>NC_000011.10:119899697-120202727 GCF_000001405.40 Homo sapiens
AGACCTAGATGACAGGTTGACGGGTGCAGCAAACCACCATGGCACATGTATACCTGTGTAAGAAACCTGCACGTTCTGCACATGTATCCCAGAACTTAAAAAATAAAAAGAAAAAATAGAAAAGAATTTCAGGCATTAAGAACTATTCTCAGCCACTTGATCAAAACTGATCGATGGCAAGCACCAGGCCTGTAACTGTGCACTTCAGTTGGAATAAAATGAATTACACGGAGTTTGGGGTATGGGCTTCCCCTCTCCCTTTCAACATTTGTATGGCTGCTAAAAATCTATACATTTAAATATACTTCACCATTGTTATTCATAAAAGCTGCATGCAGTCTCTACCTCCCCAGTTTCGATCGCATAGGCCACAACTCAAAGAACTGGGGCATCTCTGGGCTCATGCACTTCCAGCAAGCAGATGGCTGTGTTCCCTAAACTGAGCAGTATTAAGCTTGAGGAAAGAGAACAGTCAGAGGCTAGGCTGAGATGGCTTTTCCATAAACCTGGCAGAACATGATCAACGGGACACAGAGGACTGACTGTTAAACTGGGTCTACAATAAAAGGGCAGGGATAAATCAGTGTCAGAGACCTAGAGAGGTCATCTTCATACTTAGCAATGGGCCATCATTTCCCTCCCTGCAGCTCCTGCTCCCCACCTGGCCTGTGGCTGCAGGTGGTCTTGAGCCCTCTTTGTGTGACCCGCACCATACTGTGGCTCTGCCTCCATTTTTCCCTGGGGCCCTTGGATCTTAGATTTCGCCTTCCCCCGTATCATTCTCCAGGTGTCTGTCTCCTATGCCAGCAATTGCCCCATCTCCTCCTGCTTATCTCCTCCAGCCTGGCTGGTTCCCTCCCGTCCTCTTCTCTGAATTATTCCCAGGATATTCACTCTCCAAGGAGAAGTATCCTTTGATGCCCATAGTTTTTCTATGATTGTATCAAAGATGGATAGATGGACTAGATAGTTGTGGTTACAATAAAAAAAGTTCATGGGCAAAATGGGCCACAAAGACACACAGCCTCGAATGTTCCACTCTCAGGCAGTGGATATTAACACTTGCCCTGTGTCACAAAAGGGATTCCGTGTGCTGGGCCTCTCAGTGGACTGGTTCACACATCCCCAATGACAGAGAAGCAGGAAGCAGGGTCCCAAGGTCTGGCTATAGCCCAGATTCTAGCCAAAGTAGAATTTCTTTAATAATTCAAATTTTGTCTTTATAATTAATTAAAATGTTATATGCTTCTCCAGAATATATATTTATCTGTTTTAAAATATGCTTGTCTCTAAAATCTTTGGATAAAATATATATGCCTTAGGAAAATATGTACTTCTCACCGTATTACCATGTAGGCTCAGGGGCAGAGTTCCCTATTTGGGAAACATAGACAATCATTGTCACAATAAATTTTTGCCAGTAATGCAGTCATCCCCGTAATGCAGGAGAGGAGACTGAGGCTCAAAAAGGTTAAGTGAGTTTTCTGAGATCACCTAGGGCTTGGATTAAAAATTTAGTCCCAAATGCTTATCCCTCCTCTACCCATTCTATTAAGTACTTCGCCTTCCTCTCTGGCCTGTAGCCCTTGTCACTTGCAGAGGCAGTGTGGAACTTCGAAGCTGTTCAAGACATCCAATTTTCAGAGAGCGTGGAGGCTGCAGCTGGCCTGTCACCGAACAGCATCAGCTAGAACTTTAGAGGGAATGGGGCCTCCATTCCTCCCATATGTAGAACTGGATTGTGGATTCAGCTGCTGTCTCCAAGAAGGACAATTGTCAGAGTCAAGGAAGGTTAATGTGCCCTTAGCAGAGATGTGCCATCTGAAAGCCTGGGGGCCACCTCTATAGAGGATCCACCAGTTCCTGGCAGCCTAGGCAAATCACAACTCTGGCCTGGCCTTCTCCTCCGAGGGGTGGATGCAAATGGATGGACCGGGGCTGTTTTTCCTTCAAAGTTCCAGGCATTGTCTTAGGCAGGTGCAGCTTCCAGGAGGAGATAGGTGGTGGTGGTAGTGGTAGTAGTGGTAATCTGGGCCCCCTAGGGCTGACTCCCAGGCAGCAATGCCCAGATGGTCAGGCTGACCTCACTTCAGGGAGTAGTGGGCGATGCAGGGCCAGGCCTGGGGCTCTCCCTGGACAGCTTCCAGGACAGCAAGTCTCAGCCACCTTGGGCAAAGTCATGATGATGTCCAGGAGGGCTATTTGATGACCTCTGCTCCTGGCTGTCCTTTGTTGGAATTCCCTGCTCCTGCAGATACAAACCAGATGCCTCTGTCCAGCATGATGCCTTCCTCTTCAGCTCATCTCCTACTTTTCCACCTGTCATTGACCTGCGGCCACTCCAAAGCCACCACTCTCCTTTGTCTTCCTCATCAGTTCTGGCTGTTGCTTCTGCCTGGAACGGCTTCCCCAATGTGACTGCCTGGGTGCACCCACTCATCCTGCAAGAGTCAGCTCCGGTGCCACCTCCTGTAGGCAGGCCTCCCTACCCATCCCTGCCTGGGCCAGGCAGGTTTCATCTGTGCTCCCACAGCCTCCTGTGGCCACCCCATGTCACAGCTGTTAGCTCTACTCCTCTGCTCTATTGCTGGACTTAGAGCTTCTTGAGGCCTCTTTTTCTCCAGTGCCATATGAGAGGTGCTGAGTAAACAGTTTTTGGATAAATAAATGACAAAGATTGCCACCCTGTGGGATTTGGCTAAGCAAGAAGAATGGGGGCCTGCCAACAGTAACAATAATGGCTAACGCTGTCATTTATTGATTGCAGACTGTGTGCCAAGTATGATAACAGGCAGTTTGCATATATTACTTCATTTAATCCTCAGCACAGCCTTTGAGATTGATCATTTCCATTTTACAGGTCAGAAAAACTGAGCCTCAGTTTTTCCAAAGTCACAAGACAAGGGGGTAGCCTAGCCAGGATTTGAATGGAAGTCTGTCTGATGGAAACATTTATGCTCTTAGCCAGCATGTTAGTCAGGGTTCTCCAGAGAAACAGAACCGATAGGGTAATGTGTGTGTCTGTGTACGTATTAGTCTGTTTTCATGCTGCTAATAGAAACATACCCGAAACTGGGAAGAGAAAGAGGTTTAATTGGACTTACAGTTCCACAAGGCTGGGAAGGTCTCAGAATCATGGCAGGAGGCAAAGGGCACTTCTTATGTGGCGGTAGCAAGAGAAAAAATAAGGAAGAAGCAAAAGCAGAAACCCCTGATAAACCCATCAGATCTCGTGAGACTTATTCACTATCACGAGAATAGCACGAGAAAGACCAGCCCACATGATTCAGTTACCTCCTCCTGGGTGCCTCCCACAATGCGTGGGAATTCTGGGAAATACAATTCAAGTTGAGATTTGGGTGGGGCACAGCCAAACCATATCAGTGTATATGTGCATGTATCTACAAGAAGGGATTTATTAGGGGAATTGGCTCCCACAATAGGCCATCTGCAAGCTGGAGACTCTGGGAAGCCGGTAGCATGGTTCAGTTCACATCCAAAGACCTGAGAAATATGAAGCTGACAGTGTAACTCTCAGCCTGAGGCTGAAGTCCTGAGAAGCTGTCAAGGCTGCTGGTGCAAGTCCCAGCGTCCAAAAGCCAGATACCGTGAGCTCTGATGTCCAAGGGCAGGAGAAGATGTGTGGAGCAACTCAAGAGGGGAGAGACAGAGAATCTGCCTTTTTATTCTATCTGGGCTCCCAGCCGATTTGATGGTGCCCGCCCACATTGCATGAGGGCAGATTTTCCTTACTCAGTCCACTGATTCAAATGCTAACCTCTCCTAGAAACACCTAATAACACTTTTCCAGCTATCAGCGTATCCCTTAATCCAGTCAAGCTGACACCTAAAGTTAATCATTACAACCATCAGCTCACAGCAGCTAGAGCTTGAGCTTAGACAGGTGCCTGGTGGCCCTGGTGTCTCATACCACAGTCTGCAGTATGGGCTGACCTCAAACCATCTCCAGTCCTCCCAGGCAAGGCCGTGGGCCCAGCAGGCTCTTCCCTGGGGACCTGCTTCTCTGTGACTGAGTTGCCCAGTGCTCCCTTCCTCGCTCCTATCTTGTGTCCCCATAATCCCTCCCCTTGCCTCCCCTGACTCCACCTGATTGTGGGAAAGGAAAAGGTGAACATTAAGGTGTATGAGCCATGATTGTTTGTTTGTGTGACAAGAAGCTGATGTGTTGGTGAGTATACTCCCATCCACACTGGGCCTCATCCTGTCTGCAGGAGCTCTGACATTGATGAATGAGTCTTTCAAAGTCAGTCCTCACTTTGCGGAGAAGCCAGCTCTCCTGAGAAGTCTGGTTGCCAGCAGCAATCAGCAGCCCTGCCCACAAGCCCGTGCCACCTGGGCTGGACACCGCCTTTAGCAATCCTTAGAGTAGCAAATGAGGGAGGGGACACCGTGCGTCTCATCCCTGTGCCCCCAAAGTCAAATTAGAATGCCGCCTCCACCTTGGGCATCACCGACCCAATTGTTTCCTTTCCTTCTATAGCCACGGCCTCTTGAAGGGCTCCTCAGCCAGCAAGCCTGAGCCAGCTCTTAATTATGTGTGCTAATAATGGGGGTGCTGAGGCCTAGAGAATCTCAAATGGCAGATAATCAAACATTCACTCCAATCTTCTTTGCACTGTGGTTATGCGGTTTTCAGCTGATGTCTGCACGTGGGCGGCCTTAGTGTTGATCAGGTTCAGAAGGAAGCCACTCTTTGAAGAAGGTGAGAGGCTGCCATCATGGCTCCAGGCCTTCCCCACTTCTCTGCAGTCTATACTGGGGATGCAGATGCCATGCCTTTGGGAGGAGAGGAGAGGAGGAGATAAAGACAAGTGTGCGATGGGTTATTAGTTGTCAAATGGACTTTCACTCATGTCATTGCAGCTCTGAGCAGAGGAAAACGTGACAAGTTCTTGCGCATTGTAAAGAGAGGGGCATGTACTGGATATTTCCCAACATACCCCTCTAGCACCATTCTTCTCTATCCTGGTCCTGCCAGGCTGACTGCTACCAATATTATCAACTGGCTTCCCTCAACCTCAGGCTTTGCACTGGCTTCAGCCAATGGGAGGCACCTGCAGAAGATCCAAGGGCAGGAGGAGAGAGGCCAAGGTATTTATTTCCCTGTTTCCCTCTCTGCTTGGTCACGGTCCAAGGGTGGCTGAATCCCTCTGCTAAAGGCTGTAGCACCAGTCCAACAGCTCCAGATCTCCCAAAGTTCCAGAAACTTCCCATTGCCCTTGCCCTTTTAGATTCAAGATACTTCCCCATGGCCTGTGGCTCCCTGAACTTTCCCCACACCTTTGTAAAGTCCCTTTGACTCTGTCCAATTACCCCTTTGAGTATGCTGTCTATTTCCTACCAGAACCCTGCCCAATAGAAGTATTGTCAGACGTAGCCGCGGACTTATCAAGAGAGAAAAACTGGCTCACAGCCCTCTCCCATCAGCCAACCCCATCCTGGTAAGAGAAGGCCTGAGACTGTGAGTCTTTTGGGGAATACAATGAGTTTCCCATCCCCTGTCCATTCCAAGCCAAGTAAAGGAAGCTTCAGGAAAATCACATATTGAAAGAGGGTGTTGACTACAAATGGGAAACCTGACCCCACCCACTGCTGGGTACTTAAGCTGTAGAAAGTCAGAGGCCTGTCCCTAGTTCTGCTGGAGTGGAGCTGAGAGAGGCTCTTGGGAGCTGCCTGCGTGGGCAGAGTTTGAAGGCTTAGGATATCTCCTGAAGGCCGGATGGGCCAGTAGAGATTAACGAGGCTTGAGCTGTCTTGAAAGATGGCTGCCCTGAGAACTGGCTAGAAGAGGAGACCAAGGAGGCTGTGTGGGTCACCCTTGCATTGGAGATGAGGGGAGTCGTGAGAGATCAGTGGGGAGCCCATTGCCCTGTTGGGGAACTGCCTGGTGGAGCTTTCCCAGGGATATTTTAAAGAACCTACATGGGAGAAAGCCTGCATTTGGACATCTTCCAGGCCATTCAATAGCCAAAGAGAACCACCAACAGCTTGAATCAAAAAAAAGGTAACCTTTCTCCCTGCCCTGACCCTGAAGGAGTCAGGGTATGCACAGACCATGAGGGAGGAAGAAGGGGAAGGCCAGGAGGGAGAATGAGCAGCAAGCTGGTTTCCTACCCATTGCAGATTCTCTAGGCTGGGACGGGGTGGGATGGAGAGAAGCCTTAAATTGAATGAGAGAGTGAAGTTTTGATTTAGGTCAATCTGGATTTTTTTATAATGGGATTGAATGGAGAGAGTTAATAGTCAAGAACCTTTGAAAGGTTAAGGGATTTGATCTGCATACCATGGGGCGGGTGTTAAGCAGGGGTGAGGAGGGGGCACTCAGAGAGCTGGTTTGAATGGCTGTAGTGACAGGACAAAAGGCTGTTTCCTGATTCTACTCCCACCAAGTCCAACTATTTAATAAATTGTCTCTAAAGCCACTTAAGTCTTTGAGATTTTGCAAGACTACAAATTAAATAGAAACATAAAGGGAAAGTATTTCTCTAATACAGGATTGAAAACAAATCAAGAAGGTGGTGATGTTAATACAAATAAAAAGTTAAAGACAAATTGACAGGTCTTTTCTTGTCCCCCAAACTACATTTAGGATAAACTATAGATGAAATCCACATTTATTTCCATAGTTTTACAACTTGTACTGAACAGGGGCTCTGCTAGACCATGTTGGGGGATGCAGGTAACTTGGACAGAGATGTAGAAATGAATAGGATACATTCCTTGCTTATCTAGGATCTTGCGATCTTGTGGAATACTTGATTGTATCCTGTTCTTTATTATTCCCACAAGCGGTAGGCTCCTGAGAACAGAACCCATAGCAGATAATCTCTTACACATTTACTAACCATCTGCCGCAGGCGAAGAACCTAAAAGTCCTAAGTCACATGGCTCCTAGCCCAAGCTGGGCTCATGGCAGGCATGCAACAAAAACTGAAATTTCACGGGGTGGGTGTGATGGGCCTGCACAAACCCCTCACGTAGAGCTGCGCGGGGAGTATGAGAGCCCTTGGTTTGCTCTGGGCTGGCTTCACACACCTTCTTGAGTGTTTATTTTCCAAGCATCTATCAAATTCCTACTCTATGCTAGGCATAGAGGACTGTAGCAATGAATAAGATCCCATCTTTGCCTTCAAAGAACCTGATATCTAGCAACAGAGATGGATAAAGTAGACCACAAACAGCAATAAAACATTTTAGGGGCCATGCTAGGAGAAAGCCGGGCTCAGTGGAGGTCGGTGAGAACAGTGATAGGTTTGACCAGGGCTGGGGACAGGAAAAGGCTTTACATGGAGACGGTGCTTAAGTGAAGGAGGAGAAGGATGTTCTAGGCCTAAGGAGCAGCTCAGAAAGATCCCAGGGGCTTGCCTGGGAAATGAGGTGTGAGGGGCTAGGCAAGGGTTATGCCTGTGGCAACAGGCAAGCTGGCCAGGTCCTGTTTGGCTTACAGGAAACGCTGAGAAGTTTGGACTTTACTATTTAGGGAGCTACCAGAAGGTTGTAACTGGGGGAAGTACTGCCATCAAATTTGCATTTTGGCAAGATAAACTCTGGCGGTGAGTGGAGCAAAGGTTGTCAGATAGGATCGAAAGTGGGGAAACCGGTCAGGATGCTGTGGCACTGGCCCCAGCAAGATGGAATGTGGGCGTCCACTTGCAGAGGTCAGGCCAGAGGCCAGAGCTTTTAGGAGGAAGACTTGACCAGAACTGACAGATGGGCTGGAGGAAATGGAGGGGCAGGCATAAGGAGCTCCCCCAGAGCTCTGGCCTGGACTGGGTGGCTGGTGGACAGGTGGGAGAACCTCATTCCAGCTGGCTCTGATCTGGCCGCAATCGACTCCTGGCCTGCAATCACCCCCAGGGCCTGGGTAGGCAAGGCTGGGATGCTGCCTCTGTGCTCAGAATCAGCCAGGCTGAGCCCCCTGGGCCCAGGATGGGCATCTGTACTCCAAACCAGGCATTATGCAAGTCCCCCGCTCAGCTCAGCGCTGTCTCCAGGCCAAGAGGCTTCAACGGAGTTCCACAAAATTATATTTTCCTCTTTGAAAGCAGCCTTTGCAAACAGAGCATTGCTTAATTGAGAAGATATTTAGATCTGTGTATCTCTTGTAAGGTGCAAGGCTCCCCATGGTGACATTTTAATGGCCAGGGGCATGGGGAGGAAGGTAAACACTCTTTACCTTTGCCGCAGCCTGGGAATTCTCCTCGTTTGTCAGATATGATTAGCTGTTACCCTTCTGGTCTTCCATTGTTATTCAGGTCCCTGCTTGTCACAGTTACACCCCTTTGGAAGCTCACGCCTCGCTTTCTCTCCAGCTCTCTCTCCCTCTGGTGGCACCCTGACTGGCTAGTAATTTATGTATGACAATATGAGACTAATTCGGTTATTATGTCAAAGGGAAATTGAATCTAGGGTTTTAGTGCCGCATCTGGGAGAAATCTTCAAATGAATCTGGAGTGCAGAAAAAAGCCTCAGAGTTCGATTCATCCGCTTGTCACCCTGTCGGCAAGATTAAGTCATTATAGAGGGCTAAGCCAGGTCCAGAAATGGGAATGGAGAGGAAGGAGATAAAGGGGGATGAGAAAGGGGTGGGGGAGCAGGAGCACAGGGGCTGGGGAGGTGGAGCAGGGCTGGGTGGTGGGGCGGGGGGTCTGGCAGCCAGGAGGGCTGGCTGCCTCTCCAGGGACTCCCTTGTTTACCCACAAGGCGGCCCCAGCAGTGTGAAAGCCAGGGGACATATGGGCAGGGAGGAAGTTCAGTGGGAGGGCATTTATGCAAACATTCGCTTGTCTCTGCTCCTGGGCGTCTTAAATATTGTCTGAGTTAAAATCTGGCTTCCCTGCCTTCCACGGGATTAGAGCACTTTGCTCGGTGCCAAGTGAGACGGTGGCATTTCTGCTGAATACCTAGGTTTGGGCAAGAAGGAGCTCCCTGAGCTCTGCACAGCAGCTGGGCACAGGGCTGCACAGGACAGGGCAAGGTCCTAGTGCGCAAGGAGGCACCCTATGTCTAGGGAACTGACCATGTGTGTGTTTACTCTGTTTGCCGAGAGAGGATGGGATAGAGTTCTTGGAGTCTGGGATGGAATCGTGGGGAACGAGAACCAGCCAATGTGTGTGTGACCTGAATATAAAAAGAATTCTGAAAATACTTTATAAAGTTGTTCTGCCCTCCAAGACACCCCAACCCTGCTTCCATTTGTCTGATTGTTAACTAAAGTTGTTTTCTCTGTCATGAGGTTGTTCCCCATCCTAGACCTCAGTGGAAACACTAGTTAGGTTTGCTCTGAGCATGTTTTCTCTCTCTCGCCTCTACCCTCATGGCTCTCCCATTCTTGGCATGCTCCAGGCTCTAGGTAGCTCTGCTACCTGCTTGTCCTTCCTTCCGCATAGGAGGGTCATGGGGCACTTGGCAAAGGGAGCTACCCTCACCCCAAGAGCATGAACTGCTGTGCTGGTTTTCCTCTAGACATTTTGGTGCCCGGCTTTATCTCTCTGAACCTCAGATTTTGCCTCTCACAAACTGGGATCACCCACTCTCATGGGGAAATTCTGAATTGCATGGTTACCATGACTACAAGTTTCCCCTCAAACCTTCTGGGCATCCTTCTTCATCTTAGAATTCTCCATCCAGGATTCCTCCAGCCCAAGGAAAGGGCACCAGAGGTCTCCATGGCCATGCCCCTGCATCCAGGCAGCAATCCTGAAAAAGGAGCACACCAAGAATGAATTAAGGCCACTTCCACCAGCTCTCTCTTTCCACTTCCCTTGGCTTACCCACGGAAAAACAACTTTTCTTTTCCCCCCCAAGAAAAAGAAGGAAACTCAAATTAAAAATGTAAGAGTTCAAAATAACCCTCAGTTCTTAACTCTCATCAATTTGACTGTTTCTTTCACTACCCACGCGTCGGCTTCGACCAGACACCCACCCAGCAGTACTTATGCAAAAGATATTGGCAGCTGTTACTAACCCAAGACGCGAATTGGTGCTCAGAGTGGCTTTGTTACCATCCCTCTGTCTGTTCTTTGTGTCTCTGGAGATTTTCCTCTGTCTAATGAGGGCCCTGGTGCCCTTGGAAGGGCCCTAGGCTGCTGCAGTGCTGCACCCTCACCTCCCAAGTGAGTAAGGCCATGTGAAAGTTGGCCATCCCCCACGACCTCCACCACGTCATTGAATGCCATGTTTCTGTTAATTGGACTGTGTCATCTCAGGGACCGTTATTTATTAATAGATGCTCGGAGCCCTGGACAAGTTCATCATGATCACCAGAGGACTTGAAAGAGGCCAAGGGACAGATGGGTATTGCCGAGTGTGAGGGCAGTCTGCTTGAATTCCAGGCACACCCTCCTTGATGATGCTGCAGAAGGAAATCCACCATGATTATTGGAGAGAGGCCAGCTCCGTTGATATTAGAGCAAGCAGTCAGTGTGTGTGGACCCGCCCAACCCACTGCAGGGCAGGTGTCTCCTCCAGGTCATGATGTCCCAGGTGGGGCTGGCTGCCCTCAGGTTTGTGCTGATAAGCCAGGGGCACCTGGATAGATGGAGAAGGTCTGGTTCCAGGGAACAGCAGGCTTATTACTACCACAACCCTGTGTTCCCAGTGTCTGCTTGGGTCCTGGCATGGGTTTATCATTGGAGTCATTTCATTCATTGTTCTGCCGCTGAGCCCAGCTGCAGATAAAATAGTCTGAAAAGCTAGTTGAGGGGAAGGCGCTCCCTTTCTTCTAGAGTTTTCTGAGGAAGAACCTGACACAGCTCCCTATAGTCACGCACAACAATGCTGGCAGCCCCACTCCTGAAACCCTCCCAGCGCGTTTCATGCTGCAGATGTAGTCAGCAGAAGCAGATGGTCAGGGTGGTCTAAGCAGACAGGTAGGGGCTGGAGACACCCAGGGAGGGCCTCATGCTGGCTCCTCCACCCCCACGTGGGTTGCTCACTGGCTGTGCTCCCAGGACGTCCCTCACAGGAGACTGAAACCAACACCCTGGCCACTTGTTGGCTTAGGGCCCCTGAACCCATACATGTCCTTGAAAAATTCATGCAGGCTACTTACTCCAGGCTGAGGAGGCCCAGCTTAAGCCTCTGGGCAGCAGAGCCCACACTCCCTTCCACCTGTTGCTGCCATGGGGCCACCCAATGGTGCTTTTATACCAGCAGGGCCTATAGGGGAGCCAGTTCCAGGAGCAGGCCAGGACTAGGCACCTCACATGCCTCGCCCTCATCATCCTGGCTTTGCCAGGGAGGGATGGGGGAGCCTGCAAATGAGGCAGGAAAGAGTATACAGACTATGTGGTCCCAGCAAGAGGCCAAAGCCAAGGGAGACATCAGGAGAGGCACTTGAGGACATCCAAGCCGAGAGACTCAGAGTCTATATAGGGAGTGGTCCCCAAGGACACTGGCCATGGAACTGAAGGTCCAGGACAGAACTTCAAGACCCAAGATAGCGGCACTTTCCCAGCTGGCTTCCAGAGCCCGGGGCGAGGCTGGACCTGCAGGTGGAAGAGCAATCCTTCAGCAGCAGAGGGAGGAGGGGGCAATGGGGAGAGGCGCGGCACCAAGCAGACTATTCCAGAGCAGGACTGGTGCCCAGGCAGAAGGAAGACCCAAATAGACCAAGACTGGGTTCAGGAATGAAATGGGTTAGTGGATCGTCCTCTTCTACTTTGTTTCGCTTGGAAATAGATTTCATTTTTAATTGTATAAGTAATATGTGAATATATTCTTGTAAAAATTCAAACAAGAAAAGTGAAGCAAAAGTTCTCGTTATTTAACTCCACCATCTGCCCTCCCCAGTCCCACTGCCCTCCCTAAAGGGAATGACCATGGTCAGGTTAGTGTTTAGATAGGTAAGGTAGGTAGATAGATGATAGAGATAGATAGATGGGTAGATAGATGAGGGAGATAGATAGATGATTCACTGTTTGATAGATAGATAATTTATGTGGCTTGCCTTTTTCACCTGACAATATTCCTTGGCATCATTTCCATCCTTATGGAGGGATCCATTTCACTCATTTAATTGTTGCATGGAGTTGCATTGATCAGGGGTAACATAGTTTAACTGTAACCCTATTGATGGATGTTTATTTTGTTGTTGTTTTCTTATTGTTTCACAATAAGCACCCCTTTACATGGCTGCCACAGATTTTAAAATAGGCCCATGAGTGACTGGTGGGGGCAGGAGTCCCTTGGGATCTTTTGGGGAACTGGGGTGTGGAGAAACTGGGCTAGATTGAAGCCAGGCCACTAAACAGTCTCCAAATGACTCCTGTGTCTTGGCCAGCTTCTCAGAGCAGCTGCTTCCAGTGGAGTCTGGGGTGCCTCCCACCCTGGAGCCTCTGGTGCCCTGTGTCTCATGGGGGTCATCCCTTGCTGACCCTTAGGCCTACAGCTTGTACAAGTGGCCACATTCCACCCATGAATGTCTTGCAGGAAAAGGCACAAAATCTATGTTCTGGCCTGATCCAGGCAGGTTAAAATCAGAGCCCCGCATTGGAGTGAGAGCCTGATAATAATCCTCTCACTGCACCAATTTCCAACAGATTTGTTCCCTCTCAAAATGATCACAAACAATATTCCTGCAGCAGCCCCAGCCAAGGGACGTGTGCTATTTTGAGCTGTTTTTGGTAATTGGTTAATGCGGAGGATGAGTGGGAGGAAGACGCAAGGGCCTTTGTAGACGTGGTGCTGATGTCATGGCTGAGTTTACAGAGACATGGTTTCCTATGTAGCTTTGGGAACAATTTCTCCCCCTGATCACGTGTCTCCGGGACAGTTGAGTAGCAGAGTAGCAGGTGGCTCCTTTGTTCTCAAACCTGTCATGCAGTCCCAGGCTTCACTGGGCTATGGTCTTAGTGCATGGTCTCAGAAAGAAGTCAGGTAAGGGGGGGCACAGTGTGGCTTACACCTGTAATCCCGGCATCTGGGGAGGGTGAGGTTGGAGGATCACTGAGCCCAGGAGTTCAAGATGAGCCTGGGTAACATAGCGAGATCCCATCTCTATAAAACAACTACAAAAAATCAGGTAAACGACACAGGCATGTTACAAAAACAGAAAATGGAAAACCAAAAATAATAATAATAAAGATGATACAGGCAGCCTGCCAAAGGCCCAGGAGGTCAGCAGTGAAAGGCAGAGGGTTTCCTTGTTTGTGTGCTATGAAAAGACACCTCTGAGTTCCCTTCTCTTTCTCCTGCCGCGTCTCCTTGCACGTTGATGGAGTGCCTTCTACAGTCCTTGCAGGAAAGCCATGGTATCTCATAAGAGCAAGGGCTCTAGAGCTGGGCATTGGCTGAGTTCAAATCCTGCCTCTCACTTTTGATACCTAACTCTGTGCCTTGATTTTCTCATCTGAAAAATGGGCATGATAACATACTTCCCCTAGAGGGTTATGGTGAAAGCTCAGTGAGATGAAGCCCAGTGCCTGGCACGCAGCAAATGCACACAAGGTGGCGGCCATTAGTATTACTTATTCGCCTGTGTTGTGATGCTCTCTTTAGCTTTCTATTTCTTCCACTAGGCTGTGAGTTCTTTCCAGAGATCTTAACCATGTTCTTTATTGTCTCCTCAATACAGGCCCTCAAAATAGGCTGAATGAAAAGAGGTGTGATCGATGAAAACTGGCCGCTCCTTCTTTGCAACTCCTTCCATTAGGTGGTGGAGTCTACGTTGCCCTCCCTTTGATCCAGGCTGGCCACACAAATTACTTTCACCAACAGAATGCTGTAGAAGTGATACTGCATGACCTCTGAGCCCAGGCCTTAAGGGACTTTGCAGCTTCTGTTCTTGGCCTCTGGCTGCTCTGTGACTACCATGGAAGGAGTTCCACACTAACCTCCTGTAGGGTAAGAGACACGTGGAGGCAGACTGAGCCTCCCAGCCATCCCACTGAGGCTCCAGGCGTGCCAGTGATGTACCTGGCTGAAGCCTGGCCCCCAGTCACCCACTGACGGCAGCTGCAAAGGTGCCCGTGATGAGGTGAGCAGAAGCCTAGAAGAAATTGCAGAATCATGAACAAATGGATAGCTGCCGTTTTCAGCCACCAAGTCTTGGAGTGGTTTTTCATGCAGCAATAGATACATGAGACAGGAAGCTTTGGAAGAAGTCATTTTAGCATTCATAAGGGACAAGGAGGGCAAGCTGGGCCTAGCTGGATTGGATAGTCGAATTTCAGAAGGTAGCATTGCCTAGATTCAGAAAAAGACCATTGCAATCCCACAGATAGGAGCTCTAAAAGTAAGGTGGCTCAGGAGGGCTGAGAGCATCTCAAACAGTGAGTTCTGGTGCTATAATCACAAATGAAGCTGATAAAGAAAACAAAGGTATTGTCATAGAAAAACACTGTGATACCCAAGGAGCCCTGTCCTGAGCTCAGATTATAAAGGGGCTTGCAGGGTATGGAGCGGTGGGGCCAGTGTCTATGTCCCAGGAAGACATAAACATGACACAGACCTGTGTGAAGGGTACCAGGGGCACCGTGGTCCACAGTGAGCTGGCAGTGCCAGCAACAATAAAAATGGGCACATTGAAAATTTTTGAAGCAAGAAGAACAAGGGGCGAGCCCCTCTCTTTATGGTGGACATTATCATGTTGAGAGAGGTTTGAGCAAAGCAATCTTCCCACTTTGCTTGTTTCCTGTCAAGGACAATATTCCCTGATCTGGAGAAAGTAGAAAAAAATACAGCTGAGAGAACTGAAGCCCAAATAAGATGAGGCAGTAGCAAGAACATGCTTGTTGTTGTTCGAGATTTTTATTCCCCAGCCAAAAATGTCTTTTATTCTAGAGCTCAAGAAGAGTTCTTGCAGGATGGTGGCCACACTAATAGTTCTCGCTATGGCAGGGTTTCTCCAGGGTGGTCACCTGTATCAGAATCCCACCCCCACATCCCCAACACAGCTGCTTGGCAAGAGCACAGCCTTCCCAACTCTCTCTCCCACTTATAATGTCAGACTCTAGGGTGGGGATCAGCATTTAGTTAGTGAACACATGCGTACGACTCCCTGACACTGTTCTAGACAATGTAGACATAACTCTCCTTTAATCTTCATAACAATCCTATGTGGGAGATTCTATATGACCTCTATTTTAGAGATAAGAAAACTGAGGCCCAGAGAAGTTGAATGGCCAGGGACATGGAAGGTGGCAGAGTTGGAACTTGAGCATAGGCCATCAGTCTAGCTCCAGAAGCCATGCTCCTAACCACTGGGATATGTGGCCTAGTGGATTATGGCCTAGTGGCCCATGGACTCCAGACAAGAACCACAGGCATCCTCCTGCACAGTTACATTTGCAAACCACTGCTTTAAATAATACCCAAACTGCCTGTAATCCCAGCACTTTGGGAGGCCAAGACAGGAGGATTGCTTGAAGCCAGGAGTTTGAGAAAAGGCTGGGCAACATAGTGAGATGCTGTATTAGTTCATTCTCATGCTGCCAATAAAGATATACCCAAGACCGGGTAATTTATAAAGGAAAGAGGTTTGATGGACTCACAGTTCCACTTGGCTGGGGAGGCCTCACAATCATGGTGGAAGGCAAAGGAGAAGAAAAGGCACATCTTACATGGTGGCAGGCAAGAGAGAGCGTGTGCAGGGAAACTTACCTTTATAAAACCATCAGATCTTGTGAGACTTAGTCACTATCATGAGAATAGCACAGGAAAGACCTGCCCCCATGATTAAATACCTCCCACCAGGTCCCTCCCACAACATGTGAGAATTATGGGAGCTACAATTCCAGATAAGATTTAAGTGGAGACACAGCCAAACCATATCAAACACTATCTCAGAAAACTAAAAAACTAGGAATGGTGGCACACACCTGTAGTCCCAGCTTCAAGAGACTGAGGCTGAAGCAAAAGGATCACTTGAGCCCAGGAGTTGGAGGTGAGGCTGCAGTGAGATATAATTGTGCCACTGCACTCCAGCCTGGATGACAGAGTGATAGCCTGTATCTTAAAAAAATTCTGACACCTGTAATCCCAGCTACTCAGGAGGCAGAGGCATGAGAATTGAGTTGTTTGAACCCAGGAGGTGAAGGTTGCAGTGAGCCAAGATCACGTCACTGCACTCCAGTCCGGGTGACAGAGAAAGACTCTGCCTCAAAAAAAAAAAAAAAAAAAAAAGAAAAGAAAAAAGAAAAAATCCTGAGAATGGGAGAGATAGAGAGAGAAGGAGAAATGCTGTCTCCAAATATAAGACCCTAGAGTCTATCATCTTTGGTAAAGCCTTAGCACAGTCATTAAATAGATGGTTTGTGATCACTTAGAGAAATGGTGAGTATCAGGAACCAGCATAGGTTCACTAAGCATGAGCCAAGTCAAATGAGCTCATTTATTCTATTGAGAGCATGGTTGGACCAGAGCATCTGGAATGTAGCAAACATTTTCCAACATCATTTCCACCCCCCGTGATTGGTTCATTTTGGGCCACTAAGCTGATTGAACCAATGAGTCATGAAGACAGACTTGCTTGAGGCTTTGGGGAGAAAGAGAATCCAGTCTGTCTCTCTCCTTGAATGGGAACAAAGTATGTTGCCCCAATTACTCTGGCAGCAACCTTAAGAGCCTAAGGGGAACCACATTATGCTATAAATGGTAGACAAGAGATGGATGGAATCTGAGTCTCTGCTGACATCATTGAGCGACTGAATCAACCAACCTTGATGCTGCATCTATCTCTAGGCTTCTTATTATGTGAGACCATCAGTTTCTTTATTGTTTAAACCACTTTGATTTAGGGCTTCTGTAACCTGCAGAAAAACATATTGTAACTAATACAAGGGGAATACCCTAGATATAATGCATTTCAGCTTCAGAAAATTATTTTACTCCAGTTTAAGATATCCCTGTGAGCAAAATGAAGAAATGAGAACTAAATAATATAATTAGGTAGATTCACACCAGTAAATCCAAAGTTGACCAGAGACTGGGTGGAACAAGCCAAGTGGTACCTTTAGAACAGCCAGGTGCATGCTCAGGAAAGTTGAGTGTACCTGCCTGTAGCAGGAGCCCCAGGCCAGGAGCATTCCGTCTTCTGGAATTTGTGTGGACATTGCCTGAAATGCCTCATTTGTGCCTGTGCATTCCCACGAGTGGTACATGTCTCAGGCTCCAACATTGGTATATACTTCCCTGAGCTACTGTCTTTTGCAGACCTGATGTCAAGACCTGGGTTTGTCTTCAGGTGCACTCTTGCCCCCTGGACAGGTGTGAGGTCTCCCAACTTTGGCATTTCTCCCTTGACCTTACCCTTTTCTCCTGGATTGGAACTGATCCCTGCCCTCTAAATCTTCAGAAGCAACCCCTGACATATCTTTAGTTTCAGTCCAAATATGCAGCCGTGGCTGGCATTTGATGCTGGAACCAATGTAATGCTTCTGTAACCATGCTCCACTCCATAAGATATGCAGTTATCTTATGTGAAAACATACTGTTCAATGGCATAATCAAGAGGTAGATTCTGACATGACCCACATCCATGTTTCTCTCAGCTTCTCAGCCAAGTGTACACACAAGAGATCAGTGTCACTAGTTAGGTGGTCTCTAGTGGGTGATATGAGAAATTTAGCCCTTAAATATCAGCCTGGCTGTAATCATCTCCTAGGTATAGAAAGGCATCTTACCCAATTTGCAAATGTCCCAAAGCTGCCAGGCTGGCTAAAGTACAGGCTGACAAACTACAACTTCAAAAAGATCCTAAAAGTAGTGGAATAATAGGCTGAGAATGTATTTTTTACTTAACTATTAAAGTAGCCTACAGCAGTTTATGTTAAAAATGGGCTGAGCCCGGGCAACATAGCAAGGCCCCATCTCTAAAAAAAATTTTTTTTTAATTACTTGGGTGTGGTGGCATGCACCTGTAGTCCCAGCTATTCAGGAGGCTGGGGCGGGAGGACCTCCTGAGCCCAAGATTCTGAGGCTACAGTGAGCTATGATTGCACCACTGCACTCCCGCCTGGGAGACAGACCAAATAAAACCCCGCAGTTTCTTTAAAATGGTCTATGATGTCATGTTGCTGCCCAAAAGGCCAATGGCATCTTAGGTTCACACTCGAAGTGTAATGTCCAAACAAAGCAGGTGATATCCCACTGGGAATCCTTTTGGGGGCCCATATTTGAAAATGGCTATCAAAGGAGAGGGGGCAAAGGAACAGAGGGAAGCCTCTGCAAAGCTCCAGAGCTGGGACCTGGGATCAGTCAGTGAAAGTTACAGAGAAGCAGAGGATTCAGCTTATTCTGAAGAATGATTTCCTATACAACAAAACTTAAGACACATTAATATGACAAGTGCTGTGCAAGGCTATGGGTCATTCAGTCCCAGGTTCAAATCCCAGCTCTGCCGCATGCTAAATGCATCACCACGGACAGCTCGATTTCTCTGAGACTCAATTTAAGCTACCTCACTGGCTTAATTGCAATAGTCTACCTAGAGGGTTTAGCATAGTGCCAGGCACAGCATCAGTGCTCAATAATCTACAGTAGCATTATTAATAACAACAATCAAGTAGGGTTTGAGGTAAGGTAATAGGTTCCCCATCATTGGAGTGTTAAGCAGAGGCTATGTGTCAACACATCAGGAATGTCGGAGAGGATTTGTATGCTCTGGGTTGGAGGTGGAAATAGCTGATTTCTACAGCCCCTAAAAACTATAATTCTATGATTTAAAACCATTATAAGAGCCCAGACTTCTGGTCGGTCAGGGACAGTAATCTATTACTAGGATTGAAATTCCCTGCTGGCTCAAGGGCCCAGAAGTTTCATTGTCTGAATTACTGTTCAAGCATGCCTTGCATATGCCTGTGGTCATCCACGTGTTCTGTGTGTGTACACGTGGGAGTGTGTGTGAACATGTGTTTGCCTAGAACTGTGCCCCGCTCTGTAAGACAGCCAGTTATCATGTGTGAAAACATTCCATTTAATGGCATCATGAAGGGATAGATTCTGACGTGACCCAGGTCCGTGTTCTGCTCAGCTCCTCTGCCAAGTGTACACACAAGAGACATTTCCCTCTGCTGATTTCTGTGATGTTTGTTCTTGGACAGAAAGCTTATCAATAAGGTCCTCAGACTGTCGATTCTCTTCAACAGCTGAGGGGCAGGAATGTGGGCTGGGATTTGATAACTTGTGGTTGAGACCCTGCCCAGGGCTACCCCTTCCAGAAAGAATTCTCTAAGCCCCTGGCATTTGTCTTCATCCCCGTTGGATTCCTTTTGTAGGCTTTTTGCACCCTTTAAAGACTTTTTCTCATCGCACCTGAGGCACTCTCTGCCAATCTGTTATATCAGCTCTCTTCTCTTGGAGGAAAAGCATCTGACAAACAAGTAAGTACTGAGTGGTTGGTACCCAGGAGCACTGGTCATGTGCCAGGAACTGTGCCCATCACATGTCAACAAGGGCTTGTAACTCAGCAGGAAAGTTAGAGACAACCCCCAAAGTATAAAAACCTGCTACAGTCACTATGCAGAGGTGGGGATAGGGGATACAAAGTAAGTGGCACCAGAGCTGCATCTCTAGACTGGTTTCTACCTTGGTAAGGATGAATGTAGAAATGCTGGTCCTATGGCAACTAGAGAGTGGCAAAAATATCTAGGGAAGGAAGGTATTCCTGGGATACTGCCCATCATCCCTTGTAACTGTCCAATAAAAACTCTGACTATTTTGCAGAAAGGTTCCCCAATCTTCTCTCCACTGAGATCTTGTAGCAACTGTTTAGATTGCTATTGTTCTCTCCATTTTGCAGACAAGAAGACCAAGGCTCAGGGAGGTTATGCAATGAGTCACCAGCAAGGACGTGCCAGAGCTGAGATGCAAACCAGGTCCTCGAGTTCCTGCTCTTGTGCCCTTTCCAGCACCTCTGCTCTCTCTTGGAAGCTGCCGGGGCGAGGCTCAGGCTGTGGCTGGTCCATCCTATGCTGGACCAAGTTGTCCCTAACCCTCCAGGGCTCTCTCACATCTGGGGAAAGATCTGTGGGCTTCTGGACAGCATTTCATTTGGCTACGTCTTGTGCTTGTGGCACTATGCGGGGCCTCTGGGGAACTTCTTTTGCTCACCATATTTCCTCATTTCCCGACCTGTCCCCTGCACAGCCAGGTTCCCTTTGAAATGCCATCTGGAGCAGCAATGGCCCCCAGACAGGCCGGCTAAGCAGCAGGGCAGCCACTCCCCAGAGCAAGCCTGGTGGCCGAGCCGGTGTGGGCAAAACAAGAAGACTCTTTCTGCTTCTGAATGATCTGGCCCTGCTGCCATGGGGTCCTTTATAAACTCTCTCCTGAGTTATTCTCTACTTATTGTTGTTATTGCTATTGATCCAGCCTCTAAACAGCAGAGATCCCAAGGCTCAATTTAAACCATCAATCACATTGATAATTCCTTTATTTGTAAAATTGTTACTTTGGAGACTCTCTGGATGCCTCCCAATACCCAAGAGAGGTGGGAAAATTCTTCCCTGAGGGAAACTGAGGCCCAGGGAGATGGGAAGATCAGCCAGGGGCTACAGAGCTGAGCTGGACCCGGGCTCCGGATGCTTTGTTTCTTGCTCAGCTCCTGGGGTACCGGCTCCCCTCCTGCCACGGGCTGTTCTGAGCTCATGTGAGAGTCTCAGCCAAAGCTTCTCCAGCAACCTACAAAGACAAGGCACCCTTGAACCCTTAACGAGGGAGTGTGGGCCTTTTATTCCCCCAAAGGCCCCAGCAGCCCTCAGCCCAGCCTGCCTCCCTTTGTGCTTCAGCCTCAAAGGGGATACAATGAATAGCTTTTCCACTCTCCTCCATCCCAACCCCTAGGGATGAGATCTGTGCAAAAACCGAAAGGATCTTTTTGTAAATGGGGGGGTGGGGGCTGGGGGTGGATGTAACATCACAGATGCTTGCCTTTTCCATTCTGAGAATATTGGCAGGAGAAGAGGAATTAGGGTGGTACGTGGGTACCCGAGTTTCCTTATATGCGCAGAACAACGTGTCTTCCGGTGGGGGCACCATCACTTCTTACGGCAGCCAGTGGGGAGTGGGTTCTCTTTTCTTGGGGGCTCCTGGGCCAGCAGCAGTGGCACCATCCGGCCCTTCTGCTGCGGGACAGAAGCCGATGGTGAATGTGGGCAGTGTTCATGCTGCTTATTCAGCTCCCAACGTGTTCATAGTAGCAGCATCCAGGACGGCTTCCGCGGGGGACAACAACCACAGAGCACAAGCCTCCTCCCTGACAACCCTGCCTCGCTCCTCCTCGGCCCTGCTTGGGCTTCAGGGGTGCTCGTTCCCCTGCTGCGCAGCCACTCTCTCCCCTGCGCCCCACCTTTCAGCTTTACGGCGAGGCATCCGGCCTCACCTGTTAGCAGAAGCAAACATGAATCAAGCCCCCATTTCCAATCTTCCAGGCTCATAAAACTTGCCACGCTTTGCAAGGTGGGGTGGCCCATCCCCTATTTTATCTCTGGGGGAGAGCAGGCACAGATGCGGCTGATGGATGGGAAGTTTAGAAAATGAAGTCTTGGAAATCGATAGAATATACAAGCTATGTATCATGTGAGCACCTCTTGTCTGCGCTTCAGTAAATCAAAAGTAACGAATGGCAGGCTTCCCGCAACCAGGGACCCCCGGCCTTTCGCTGAAGGCGGGGGCTTGCATAGTGATTGGGTTTTCACAGTCCAAGCACATGTTTTCTACTTCAGTAGACCTAAAAATAGGCCCTGATACTGATTTTTTTCTTTTAATATCTCTGCCCCCCACTCCCAGCCCTTTTCCTCTTTAATTTCCATCCTGTAGGCACTTGGCGTCCAAACTTCTCCTGTAGAAGCGTGATGTATTGCAAGATAAGCTGCCTCAGTGGTTCCCAGAATGAACGGTCATCCCCAGGGCTGTGTTACTGCGACATTAGCAAACTCTGATCCTCCTGCAGTTTGAATGCCTCAGCGCCTCGGAGATGATTATCTGTGAGGCTCCTTGCACCCCAGGCTGTGGGCAGCACTTGGCTGCAGAGTCGCTTGGAGGAGATTGGCACAGGGGAGTCGCTTGGAGGAGATTGGCACAGGGGAGTTGCTTGGAGGAGATTCGCACAGGGGTTGGCGGAAGCCAGGAGGCCAGAGGGCCTGGAGGTGGAGTAGGAGTCCCCTGGCTCTGCACTGCTCAGCTTCCGGCCAATATCCATCCTCTCATCCCCAAAAAACACCCAGATTTGAATCTCAAGTCAGAAGACTCCACCACACCACCCCCTTCCCCTCCTGGTTGCAGCCATCTCTGGACCCCCATGGCCTCCCCACCTTCCTTGAATATTTTGGTTTCTAGATCATTGTCATTCTCCCCAGTCCTCCCCAGCATAATTCATGGGGATTCTTCCCCCAGCCTGGCCTTTTCCTATTTTGATTTCGTCTCCTCTGATGAGCTTGTCTTCAACTGCCCCCCAGCTTCCACCTTGGCTTTGTCATTATCACCCCTTTCTACGGTTCCGTAGTCTCCAGCTTAAGCCTTCTACTCTCCAGCCCCCACATCCAGTGACTTCAGTTCACTCCTTCAGGGATCACCTTCCAGCCCCACTTGTAACTTGTCAGTCCTATCACCTGTCCACTTTCCCTTCTACTATCCCAGCATACCTGCTAACCTGCTACAGTTTCCTGACCAATCGTCGTAATAACCCCATTGCAAACGCTCTCATCCCTTGCCCCTCTTACTTCCCAGTTGCTTAGCAAAACCTCGACGGGGTTAAATCCAACTTTCCCCCTCTGTGGTGCTTACACCTTTGTGAGCAGAGTGTGGCTGGAGAACAATACCCCAAGTGTGCTGACAGGCCCACTTTGAATCGATGAGCCTTAAACTCAAGTGGGCGTTGGTTGCCGGCTGGCATCATACATCATTTCTCTGGTCCATTCATTCTCACGCTTTCCCAGATGAGTGGTCATACCTCCCCCTTTCTCCTTACACCTCCACCACCTCCCCCTCCATCCTCATCTCCACAAATAACCTTGCTGTCTAGTCGCTGAAAGAATGGAACAATCAAAAAGAATGTTCACAAACTCCCACCCCTGCAACTGCCCTCCCTCCCACGTGTGTTTCAACTCCTCTACCTCACTCGGGTTCTGTGCAGGGACTGTCCATGCTCCTGGCCTGTGTCAGATCTGACCCCTCTCGCCTGCTCAAGGACATGCCCTGGGCACTCGCCCTGCTTGAGCCTGCATCATCCATTGTTCACTCTCTCCCAGTCCACCCCCATCAGCATGCAAACCTGCTCTTATTTCTCCTGTCCTAAAAAAAATGTGCCCACCTCTTCCTCCACCAACTTACAGCAACCTTCTTGAAAGATCTGTCCACCCTCACTCTCCCAAACTCCTCTCCTCCCACTCTTTTCTAGACCATTCAGGGTCTCATCCCTGCCGTTCTAACTAGCTGTTCTTGTCAAGGCCATTGTTGCCTTTCCTGGTGCTAAATTCAGTGGTGGCTTCTCAGGTCCCATCCTGACCTATCGGCAGCATTTGGCAGTACCGCACTCCTTTCTTACTGAAATACTTTCTTCACCAACGTCCAAGACCCACACAGTCCTGGTTTTCCTCCATCTTCACTGGCTTCTCCTGTCTCTGGTGCTGGTTTCCCTTCATCTCACCAGCTCCTTGACATTGCAGGCGCCCAGGGCTCAGCCTCTGAGCCTTTCCTATTTTTCTCTCTACACACAGCGCCTTGGTAATCTCAGCCAGATACATGGCCTGAAATGGTTTAAATGCAGCTATATGGTGGCATCTCCAAATTTATATCTCCTCTGAACTCTAAAGTACATACTTGACATGTCACTTCCCTGCCTAAGCCTTTCAGTGACTCTTCTCTGGCTGAAAGATAAAGTCAGAAATCCTGAATGGGACATAAGAGCTCCTTGATGCTCTGCCCCACTCCTGTTATTTTCCATTCTTAACTCTCAGTCTGGCACTGCCTTGGCCTCTGTGATCCTCTGATTCTGTAACCAGGCCAATCTCCTCAGGCCTTTGACAGTGTTATCCCCTCCCAAGGACTCCCAGCAACCCTCCCTCTCCTCCCAGGCTTGGCTAATTACTTCTTCAGGTTTCACGGACCTCTGATGTCCTGCCTAAGGTTCAGGTAGCCTCCGGTGCTCAACCCTGTCATAGAAATGACCAGCTTGCATGTGGCCATACACTGGACTGGGGGCTCCTTGAAGGCAGACACCATCCCATTGCAGTGGGATCTCCTGGAAAAGTCTGCCCATTTCCTATCTACCATTTAGTCCTATTTGTTCCTATACTATAGCCCCAATTTTGCGAGAGGTGGCAACATGCCCAACTGACTCCTAGCTTCTTTCTGGACAGGGGTGGCCATACAACTAGTCTCAGCCAGTGGAGGGCAGGTTCCTGGGAAAGCTGTGTTCTCCTAAGATAACCACTGCCACTTCTGTTTTCCTTCCCATGATCAGAGGCCATAGAGGAAGTGGCCATTTGTGACCATGAACAATAAGCCACATGCTAAAGACAGTGGCAGGACAGAGGGAGCAGGAGCATCATGACATCATGGAGCTGCAGGCTCTAGACTGTGGATTAGGGGGATGTGGAAACAAGCAGCAACGCCCCTCCCGTTTAGCTAGCCCTCTCTAGTTGTTTTTCTGTGACCCGCTGCTGAACACATTTCTGCAGGAAACACCCCAACTCTGGCAGAGACCCTAGGGGACACGGCTGTGTGATGAATGATTGCACGGACTGCTTACCAGTTTCAACCCACATTGTGCTTTCCAGCGTTTGCCTGAACTCTGCTTCTGCTCCCTCTACCACTCCATTTATGTCTAGTGAAAGGAAATTTCTCTCTCAAATCTCAGAGTGAATACCTCCTCTTGAAGTGGGCTCTGACCCCTTCTATCCTATGTGCACCTGGATTTGTTAATGTGCATCATCCATCTGCTATTTAAACCACCATGATTGGTGTTATAGCTATTCATAGGTGATTCTGACCTCCTGCTTAGGAGGCCCTAGAGAGTAGGTTAATACATGTATTTGCCCTCCCCACCGCATACCCACCTACATAACCCTCCCAGAGCCTAGAACACTGCGTCATGCATCACAGATAATCAGTAAATACTTTTTGGACGAGAGCTGTGGCTGTCCAGTAGCCCCGCCCACCTCCTCTGGCAAATCCTTTCTGACCACATCACCCCACTTTCTGCACCACGCTTTTGGTGACGGCACCAATTTCCTTGTCTTGGGTTTGTTGCCTATAAATACATTGAAAGCTCAAGTTTGGCAGAAGTCACATCCAAATCTGAGTTTCTGCTCTCTCCTCCTCATTCCCAAGATAGAGTCGGTACCTTACAGAAAGTGGAGGGAATGCATGTGCTGATCAAATGCTTGACTTGGCTAAAGCGGATACTTGCTGCTGGCATTGGTGGTCTAACCCCCCTTTGAAGGAGGTTGGTGGCCTGCCTCCTTTTCTCTCTGAAGGCCTTCCAAACATGTCGGCTGCTTTTCAGAGCCTTGATTCCCGACCCCATGCAGAGATTTCAGAAACACTCTAGAGGCCTGGCTTTTATTTCCTAAAACAGATTTCCTAGAGCTCATCCAAGTTCTTGGTGGTACAGGCTCTTTTAACTCATCCCACTTCTCTCAACTACTCTCCAAATCTCTCCTCTGTAATCTGGTTCCTTTTGGCCCCTCCTTTTCTCAGATGATTTCTAGGTGTGAAAGAGCATCCCATTTGGGGACAGATTAATTCTAGGAAACCCTAGAGGGATTTCCCTAAAAATGCAATCCAAGACAAACAAATCCCAGGACCTCACTCTTTAAAGCTGAAAGCCAGGAGACAGTCCCCAGGCAGCAGAAGCATTTGACTAATGAGTTTGTGGCAGAATCTGTACCCTTGATTCTTGGAAACATAAGCCTGTAAATTGATTGAGCAGAGGAGCTAAGAGATCATCTCAACTCAAATGCCACAAGGACCAGGAAGGCAGCGTAAATGAGTTATTTGGGATTTGCATGATGCGTGACAACTGACATCCATCTTAAATGTTGGAGAGTGTCTTCACCTGGGTTCCCCAGAAAGCAGAGCCTGAGATACAGGCTCATTGGTGTGCCACAATTGTCTCTGGGGTGCAAGAGTATGAGGTCAGGGGAGTGAGGCAGAGAAAGGTAGAGAGACAATATGAGGATGCATTATCAAACTGGCCACCACCGAGGGCAACTTCATGCTCAATCTTGTGGAAATACACCCAAGAAGCTACGAAAACTGTCCAGGTGGTGGGGGCAGGGGAGAAAGAAGGAAGATTTGTCTACCAGCTCCGATATCCCATTTGCCAAAGGTTGGCCCCACTAAGCACTAACTTACCTTCACTTCTGGATTTTAATCCATGACAGCCCAAATATGTTCATTGGCATCCCATGTCTTGGTGTCTACAGTGCTGGAGGTGAGAGGTACGCGGTGGGCAGCCCAGACACCAGGCATGACCCCCCCAGGTAGTAACTCACTGCATGATGCCTGTTGGAGCCCATGCAGGGCTGCTCACTGCTGTAGCAGAACGAAAGGTGCCTAAGAGATGGCTCATACGATCCACCCCAGCACTACTCCATCCACCTAAGAGATGGCTCATACGATCCACCCCAGCACTACTCCATCCACCTAAGAGATGGCTCATACGATCCACCCCAGCACTACTCCATCCACCTAAGAAATGGCTCATAGGATCCACCCCAGCCCTACTCCATCCACCCTGACTTTCCATCACATCTGGCACTCAGAATACAAAGTGAGGCCTCCATTTTTGTGAACAGAGAGCTTCACGTCTTTTCTGAAGGGGAAGGTACAAATACAGCCAGTCACAGAGTCTCCTCCAAGATGGTAGTTAGCTAGATTTTTTTTTTTAAGAGATAAAGTCTCACTCTGTCGCCAAGGCTGGGATGCAGTGGCACAATCATAGCTCACTGTAGCCTTGAACTCCTGGGCTCAAGTGATCCTCTCATCTTGGCCTGCTAAAGTGCTAGGATTGTGGGTACAGAAATAATTGTAAAGAGTTCAGGTAAGAGGATTGGTGAAACAAGCCACAGTCTCACTGCTGCAAGTGGTCTTGAGGCTGCAATTTAACATCACCATCTTTCTCCACCCTCCATCCTAGATTTTCCTCACCTTTGGCCAGCACTTTGGCTGGTGTGGATCGCTGACCTTGTGGGACCTGGTTTGTGTTGTTGCTGTTGTTGTTTGTTTTGTTTTGTTTTGTGATGGAGTCTCGCTCTGTCACCCAGGCTGGAGTGCAGTGACGTGATCTTGGCTCACTGCAACCTCCGCCTCCCGGGTTCAAACAATTCTCCTGCCTCAGCCTCCTGAGTAGCTGAGACTACAGACCTGTGCCACCACACCCGGCTAATTTTTCTGTATTTTTAGTAGAGATGGGATTTCACCATGTTAGTCAGGATGGTCTCAATCTCCTGACCTCATGATCTGCCCGCCTCGGCCTTCCAAAGGGACCTGGTTTTTTATCCCTCCAGAGTCCAGGCTCCTAGTGGCTTTGCCCTTGTTGAGTCACAGTTATCATTATCATGGAAGCAGCAAAAGATGCCCCAGTGAATCTTCTGGCTTTCAGACACACTCCCCGCTGCCCCCATTGAGTAGCAGCAACACCCCTAATTTCTCGTGGCAGTCAGGGTAATCAATCCTGCCAACATAGTAACTATTTTCTTTACTTGATGGTCGACCAGCATGAGGAACCCAGAGTATCTAGGTAATTGTCGTGACTTCAAGTTCAGTAGCACCCCCTACCCTTTGTCCTCTGGCATTCATCACCTGGGAATCAGGACCTCTCACCTGGCAGAGCCTAAGTTTACCGGGAGAGGAGGCACAAACTTCTCAAGCAGTTCTCTAGGAATAATGGTGGGAGGGTAAATCCCACACCTTGATTCCCACTTGTGTGTGCTCTACCTATTAGAGACATGTGGGTCATCGTTTTAGCACATCCTTTAGGATGCAATATATGCAATGTATTCTCCCTGAGTTGGTGCCTTAGCTTAATAGGACATTTCACCACTGTCTTTGGCTGGCTGCTTTAGCATGATGGGGTTCAGATATGATAAGACCAGTGGATCCCATGACCATGTGCCTATTGGTACACCTCCTTAGATGACTTGGGTTTCTTGGTTTGAGACAATGTCATATGGGATATCATGGCAAGAAACTAGGTATTTTGTAGACTCTCAGATGGTGGTACTGGTGGGGGCTCTGTGGACAGGAAGGCAGGGGTAGAAGTGGGATTTACCCTCCCACCATTATTCCTAGAGACCTGCTTGAGAAGTTTGTGCCTCCCAGAGTAGTACCAATGCTGGAAAGAATAAATTGCTGCCCCTCCCAGCATTGAAGGAATCTGATTCAGTCAACCTACCACAAAGTGGCTGGCTAGTCTCCTGAAGGAACGGTGCCACATTAAGGTCTCTGTATGAATCTCTGTTGCTGCCTGTTTGCGTATTCAGTGGTGGCAGCTGCATGATCAGTCTTGGTGAGAAGGAACCCATGATGTTGGCCCATGCGTAGCCTCCATCCTTTCTGTCACAGTCACTCTGCATCTGCATGGGGTGGCTGATAAGAGAAGCTGGCTGACATCCCCAGGATGAATCATCCTTTCCATCTGATCGGTGAGAATTTCCTCTGCCATCAATGCTTCTGGCATTAGTGGGAGATACATGATCTGCATGTTTTGTTGCTTTATTTCCACTACCATAGGCCCATCTACATACCTCTCCCTGATCTTTCAATCTAATTCTTTCTAAGCTCCTGACTTAGAAGCCAGGTGACTGGCGACCATACAGGAGTCCGTGTAAATCCATGTTTCAGGCTGCATTTCCCTCTCTGAGAAGTGGACAACCAAGTGTACTGCTCATGGCACTGCCCACTGATAGGATTTTTCAGGCTGCATTTCTCTCTCTGAGAAGTGGACAACCAAGTGTACTACTGCTCATGGCACTGCCCACTGATAGGATTTTTCATCACTACTGATCTTAGGGCCATTTTGTGTTCTCACCAACATAATGTGCTGGCCTATTTGTTATCCAGATACAAGTTATTTTCCACCTCTGTTGGTCAGAACCCCACATGAGTCCATAGGTATGAACTAGGGGAGAAGGGCTAGTGAAATAGAGGTCATTGACATGGGATCTGTTCATTTAGTTCATTTGTGCTTTTTGGTCCTGCTTGGCCTCTTCCTGAAGATACCATTTCCACCATACAGGGAACTCTATTGCCTTGACTCCATGACTCGGTGGATTCGAGAAGAAGCCCCTGATGAGTAGCTCGGGTTTTGTAGTCACTTGGTGCTGCATGGTCCCTCTCTCTTCCAGGGCCCACACCAAAAGGTGCTTCAGAAAGCATGGCCTTGTTCCAGACCGTAGGGGGTTTTCACTACCTCTCTTCTATTGAGGCTCTGCCAAAGACTCCCCATGCATTTTCACCCACCTCACATACCTCTAGAGAGTCTAATCTGCTGGGACATACAACCCTAGTGTTGGATTGCACCAGTGGCTAAAACCCCTGCAGACCTTTATTTTGCTTTGGGCTCCACTCAAAACTAGAAGCTTTGCCAGTCACCCCAAAATTGAGTCAGATTGGTGTTGCCAAATGTGCTACATACTGCCTCAAAAATCCAGAGACCCACTAAGCACAGTGCCTGTTTCTTAGTGGAAGGAGGTATGCAATCCAACAGTTTGTCTTTTACCTTAAAGTGTGGGTCTTAGAATGCTCCAAACCACTAGACCCCTAAAAACATCACCTATGTGCATAGTCCTAGATTTTCATTCAGTTATCTCCTACCTCCTGTTCTCAAGTGCTTAATAAAATCTCCAAGCTTTCCATTTTGTGCTCACCAGGTACAATTTGCTTGATGTCATCAATACAGTGAGCCAGTGTGATATTCTGCGGAATTGAAGATGACTACAGTCCCTTTGGACTACACTATGACAAAGAACAAGAGTGTTAGCACAGCCCTGGGGTAAGACAACAAATGTGTCCCCACCATATGAAGATGAACTGACTTTGATCCTCCCTACTGATGGGGAAGAAGGCATTTGCTTGATCAATAGCCTCTTACAAATGCCAGAGGCTATTTGACCTGCTCTAGTAAAATTACCACATCTGGCACAGAAGCTGCAATCAGGGTTGCTGCCTGGTTTCGTTTATACGAGTCCTCAGTCATTCCCCATGAGCAATTTGGTTTTAGCAGGTCCAGAATGATGAGCTGAATGAGGATGTGATGGGAAACACCTACCCTACATCCTCTAAGTTTTTAACGAGGGCACTAATCTCTGAAATTTCTCCTATAATGTGGCAATAATTCTTCCATTTTACAATCTTGTCTGAGCAGGGTGGTAGTTTCAGGGTATCCCACTTGGCCCATCCTACCAGAATGGCCCCTTATTCATGGATTGTGGAATCAAATGGGAGGGTTCTGCCGGCATCTATCCAAATACACTTGCAGGGACTGGAGGAATGACCACGGGGTGGTCTACAGATCCACAGGACCCACTGCAGAACAGACTTAGACCCCAAGTCCCTTTATCACCCAGCCCCTTATTGTCAGTGCCAGTGTTAGGTCACTGCAGGTATCTACCAGTCCTTAGAAATATGGGCATTTCCCTTCCTTCCATGCAGTCACTCTAGCAAATGGCTGTAGGTCCCTTTGGGAAAGGATGGGAGGAATACAAATCTTATACCCTTGTGATGGCATCCTGTGGTCCTTCCTCAAGGGGACCCTCTTCTTCTTCTCTCAATGGATGCTCGGTCTGTGAACTGACTTAGATCTGGAGACCAGGTGAGGGTCTGATGTCATCCTTCTGCTTGCCATTTCTTGATATTTTTTCACAATTATACAAATTAAGCAACTCCCTTGCAGCTGTCCATCTGTCCCACACCATGGCTGATTAGCCATCGTCAACTATCTCTGCAGGTCTGTGTTCCCTGGTTGCTTCTCTAGCTTGCTACTCATGTTGCCTCTGGTGTTAAAGGGCCAGCACCTGGCCTCTGTTCTGCCAGAATCCTGTCCTGCCCATTGATCACACAGAGCACAATTCTATCATCAGCCTCAGCCTACTGATGGCGGCCATTGCAGAATTTCTCAGAGATGCCTGTGCTCCCCACCCTGAACCAGGGCATCCCTTCTTGCCTTGGGGAGGAGGATCCTCTGGGTACTCCTGTAGAAAGTTGTATTCATTTCCCCTGGCTACTCTAACAAAGTACCATAAACTGGGTGTCTTAAAGCAAAACAAAAGAAATGTATTTTCTTTCATTTCTGAAGGCTGGAAGTCCAAAATCAAGGTGTTGGCAGAGCCATGCTCCTTCCAAAGACTCTAGGGGAGGAAGCCTCTTTGCTCTTCCAGCTTCTGGCTTGTGGCAGCACAACTCCAATCTCTGCCTCCATCTTCACATGGCTATCCTCTCTTTGTGTCTCTCTGAATGTCCTCTCCTCTTCTTAGAAGGACAGCTGTCATATTGGATTGGGGCTCACCCTAATTACCTCATCTTAACTTGATTACATCTACAAAGACTTGACTGAGGTCACATTCACAGGCACCAGAAGTTAGGATTTCAATGTTTCTTTTGGGGGAATGCAATTCAATCCATAACAATAGCCAGCTGGTAAGTTCCCAGGTCCTATATAGATAATCCATCCTAAAATTCCTACCTCCCTGCGTCTTCTGACCCCTTCTTCAATCCTATGCTGAGGAGGTTCTGGTATTTCTACTCATTTGCTCTAAACCATTGTCATGGCCAAGCTCTAAGATGCCATCCTATCACACTGTTCAGACCAGTTCTAGGTCCTAACACTCAATCCAAGTCAAGGGCTTACATCAAGAGTGAGTGTCACAAATTCTCCCCCAGGCAGCCTTCTCTCCCCCACCTCCTTCCTCTATCCAACCCCGTGCAATGTTCAAGCACCAAGGCCATGGCTTTCTACCCCAAGGCCTCACTTTCTACCTGCAGCTCTTCCCAGTATTCTACAGGTGATAGCTCGGATAACCCTGATGTCATTGCATGCCAGGACTATCACCACCCAACTTATCGCCAGGGATGGGGTTCTTCTTGCCAGAACTCCAGTGAGTAATCCAGCTCCAGAATCCCATTTTGAGGGCTGCTTGCTGGAGCCACTCCTGACACCAACTGTCTTCTCTTGGGTTTTCCAGAAAGCAAAGGCTGAGGCAAAGTCCTCTGTGCTACTCCGTTATTAGGGAACACAATCCCAGGAAGGAGAGCAAGATAGGGAGGGGCAGAGCCACCACGAGGAGGGCACATTACTGAGCTGTCTGCGGCCAAATGCAACTGATTGTTCAATCTTGCAAGATCATTTCAAGAAACTGTCTGCCTCGGAAGCATCTACCGGGAGGGAGAAAGAGGGAAGAATTTTCCATTAACTCCTATTTTCCATTAATCAAAGTTTTGTCAAACTGGTCATTAACCCATAGCACTTTCAGGTTGTGCACATGTGGGTGCTGAGTGGGATTCTTCAATGCCTGCACTTCAAAAGGGAAGCCCAGGGATATGAGGCAAGGGGCCCATGGTGGCAGACCGTGCAGGCACGGAGCAAGGCACTAGCTGGTTGACGTGCATGAAGTTAGTTGGAGCCCATCAAGAGCCGGTAGCAGCAGATGCCCTTGAAGCTAGAGACAGACGAAGCTGAGAGGATCTAAGGGGGTGCAAAATAAGGGCTTGCTAGAGTGATCAGGGGATCATGGGCTCGATGGCCCAGAGGAGGGTATGTGCTCCATCCAAAGAAAGCAGCTGCACTCAGCCCCAGCCAATTGCTCGATCTTCTGATTTGTTTTCAAGAAAGCTAGTTTATTGAATTTTCTTTTGAAGTTGATAAGCAATTCAGATTTAAAACGTGATGTGGGCCAACACTGCAGGTCAAATAAAATATTTCTGAATATTGCCCACAGGGGCCCATAGGTTTGCAATTTCTGAGCTACTCATCTTATGGAACTGGGCCAGGTCGGGAAGGGGGCAGGGCCGAGCCTAACACTGGATGTTCTGACTCCAAGACCAGTGTTCTTACCCCCATTTTTAGAAGGCTGGCCTTAGCATTCATGGCCTTAGCAAGATCTCTAGCCTGCCATGACTCAGGAATTTCCCCTCTCCAGGATCTAAGTGCACCCAGGTGAGGGCATTTCCCTCTAACTGCACCCAGGTGAGGGCACAGTCAACCCATCCCCTGCCCCATCCCTCACCCTGACAGGCTATTGGCCTCCCATGGGGGCTGGGTACTCAGGTCCCACTGATTCTCAGCCTTGTTGGCCTGGCTGATGAGGTGGAGCCAGTGGAATCCCACCACACTGCCAACCTGAGACCGGGGACCCATCAATCCTGCTCCCCTATTGCCTAGGACACCCCCGTGATGGATGAAGGGCCTGGGCCATGAATCATCTCTCTCACCTTTTCCCATCTCCCAGCCAGCTTCCCGGAGCTGGAAAGATGAATGCCTGCAGAATCTCACCTGCTCTCTTGAATAATTTCCCTTTAAAAGACGCCAGTTATCAGTAATTCGTTACTCGTCTTTGTTAGCATAAACAAGACAGAGAAGTTGGGGTGGGGGATGATGCTTCCTGCTCCTCCTCCCAGCTTCTGCCACTGCCGCTGCCTTCATCATTCCACTGTCACTCGTGCTGGCCTCCAACCTCAGTTCTGCCTTCCTGCTGTGGAGCAAAGCAAAGCAAAGCCAGGGTCTTAAGGAGAGCTGCTCCAGCTGGTGGCACCCTCTCTGGCAGATGGCATACAGCTGTTTCTGGTGACATCTGGATGAGCACAATCAGCTCCAATTGATGATTTCTTTTAATCTTGAATTAAATGTCACATGTTGTCTCTTTCTTTTACGGCCCATATACATCCCTGTCTGTGTTGTCTATAACTACAGAATAAGATATCACTGGCCAGGGACCACTTCTCTGAAAGCCAATCTTGTTCCTCGCAATCTGCATTTGTTGGAATATAAAACTGGCCCCCAAGGCAGGAATGTGGAGGACCTGGAACAGCAGGGAAGACCCTGGGAAGGACAAATGTCAGAGTCACAAAACAAGGAACATAGCCCATTCCATTACCCCTGGAGCCTTTCTTGGCAGGGGGTGTGTGCCACAGCAGGATGAGCCCTTGGAGGCGATGGCGGTTTCTGTCAAAGGCACAGTTCCAGGATTCGGCCCTGCCGAGGTGAGAACTATCAAGAACCAAGGGAGGGAGCAAGGCCTTTTGAATGCTAAGAACCAGGGCAAGTGGCCAGACAGGCAGAGAAGTCCCCCATCCCTCCTCTTCTGAGCAGAAGCAAAGAAAACAAGAAAAGGACAGAAATTTCAGTGTGGTTTGTCGCCTGGTTAGGGACTGTAGCTAATTTTTTTATGCCACCACCAGAAGACCAGGACGAAGTGATTTTTCTCTGGACTTCACTCCTAACTTCCAAGTTCTTTCCTCGTTTCTCATATCCAGCAATATCTCATCCTATAATGACAATGGCAGCATCGCACATGTCATTCAAGGGCTTAAGTTTTATAGCTCTCCCCTCCCTCCATCCATTCTCCAGCATCTATCTATAGGACATCACAAAACTATAAATCGGATCATGCCACCCCCTTGATTAAAAACCTTGAGTGATATCCCATTGTCTTCAAGATCAAGTTCAAAGCCCTGAACATGCCCTGTAGCGTGCCCTGGCCTCTGACCACTCTTGACCCTCATCCTGCATGCCCCCCCAATTGCTCCTGCCACGCAGCTCTTCTTTCAGCCTCTAGGGAGCCTTCTGCCTCTTCCTACCACAGGACCTTTGCACGTATTAGTCCTTCTACCTGGAATGGCCTCTCCACTCTACCGCCACCCCCAGCCTCCCATTTAGTAACTCTGTAACTCCTATTTATCTGTCAGGTCTTGACTTAAGCATTGGGTTATCCAGAAGGCCTTCCTTGCTGCCCTAGACTATATCAGACATGCCTTGTTCTCCTGCCTTTATGCTTCAGTTACCCAGTGAACTCGTAATGATTTGCCTAACATCCTTTCTCTCCACAAGACTTCATTTCCATGAGATGAGGGGCTGTGCCCTGTCTGCTGCTACTTGCTCAGGGGCAAGTACAGAGCCTGCCACAGAGATGCCCTTTGTGGAATGAATGAATGAGGGAGGGACTGCATGTGAGGGCATCCTGGCCCAACTGCTCTCTACATAGCTGGTCTCGCTGCAGACTCTCTTCACTGTCTTCAGCCTCTGTCTCTTCCTCCACCATCAGAGATCCTTGTCCTCTGCTCAGACTCCTCAACTAAGGCCATTTCTCATCACCTTTTCTGGTCCGTGGCAGTGCAGGGTCCTTGTTCTGACCTCTAGCTCACCTCCTCTTTGGCTTCAGGGTGAAATGGGTCTCCCTGAGGCTGAGGAGCCCCAGCTGCCTGCCTTCTCCTGCAGGAGGGGCCTGACTAGAGCTCCCCAGCTGTACCGCCTCCTCCCCAGCTTCCACCTATCCTCAGGGAGGGACCTGGAGCTCACACTCCAGACCCCAATCTAAGGTCACGGTCTCATCCCAGACCACAGTGGCATGAATAAAACAACACAGAGCATTTGCGATTCAGTGGCTGCTCTATCCTTCTGTCTCCAGCTGGCCCAAAGGGAGACCCAAAGCCAGCATGATTTTAGGGAGGTTTGGGGGCATTTGCCACAGGATGGTGGGGTAATGACTGGGATCCTTGCTGCCAGAGGCCAGCTGTCCAGTGATGGATGTTAATATCCTCTCTCTGGGAACCCAGAAAATGGTTGTGCCATCATTTGCATATATTTGCATCTCCTACACTGCCATCTATCCCAGGGTCTGCAACCTCTGCCTGGGAGCCACGCTGGCCAGCAGGCTGGTTTTCCTTGGCAGGCAGCCTGGAAATCCTCCCACCCCAGCTGCCCTTGACATGGTGGATGCTGCGCCTGCATCCCCAACCCTCTCAGGCCCCCCAGGATGGCAGCTCTGCTTTCTGCTCATGAATAGGCAGCCAGTCGATGACAGCTCAGCTACTTCTCACACCCGCTCCCCCACCAGGGCAGGGTGTGCAGTCAGGCTTCCCACCCACCCTCACCTCCCCTTGTCCTACCCCAAGTGGAAAGAGCTTGGTAACCTGGCGTTTGCCCACTCATTCATTCAGTAGGCTTACTGAGCACATACTAAGTGCCAGGTGCTGTGCTGGGGATTGGGTCTATAAGGAAAGCAGAGGGGCCATTCTGAGAGCTAGCCAGGGTGCCGCTCACCACGCTGGGGTCCAATAACCTGGGGCTATGTTCTTCCCATTGTCCTCGCTTTACCATCTGCCACACTGGACCTGAAGTTTCCATCCTTGGCCCTTCAAGGGCTCCGTCTTCAGCACCACTCACTGCAAGTGCCTCTCCCAGAAGGGCAAGAGCCTTCCCTATTTGGGGCACAATGTGGGTGGAGATGTGGGCCACACCCACAGGAGCTTCCTGGCCCTGGCCCCTGTACTTCCTCAGGGATGAAACGGGCCTTTCAACCCAGTGGGCAGGTAGGGGTCTCAATAATGGTTCTCCTTTTTTGGCATCTGGCCCCATAAACATGACAGCAGACGGGGCAGTATGGAGCTAAGAATGACAATGGCTTATGTAGATGAAGCCCACGGTTCACTGTGGGAAAGCCAAATTTCAAACTGGGCCTGTCCTGGGGATTCTTGGGGGCCTCAAGCCTCATGGTCCAGACCCTGTGAGCACAGTTGTCTTTGGCCAGTTCCCAAGAGGCCAAGGCTCCTGACAACAGTCCAAAGGCTCAAGCAGACAAGGGCGGCTTCCCCTTCCCAGTGCAGCAGAAGTGGAGACTTGGTTGACATCTTCCTTCCTGGTGGCCTCTCCTCCTCTGTTCTCTGTTTGTCTTGGTGGCTCTAAGTTCTCCAATTCCTCCAGGCTAGAAACCTCACTTTTCTAGGTCATCGCTCTCCCCGTGTGGCAACCCCAGTCCAGCCAGTTGCCGCATCCTCTTTCAGAATGCGTTTTGCAGCTGTTTCTGCTACCATCATAGATGAGCCTGGAATGATGACACTGTTACTGCAGCCTCTTGGCCAGTCTCCCATCTTTGATCCAACTTATTCTGCTGCCAGATTAAAAGTAAAATTCCTAAAACAAAATCCCATCAATACTTTCAGTGACCCCCCTATTACCCATAGAATAGAGCCACTTCTCACTCTCGTGCCATAGTTTTTACCACAGCACCTAACACAGTGCCTACTACAGGTGATAATAATGATAGCTAACATTTTTGGCATAATGACCACGTGCCCCAAACTGTTTCAAGTGTTTGATTTGTATTATTTAATCCATTCAGCAACCCTGCAAGGTAACTACTATTACTACATTTTACAAACAAACTAAGGCACAAAATGATTAAGGAACTTGCTTAAAGTCCTACAGCTAGTAAGTGGGAGAGCTGGGATTTGAATGCTTGGGATCTGACTCAAGAGCCCACACTTTCAACCACCATGCAGAAATATACCCCAGATGGAGAGTTAATGTATGTTGTACGTATCAATACATGCATTCATGAACCAATAGATGAAAAGATGAGTGACTGAATTAATGAAATTACTCCACATCATAGGTCCCCAAGACAAAGGTACTGATACTTTCCAGAATAGTTTCATTGTGCCTTCTTCTGAGCAGAGACAGTGTAATGTAATTGTTATGGCCATGGGCTATGGTATCAGGCTTGGGTTTGAATTCTGGTGTCGCCATTTATTGGCCATGTAGGTTTGGCAAGTTATTTGAGCTTTGCCACCTCTATTTCCACTTCTGAAAATGGGAATAATAATAGCACTGATTGTGGATCAAATGAAGTCATGGTTATCTAGCACAAAGCACAATGCTTGGTAAATGGCGAGGGCTCAATGCACAGCCACCACAGTTCCCATGAGAGCTGTCCTTTGTCCCCACTGTTTCCATGGTCTAAGCAACAAGGTTGAAATGTGCAAAATGTGATTTGTGCTCTGTTGGCTAAAGACAGCAGGTGTGTTGGGCAACAAGGGTGGAAAAGGAGGAAAGTGGTGGGCTCCAGGTGCAGAGAGGGGACCCAAGAAGGTCTAGAAATGGCAGAGAGGAAGCATCCACCACCCGGCGTGCACATCACACAAAGACGGTTCTGCTTCCCTCGCCTGTTTAGTATGAAACTCAGTGAGAATTGATGAAGTCATTTTTCAAGCCATAAAGCACTGCAAACACATTTGTATTATTTTTCTTCTGTGCCATGGGTAGTTTTTTTTTTTTTTCAATTCTCAGATGTTTAGCAAACACGGGCTATCTTCCAAAAAATGTAATTTTGTGGATGGATACATTTAAAAATGGTATGCTTTGGTCAAGTCGGTAATGTCTATTTTTCTTTATTGATGACTTCTCGTTTCAGTGGGTCACTGACAAGAAAATTCACCTGGAGGCCAAATTGTCTCTAATAACAAGTCCAAGACATGCATTCCAGCTGGAATCCTCTTCCCGGATGGTAAGTTGCCTAGGAACAAAGACTGGGTCTTCCTCATCTTTTGTTGCAGGGGCCAACAGTGCCTGGCAAGACAGGTGGACACTCGGTGACTGCAGACTGGATTCTGGCTCATCTGACCGGGTTCAAATCTCAGCTCTACCATTAGCTGTGTGAACTTGGAGAAGTGATTTCATGCCTTTGAGGCTCAGTTTTCTTAATTAAAGTGGGAATAATCTTAGTAACCTATTTTATAGGGTTACTGTGAAGATTTCTCTCTCTTGTCTCTCCCCCACCCCTCTCCTCCCTCCCTCCCTCTCCATGTTGGGCCTAAACAGTCATTTCAATCATAAAACATCCCTTGTGTTCATATAGCCCTCTGCAGTCCACAAGGTGCTCTCAAATGCATTATTTCATAAATAGATACAATTATTTGTCCATTAAAAAGGTAGATTTAAATTTAAAAAATGCCTGATCTCATTTTATCAGAAATAAAGAAGCATTAGCATCCCCATCTCTCAGATGAGGAAGCTGAGCTCAAAGATTTGGCCAGGGTCATATAGCACGCAGAGCTAGGACGCAAACCAGGCTTTCTAACACCAACTCCAGATCCCTTTGAGTTAAAGGAAATCAGGCAATAGTTCTAAAACGAATGACATTTACTCAAGCTGAGCCTAATGCAGTTCTCAGATATCCTGACCTTCAGAGGGGGAGAAATCGGTCAAGCCAGGTGGTCAGCATCAAGTGAAGCAAACAACCAGCTGAGAGACTGAATTTTTCCCTATTTCTTCAGGCTGCTGTTTGTGGCAGGAGCAGAGAATAGCAGGTGGAGACACAGGCTCAGTGTGGTGTGAATCAGGAAAGATCTGGGGGCATATCTGGGAGTGGCCTCTCTGTGAATTTGCTGCCTCCAAGTGCTGGATTCTCCAAGAGGCACCAATAAAGGCTGGGTGCACTCAGATGGACTTCTCTGTGCCAGAAGGGTACCCATGTGTAAGCATCTGTCATCACCTCAGTGGCTTTGTACAGAGATAAGATGGTTACCATTATAATTCTTTCCACTTTTAAGATGGATAAACTGAGGCTTGAACTGTTCAAGTTCATACAGCTAGTAATGGCAGCAAGATTCAAATGTGTGGCTGTCTCACCTCAAAGTCCATTCTCTTTCCAAAAAGCCAAATGAGGTGGCAAAGGGGAATAGCAGAAGGAGATATATGGCTTTAGGGGTGGACAGTGAGGGGTTAGGAGTAGGAGGAGGAAGGCACTGGACAATGCGTTAATTTGGAGAGTCAAGTTATGTAGAAAACTATTGACATGGTGATACAAATGGCTCACTCACCTCTTTATTTATTTTAGGTTGTGTGTTTTTAATTGCAGTAGCCATCTCCAAAAATGCCATCCAGTAACCATGCCCTTGTGTGCTGCCCTTTCCATGAATCTGAGCTAGCCCCATAATTTGCTTTTGGCCATTGGATGGTGGTGGAAGTGATGCTGTGTGACTTTTGAAGCTGAGTTACAAGCAGCCTTGGACAGTCTTTCTAGACCTCGTGGAGGGCTCACTCTGGGGGAAGCCAACCAGCATGTAAGGAGCATAACTGCCCTGAGACCGCCGTGTTGTTAGGATGCCCAGCTAGCTATGTGGAGAAGCTGCATAGACTGAGGGAGAAGCCCAGCTAGTCCCCAGTTATTCCTGCCACCCTAACTGAGGCACCAGACCCATGAGCAAAGAAACCATCATGGATGTCCTGTCCCATCCAGCTTCTGTGACTGTAACTGTATGAGGACCCCAATGAAAACCACACAGCTGAGCCTAGTCAACACACAGAGCTATGGAAGATAATAGTAAATTGTTGCTTTAAGCCACTTGGTGTTTATTCATTTGTTTGGAGGGGGTCGGGGGCAGAGAGATTATGCAGCAGTCGAAAACCAGAACACTTGCATAAATCTCTATGAAGCTGGACATCTCTCTAGACCTGAAGAAGCTCCAGAATGCCCTGAGCCTGGCATGACTACAGGGCCACTCTATTCCCCCGCTGGAATGATCCAGAGTGCCAGGAAAACAGGCCCTTCACACAAGGCCCTGAGTCTGTTTCCTGGTTCCTCCATGACTAGCTGCAAAACTTTAGACAAGCCAGTGCTCTCTCAGCCTGAATTTTCCCATCTGCAAAGTTAGGCAATAGAGTCAATGGATCATCAAAGATTCTTCTGCTTCTCTGCCTCATGAAATATCACTCTGTGCCTAAGAGATGAACACACCACCTAGAATTCCCCCTCTAGGCGTGCCCTTTCTCGGTTCACTCACATGATAGGCATAAAGGCACAAGGAGAAAGGAGCTCATCTGCGCTGTTTCTGGGCTTCAGGAATCTCCAGTCACCAAGTGAGGCTGTGGGAGGGCCAGACATGCCAGCCAGTACCCAGGTTCCCAGCTCCATGCCCCTCCTCAGCCTCCCTTGAGTTTTTCAGTGCTAAAGAGGGAGCACCTGCTCCAAGGCCCAGGTAGTTCTGGAATCCCAGCTCTACCTGAGAAGAGGAAGTTCCTGCCTGCCAAAGAAGAGGGGCCTCCTGAGAGGAGTAGGCTTCTCGGTGGCTGCAAAGCGTCTGGTGACAATATTTGTGTCTAAAAATACAGCAGCTGAGAACCAGCTAATTGCAGCCTCTGGAGTCATTCATAGCTCAGCGTTTCACACCACACTTGCACCTCTTCCAGTGTTTCTCAGGAGCTGCCACGAAGGAGGCCACTTATGGGTGGAAACCCAGCCAGGAGGGCCCAGGATTGGGCCTAAGGTCCAGGGCATCCTTTCACCCAAGAGCCCAGCCTGGTACCAGTATGTAGCTGGCACCTAGGAATAGAGCAAAGAGAGCAAGTTTCTCAAGTCAGCTGAATCCCCCCCCCTCTACTCAGATGCCCTTGGCCACTTGCCCATCAGGATCCATTCAGACCTGTTGGGGCCCCTCAAAAGGCAATGGCCCAGGTATAACTTCATGAGTGAGATGTACTCGAAGAGATGCACAAGGTCCAGGAATTACCTTGCTGGAGACGGCCTTCTGTCCTGGACCTGCAGCCGGCAGGGTGCTAACCTTTGAGCTAGGACCTCTGCTGGACTGGGTCATGGGCTAAGCAGGGGTTGGGACCCCATAGCTCCCTGCTGTGGATCCTCCTTTCTTTCAGAGCTTCTCAGATGGCTCCTGTCTCGTCTACCAGGATAAAGGGCATGACTCAAGGTCACAGGATGTGACGATCTGAGAACTTCAGCCACAGCCTCTCTGGTGCCCCACACTGCCTGAACACACAGTGGACGAAGGTCATGGCAAAAGTAGAAGGAACCCTGCGTGGGGAATGTGTTTGCCTCAGGCTTTAGGAGAAGGAATTTTTTTTTTCTTAATCAGGGAGGCATTTTAAAAGCACAAAGCCAAACTAACATTTGTGTAGTATTTTTCACTTGGCAAAATGCTGTCACACACCTAGTGCTAGGTGGTTCCCATGTTAATTAGATGAGGTGGTTATTATTATGGCGTCCACTTTATGGGTAATTAAACTGAGGATCAGAGGGGCTGAGTCATTTCCCCAGGGTCACCAAAGTCATGACCAGCCTTGAACTCAAGTCAGGAGCCCTCCTGCTGGGTCAGCAGGCCCAGCACCGCCTCCTGGCCCAGCTTAGAAGCTTGACTAGTCAGCCCCATTGGGGTCCCAGATTACAGAAATGCCACACTCCGGCCACACAGCCCTGAATCCAACCTAAATCCAGCTCCATCAACTTCCCCCTATCTGCGAAATTCATTTGAATCCCACTCTGAATCTGGATCCATTAACCTTTGACCTATGAGAAATGAGTCAGAGCCTAAGAAAAAGCGGGCACCTAGAGAAAGCAGGGAGCAAAAAACAGAGTTTCTGAGAGCAGGGGCCCTCTGCTTGATGGTCAGCTCCTCCCCTGGCACCTGGGCCAGGTCAGCCGATGCTCTGTGTGGCCAAGAGAGGGCCAGACCTGGCCTCTGGCTGTGAGTGGCTGGGACGGCGAGCAAGACCCAGCTACATATCTGTCTTCAGCCCCTGCAACTGGGAGAGCAGCAACTCAGAGATCAGCCGTTTCACCCTTCTTCCTAATCACCGCGGGCGTGATGGAACACCTTGACATTCTTTAACGAAAGTTCAACTCCACTGCCACTCGGGGCGCTGCATGAGGAATGAGGTTTATGTTGAATCCCAGAATCACAGAAATTAGAGATGAAAAAGGACGCTGAGGTCAGAGGCAGCCCATCCCCATGGGGCCAAGTGCACGTTCTTCTCGGTAATAGACTTTCCCTTTATTCCTCCAGTCCAGGTGGCTGCCTCCCTGAAGACCATTCTCCACTGTTTCTTGGAGAAGACACTGTTGATAGAAATGAGAAGTCTGTGCTGATCCCTGCATGATTTGCTTTGAAATTTATTAATCATCCAAAAGCTGGTGAAGAGGGGAAAAAAGAGAATGTAAACTCATCTGGTAGCCAGCGTGCCTGAGTGCGAAGAAGGAGGAGAGCCAGAACCCTCTGGGTTTCCAGCTTGCTATAGCTCTAGGGCAGCATGGGACAGTGTAGACTGATCACTGACTTGCTATGTAACCTGGCAAAATTTTGACTTCCCTGAGCCTCAGTTTTCTCATCTGCAAAATGGGAGCTCATGATGCCTATGCACAGGGCTGTTGGAAGATTAGAGTTAACAAAGGTTTAGCACCTCATATTGTGCCTGACCCATGTGAATTACTCCGTAAATGGTAACGATTATTACTAACATTACTTTATGACTCTCCCCTCTCCAGATCCGTGTCCCTGTCTGTAACACAGGGCTAAGCAAGTTCTTCAGCTATTGGGCTTCATCCACTCAACATTCCACTGGCACTTCCAGAGCTGCCACCACACTTCAGACTCCCAAGGCTAACAATGACCAAGAAAGACAGATTCTCTGACGTCATGGAACTTACTGTCTTTATGAATTTCCAGGGAGAAGGGTGCTAAGATGCTAACATGGATACTAACCATCTGATGCAATATTCTGCTGCACAGATTGTGACCTATGACTCACTGGGACATGATAGAGGTCACAGAAATGCCAATGACATCCCAAAGACAGTGTGGGAGTGTGTTGTCTAGCTTCTTAGCAAACCCCACCCCCACGGTGGCATGACCCCTGCACCATCTTCTCCCACCCTGGGATCTCCTTCCTACCCCTCTGCCCATGTCAATCTGGAAGGTACTTTTATACACACACACACACACTCCTAATAGCATCTAAATCAGTCACTCTCAACCTTGGCTGTGCATTAGTGGTGCTTACCTATGACAGGGCTAGGCCCAGGCCACACCCAAATCCATTAAAGCAGAGCGTCTGGGGTGGGACCCAAGCATCAGAGTTATTGGCATCTTCCCAGCTCGAGAACCAGTGCTCTAAGCGGATGTGGTCGTCGGGGGAAAGGCAAGGACCTCTGGTCTTTACAATCTTCTTGATATCACTGAATAACCTCAGTTTCTCTGTCTGGGCAAGGAGGGTACTAATACCTCCCTCTCCAGGCCATGATGAAGGTAAAACAATATTCTGAAAGAACCTCAGGAATCCTGCCCAGATGAGAGGCACTGGCCCTGTGGCCTCTGGGCAGATTCACTGGAGAAAGTGGTGGGTGTGATGGTTTCCCTGGGGGCCAACACTGAGACTTCCCAGTGTTTGCTCTACCAGGGTGAGCATCACTGTGGTGAATGTCCCTTGCAGAGCTCACATCTGTTGCACCAGGATACTTCCCCTGAAGCTGAGCTGCCAGCCCCAGCCTCCCATTCCCCCACCTCCTTACCATGCCCTTCCTTTCCTTCTCTGGCCAGGCCCGAGTCCTGCCATCTCTAGATGCTGCATTTCCAATACTTTCGGCCCAATAAACAGTTGGCAGGTGTCAGGTTCCCAGGTTTGAAAGGGGTCTATATTAATCACAGAGATACACACCTGTCAGGAGTCCAGCTAATGTCCTTCAGAGAGCCCTGGAGGAGAGCGGGAGAGGCAGGGCTGATCTGAGGGCGGAGCACACTGAGGAGTAAGGAGAGGCTGGGATGTGCTAGGGCCACCAGACCAGGATGTACTGGGGCCGCCAGACCTGTCCACGGAGTCCAGGCGGGGGACTCCCACATGTCTCAGGCATCATGAGGGGCTACAGAAGCAGCATGAAAACAGTCCCCACCCTCGCCCAGTTCATGACCTATATTGGGAGTGACACACGCTGGGCTTTAAGATGCTTGCCAAGCAACATACAGGCAAGTGCAAAGTAGTGAATCCAGGTTGAGGAAGTGGGTGAGGAGAAGAAATATCAGGTGAGAAGCAGACCTGGGGGTTGGGAGAATGGGGTAGGAAGAGTCCCAGATATGCAGTGAAAAGTCATGCCCTGTTAACGGGGAGAGAATAGAAGGAGGGGAGGGGAGTGGAGGGAAGAGGAAGGGAGCAGAGGGGCTGAGAGGGGAGGGGAGGGGAGAGGAGGAGAGAGGAAGGGAGGGGAGGGGACAGGAGAGGAGTGGAGGAGAAGGGAGGGGAGTAGGAGGAAGGCAGTGCACATTGCATGCAGTAAGGAAAGTATTATGTTATAAAACTTTGTTTCAGCTTTTTGTGGGGTGAGTGTGTGTACTGGGTCCTGAGATAAAATTTCTTTCTTGCATGATCTAAGAAGTATGTGTGCATCACAGGAGTCCAGGCTTTGAGCCTGGGATCAGCACAGTTCCTGACTCTGACCCACACACCATGAGCCAAAGCTCTAGACCTTTCAGAAATTCTTCACCATCAGAAAAATGGAGGTGGCACGCCCTGCCGCAGCTGATCAACTTCCCAGATGTGCTGCGAGCCTGCAGTAAGAGAATGGATGTGAAAGTGCTTTGTAAACTGAAAATTCCAATGAGAAAAATCCATTATCATTAGGTACAGTTAACCAGAAACCTAAGAGGTAAACTTAGATCTGGATTTTGGGGGGTTTGTTTGTTTGTTTGCTTTTTGAGATGGAGTCTCACTCTCTCGCCCAGGCTGGAGTCCAGTGGCACGATCCTCAGTTCACTGCAACCTCTGCCTCCTGGGTTCAAGCAATTCTCCTGCCTCAGCCTCCTGAGTAGCTGGGATTACAGGCATATGCCACCACGCCCAGCTAATTTTTGTATTTTTAGTAGAGACAGGGTTTCACCATGTTGGTCAGGCTGGTCTCGAACTCCTGACCTCATGATCTGCCTGCCTTGGCCTCCGAAAGTGCTGGGATTACAGGCGTGAGCCACCACACCTGGCCTAGATCTGGATTTTGAAGAAGAAGAAGAAGATAATGATGACGATGATGACAGCTAATGCTTAGATGGTGCTTGCTATTCACTAGGCACTGTCCTATGATGGGTGGAATACAGGCTGTGGGGAAGGAGGGGCTGCTCTCTGTGGCAAGAGATGGGAACTGAGCTAGGCAGGTGGCTACAGCCACAAGAAGCCCTGGCTACTGGGCTGCAGCACATGGCAGATCACACCAAACAGAGATGGTACATTTTGGGGTTGGGTGCACAGGGACAGATCATCTGGAGTATGACGTGGTTTCCTTTGGGTGTCCTGAAGTCCCCAGCAAGAATGCTGAAACATGTCTGTCATGTTCCCTTCTACAGGAGAAAGAGATAGAAGTGGCCTGGCTTTGAAACATGGTGCTATCCCCTAGCAAGCAGAGGAGGAGCTTCCAGACAGAAAATGGTACCTTTCCCCAGAGTCTATGTTGAGGTGCACCAGCCTTTCCAGTCCTGAGAAAAGACAGAGTCATGGCTCCAGGGCAGGTGGGCATGCCTGTGTCCCAGGAGGCACTGTTCTTCCTGGCCAGAGACCCATGCCCACTTCAGAGGAGCCATGAAGGAGAAACACCAGGCCACAGTGGAGGACTGTGATCAAGGAAAAATTGAAGAACTGCTGCAGGAAATTGGAGCTGCCAATCTCCTAACAATTGGAATTTTTTTATACTGTGCATTTCACAAATGTATGGTAAGTGCTTGGGAATCACAAAGGTCCTATAAGTATTCAGTATTACAAGTCACATCCTGCTAACACAAGTACCATTGCAATGAAACTTTCTGTATGACAAAAGCAATTTCCACATCCTGGTCGGTGGCCCATTTATTTCAAACAATATTCAATATGCCAACAGTGATAGCTCCCTTCTCTGAGCAGGCAGGCTGATTGTCTGTCCTGTTAATTCTGTAAAGCATGCATGCACCATCTTGTACCATTCACCATTGTTTGATGCTTATTATTCTTGCCTTGAAGTCCTCAAGGACAGAGAAGATCCTGCCCTAAGGAGCAAGTGTGCGGAGGCCACCTGGCCTTCACTGGTTCCTGCACTGAATGTTTCCTTCTCACCTGCTGAGTACCAGGTGTTACCCCAGGTATGAGATGACCACGCCAGGAAGATGTAGACCCCGCTCTCAAGGGCTTACAGGCTGCAGGGCAAGTAGACCAGCAAACTGCCATCAAGATTCAGTGTGAGAGGTGCATTCTACAACAGCACTCAGAGCAGGGATCCAGGGAAGTGGTGCCTAACATAGACAGAAGGAGTCCAGGAGGACTTCCAGGTGGAAGTGACATCTAAAAGATGAATGAGAGTCATCCAGGCAGGTGAGGTAAGGAAAGGGTCAAGGGTCAAGGCAGTGGGACAGTGGTGAGAGCCAGACTAGAATTCCAGGTATTTGGATCAGCACAATGATAACAACAGCTCACTTTTAAAGAACACTTGCCAATGCCAGGCACATAGTAAAGGCTTTATAAGCATTATTTCATTTAAGCCTCAAATCAACCCCACTATCCCTATTCTACAGATGAAAAACTGAGGCTTTGAGAGGATAAATATTTTGTCTATTTAATCAACACAATCTAAATATTAGCCATCATTATTATCATAATTGTTACTATTATTATTAACTTCAGACATCACATCTCAACTAACCTCTTCTGGTGAAACAGGTACGGATTAACCTCCCCTAATGATAAGCTCACACCATTAGTAATGAGCTGCATTAGGATTTGAACTCAGTACTCAGATTCTGGAGATGAAAGAGGTCACCAGGCGGGGGAACGGCACCTACTCAGTCTCCTGGTGTGGTGCAGGGAGGGGTCATAAAGCATCAGTTGGGCAGGGCTGGTCCTGAGTGGCATGAAGGCTGTGGAAAGGCACCCATGAAATGTTCCAGAGGGTGAAGGGCATGACAGCCTGTGGCTTTAGAAAACCTCCTCTGGCTTCATTATGAAGAATGGATTCAAGAGGGCAGAGCTGGAAGCAGGGAGATGCATTAGGGGCTATTTTCTCATCCAAGCAATAGATGTTGGCGGGGTGAAGTCAGGCTTGGTGTGGATGCAGAGGAAGTAAAAGATGAAAGAGCATTTTAGGAGGTGAACTGGATGGGGCATCCGCCACACAGGCTGGTGGGGAGGAGAAGGAAGCTGGGACAGGCAGTATGGTGCAGGGAAGGACCCAGTTACAGAGTCTGGCTCCAAAGGTGGGACAGGGCATCTGGAAGCCCCACTGCCATGCCCAGGGCATCTGGAGAGGAAGGAGGAGCTCCATAGGTGGCGAGGCTGCCATGTGGTGGATGTTTGAGGTGGCAAATAATACTTGCAGCTCAGCAGGCAATGGCCTGGTGGCTCTGCAGAAGCAGCCCCAGGGGAGGATGAGGATGAGGGATGTTGGGTGCAGCCAGGGAGGCTGGTTTCAAATAGTAGGCAGTCAGGGGATTAGGTCCAGAAAACAAAGAATAACTTAGATCAATGAGGGCAGGTTGGCATAGGAAATGGTAGAGTTGCAACTGCAGGGTGCTAAGGGTGCCTGGGTCCGGCTGGCTCCAGAAGTCAAGGTTGAACTCCCCTCATTGTGCACCTGAGCAGCTGACATCCTTCCAAAGACCAGGACATCAGGGACCCCATCTAGGATGGGATGAGACAGAAACAATGTTCTTGTCCTGTGTGGTTTTACTTCCCTCCCCGGGGCCCAGCCGAGGGGTGGGTGCGTGGGGGCACCTAGCAAACACTGGTTAAAATCAGAGCCCAGCATCCTGTCCCAATGTGCATGCCTACCCTCAGCTTTTGAAGTCTGAGGTGTCAACAGTGTGTAGTTTAGAAATCCTGGAAGGTTGCAAAGTGCTCAAGGGGATGGTTCTAAAATACGTAGTGATGCTCCCCCGCCAATATGTTGTGTGTTGTGGCAGGAGAAATATTTCCAGAGATGGCGACATCAGAACGCTACAGGAAAGCTCTAGAGAATTTAGTGCCTCTGCGTCTCTTCTCCTTCTCATTAGGAGACAGCAGTGGTGTTTTAAATTCTTTAAAGTGGCACTTCAGTCAAGGAGGAGTTTATAAAAATAATTTCTGCAGCATGGTGGATGGAGGGTGACAGGCAGCAGCCGGGTGAGGGGTTGAGAGGGCTGGGAAGAGAAGTCAAGCAGGCCACTGGGTAAACAGGGGGGACCCCTGAACCCCAGAGTCAAACAGAAAAGACTCTACCATATGCAGCCCTGGACAGTCAAGAAGCATGGAGCAGGGAGGGTCTGTGTGCTGATGGCTGATGGGCCCCCACTGGTGGCCTCTCAAGCCCCATTAGGGCTGGCACCAGGTATGGTCACTTCCAGTCCACACAGAGCTTTTGTAGGCACAAGGACAAGTGACCCCTTTAGGTAGATGCAGCTCTGCCCCAGGGTGCATGGCTTGGTGGGCAGAACACAGCCAAAGTTCAGCCCCCTAGTTCCCCCAAGGCCAGGTGCTTTGATGCAGAAAAATATTGTGCAACTGTTCATGGCAGTCCATGGGGAGAGACTGGGGTGCATCCTCGTGAAACACTGGAAAACAGAGCCAGAAAGCAAAACTGGAAATCATGGGAATCCAAGAGGAATTAAGACATTTTAAATAAAAAAAAATCTATTTTAAGATCCAGAAGGAGAGAAGACTCCTGATTAGCTAAGGCAACAAGCAGTGGTATGGGGAGAGAGTAGAAGCCACTGCAATCCCTTCCCCATCTAGGTAGTTAGGCCACGATTGGCAAAGTGCTTTGCCATGCATGATCCCTCAAAATTCGCACTGATAAAAATTCAGTGAAGAGACTTCCATAGAGCAGGGAGCCACAACTCAGAGGCCTCACTACTTGCCCAAGATCTCTCAGCTAGGGAGGTGGGGAAATGGGACTCGAAGTCAGGTCAGCTGACTTCAAATCCAACCCTTTTTCCTAGGTAGCCTCAGTGTGATGGATTATCTGCAGAGATCATCACCAGTAATCCTCCAGCCCTGTACATATCCACTCTTTTCCATCAGGAGGTGAAATTTATTTCCCCTCCCCTTGAATCTAGGCCAGTCTTGTGACTTGCTTTGACACTGACTTTTCTTACACTGTGCATTTCACAAATGTATGGTAAGTGCTTGGGAATCACAAAGGTCCTATAAGTGCTCAGTATTACAAGTCAAATCCTGCTAACACAAGTACCATTGCTATGAAACTTTCTGTATGACAAAAGCAATTTCCATGTCCTAGTCGATGGCTCACTTATTTCAAACCATATTCAATATGCCAATAGAATGTGTAAGTGACACCAGGCAAGGTCCAGGCCTCAGTCTTAAGAGGCCTGGCAGATCCTACTTTCACCTTCTTGGGATCCAGCCACCATGTGGAGAAGCACAGTCTAGACTGACATCTGCTGAAGATCACATGGATTGGTGCAGTGAGGGAGAAGCCTGGCCAGCCCTCCAGTCACCCCAGCTGCCACACATGTCAGGGAAGCCATTGTGGATATCGTGGCTAAATGCAGCCTTGTGAATGGCCCAACCTGACACCATGTGGCATAGAGGAGCTGCCAGTGGAGCCCAGCCACCCCACATAATCATGGAAAAAAATAAGACACTGTGCTGGATAACCGAGACACCTGATTAGTGCAGACACTCCTCCTGGGGTCCTGACACTGGAAGGACCTGCCCAGCGTGTCATCCTGGCTTTGATAACTGACCTAAACTGGCCAGGACTGCTCCTTCTTCCACTGTGTCCTCTTGCTCACCCTAGACTGCGAATTCCATGAGGACAGGACAGTTCTTTGCTTTGCTTTCTCTCCAGACTTAGGAACTGTTCCCTAAACAGAGAATACTTGGTCGTGATGCCTGGCCATGATGCTGGTCAGTCAGTCTGCCTGCCTGTCTAGCTTGATATTAAATGCCCAAATCAGACTCCCCTAGTAATACACATAGTGTGGCTCGTGAGTTGGGTGTGACTTTTTTCAGCGGAATAACTCAATTTCATTTTACATGTTGCTGCTAGCCAGGAGAGTGTGGTCCCACTGGGGAGGGCAGGCCTTTTGATGTTTGCCATGTTGGTCTTTACTCTGTGGGAGCCCATGAGAGGCAATGCAGAGATTTCAGAGTATTCAGAATATTCTCCCACTCCCACCCCACCATACCCTAAATGGCTGTACCTGTCACACATACCATGCCCTGGCTAATAGCGTGTTGTTGTATAAATTAATTACAAAATGACTAATGTCAATTTCACTTTCATCAGAGATGGCAGAAGGACTGAGGACCTGGGGAGGAGAGAGGAGGAAACTGGAGGACTGTGAACGTGGCCACGTCTTTTCCAATGGAGAGAAAACTCAATCGGATCTGGGCACTCCCTACATTTCTCCACCTCCTGCCGCCCCCGTGAGCCACTGCAGGGAGATTTTTCTGAATAATGGAACATTTTCCTGTTTTAATCAGATGCAATTTTGCAAGCAGTTTTTATGATTTAGCAAGTCCATTAAAACTGGCATTTGTTCTGCTCTGACACTCGAAAGGGGCTCCACAGAGCATAAACATTGGAAATTACTTGTAGGGAGAGACAATATTAAAATTCCCCAGCCTGGGCCTGTTGTTTGAGAAATTCTGTTATCAAGCATCATGCCAGCTACGATCAGAGGTGCTTGAGATATATGCTGCTTCCTCTTTACGCACTAACTGGGGGCCTGGGAACTCAGGCAGCAATAAAGTCGCAATGCTGTTATCTCTCAGCACTTTTGGCATCAGGAGGTGAATGGGTCTTAAGGAGAACTCACTGGAAGAGCAGGTCACGAAGTGCAAAATCTCAAGGAAGAGGGTGGGTGAACACATCTTTAAGGACAAGCCTGGAAATTGCTTTCCTGCCCACAGTGAATGATAGAGTTTATTGGCACATAATTAAGAAGGTCTGTTTTGTCAGTTTCACTTGTAGTCAATTCTCAATTATCCATATACTAACAGATGACCAGGGTCAAGTGAAAATTCTCCTTTTGCCCTCCTTCTGCTTCCCTGCAGGGATTCCCTCTCCACAGAACCAAAGTAGAGTATCAGCAAGAGAGGCTTTGGGGAGCATCTCCTCTCCCAGTCAATGCAGAAGCCATAGAAGAAATCACAAAAGATAGAACCTGGCAGTTCAACTACATAAAATTAACAATGCGTGGGTATAACAAACTAAGAAACTGGCCGGGCGCAGTGGCTCACGCCTGTATTCCCAGCACTCTGGGAGGCCGAGGCGGGCGGATCACGAGGTCAGGAGATCGACACCATCCTGGCTAACACGGTGAAACCCCGTCTCTACTAAAAATACAAAAAAATTAGCCGGGCGTGGCTGTGGGCACCTGTAGTCCCAGCTACTTGGGAGGCTAAGGCAGGAGAATGGCGTGAACCAGGGAGGCGGAGCTTGCAGTGAGCCAAGACTGTGCCACCGCACTCCAGCCTGGGTGATAGAACGAGACTCCGTCTCAAAAAAAAAAAAAAAAAAGAAACTTTTTATTCTGAAGAAAAATATTTACTTCTAACATTTCAGAGTGTTAATGTTTTCATATAAATAATTAATATATAAATTGATAGGAACGTTCTAAGAGTCAAGATGGGGTGAGGTGAGGAGATCAAACAACAAACAGACAAAGGATTCATGCAACAAAAAGATTTGAAAATAAACATATGTTGAAAAGGACAACCTCACTTACAATGAAAGAAACACAAAGATGATATAACACACTGTTTGGACTTCTAGCTAAACATGAAAAATTGAACACGTGTGTTTATTTCCTCTCCCTTCCAAATCTTCACTAAAATGAAAACAAAGAATATAAGAAAGGCATAAACTCATAAGAACCCCAAGAAGAGGAAAGGAGACTGCCGCATATAAAAGACATCAACTATTTCTCTAAGACAGAGGCAGATGGGGGAGTGGCAACTGGCCGAGGATGCCAAGGACTAAGGGGCTGCAGAAAGAGGGCTGTCAGAGAGTTTGTAGACTCACCCGCAACACCCGAAGTCACTGGAACTAGAGGGCAGTCAGGCCCAGGAATGGATAGAAAAGCCCCAGAAGCAGATCAGGCTTCACGTGCTGGAGAGAAGGATGTAAGGAGTGGGTCATGGTGGGATTCGAGGCTGAGGAAGAGGGTGCCAGATGTTTGGTTCCGGCAGTGTAGTGGCCCAGATAACCAGCATGCATGCCCATGACAAAGACCTAGAAAGGCGAGCATCCTTTAAATGCAAAACTGAGCTTTAAGCCAATTCACCTGTGAGCCAGGCACAAAGGATCTGGAGCAGGAAGCACTTGAATTGACACTACAGCGGCTGCATGATTTTGCCGGCATTGGGAACCCAAGCACATAGGGTTAATGCTCATGTGGGACCCAGTGGCTGGGCATTGGGCCTTCTGAAGAGGGATGTTTGAACTGAGATCTTTGCATAGAAGCTTGACTTTCAAATGATTACACTTCGATGAAAGAGTGGAAGAGAAAATGTACAGTCCTGGTCCAGGAAGATGACAAAGAAGTCTGTCTGACTCCACTTAGACAAGGAGTTCTCATCTGGCAATTTATAACCATGGACCAACTCTTCATACAGATTTGGTCTTTGACTTTATGCTAGCTTCTTGATACAGAAAGAAACAACTTGATAATGTTTTATTTTAAAATAGTTCTGGATTAGTGATACATTTGGGACTCATAAGCAAATGCAAAATGTCTTAGAAAAACACATTCTCATCTAAGCGTGCTCAGGATTCTAGAGATAAAACTCTGTTGAGATAAGCTTGCAATCCAAAATTCAAAAACACAAAGAACAACGCAGGTGGCAAAAGGAGGAAGAAAAGGAAAGATCACCTCAAAAGTCAGGAAAATGATTTTCTTCAGAAGAGCAGGGGCTGTGCCTGGCAAATGAAGAGGATGCTGGGTGCTGGAAATATTCTATTTCTTGACATGATTGAAGGTATAGAGAAGAAATTGAAAGCATAAAAGGTCACTAAGTAAACATAAGGGTAGATTCAAGCCCCCCAAATTCTAGAAATGAAATACGTAGATATTAAAGTTAAAAATTTATGGAGAGCTTAAATAGCACTGTTGACCCTTGAACAACATGGTTTGAACTTCATGGGGTCACTTATAGTGAGTTTTTTTTCCAACCAAAGGCAGATGGAAAATACAGTATTCACAGATTTCAAAAACCTGGCTATACAGAGGGCCAACTTTTCACTTAAGCGAGTTCTGCAGGACTGAGTGCAAGACTTGAGAATATGCAGAGTTTGGTATTCGCAAGGGTGTCCTGGAACCAATCCCCTGCAGATACCAAGGGACAACTCTATATTAGACATAGCTAAAGAATTAGTGAACTAAAACATAAATCTTAAGAAATGACTTATAGTGCAACACAGAATATAAAGAGATGGAAAATCTTAGAGATTAAGAGACATAGAGACTGGAATGAAAATGTTCAACATATATCTCATGGTAGTTAAAGAAGGACAGAATAGAGAGACTAGGGAAGTAGCAATATTCCAAGAGATAATGACTGGGAATTTTCTAGAATTGGAAATCCTCCTGTTTGGGACCACGAAGAATCCCAGGTAGGATATGTAAAACTAAATGCACATCTGGCAATATTGCTATGAAGTTTCAGAGACAACGGCAAAGATCTAAGCAAGCAGAGATAAAACATACAGAAGACCTACAAAAGAACATTTGTACTGACTTCAGACTTCTCAAAAGCAACCGTAGACCCCAGAAAATAGTGGAAGAATATATCTAAAATTCCAAGAGAAAATAACTGTCAGCTTTAATTTTATGCATAGCTAAACCAGTTTTGTTTGTTTGTTTGTTTGAGATGGGGTCTTGCTCTGTCACCCAGGCTGGAGTGCAGTGGCTTGATCTTGGTTCACTGCAACCTCCACCTCCCAGGTTCAAGCAATTCTCATGCCTCAGCCTTCCGAGTAACTGGGGTTACAGGCAGGCAGCACAATGCCCAGCTAACTTTATTATTTTTTTTTTTTTTGTATTTTTAGTAGAGATGGGTTTTCAACATGTTGGCCAGTCTGGTCTTGACCTCCTGATACCTCAAGTGATCCACCGGCCTCGGCCTCCCAAAGTGTTGGGGTTACAGGCATGAGCCACCATGCCTGGCCCTAAACCAGTTTTTCAAGAGTGAGGGTGAAATAAAGACATCTTCAGATGTAAAGAGATTGAAAGTTTTTAACTACAGAGGTTTGCTGAAAGTAAACTTACTATGGAGTAAATACAAGAAAGCATAGTAAAAACATAGTTTAAAAAAACATGGGGCTGGGCTCAGTGGCTCATGCCTGTAATCCTAGCACTTTGGGAGGCCAGGGTGGGCAGATCACCTGAGGTCAGGAGTTCAAGATCAGCCTGGCCAACATGGTGAAACCCCATCTCTACCAAAAATACAAAAAGCTAGCTGGTGTGATGGTGGGCGCCTGTAGTCCCAGCTACTCAGGAGGCTGAGGCAGGAGAATTGCTTGAACCTGGAAGGTAGAGGTTGTAGTGAGCCAAGATCGTGCTACTGCACTCTAGCCTGGGTAGCAGAGCAAGATCCTATCTCAAAACAAACAAACAAACACGCCAGTTCATGTCAGTTAATTGAAACAAGCCTATGTTGTTTTTAAGAAAACCCTAAGCATATACTACTACTACTACTACTAATAATAATAATGACAAAATGGAATTAAAATATGAACAACAGAATATGTAAGTTGGGGAAGAGGTGATAGGAGCTAAAATGAATTCTCAAGGCCTTGTTTCATTCAGGAGGAAAGCAGAGACTGATTAACTTCAGACTTTATGTTAAATATAGATGCAAAAAAATTAAGAGAACATACTTAAAAAGTCAAAATAGAATGTTGAGCTTCCAAAACAGTAGGCAGAAGAGAAGAAAATAATTTTTTACAAGCCTCAATCATTTCAATAGAAAGTAGAGAAGAAGAAAAACAAAGCAGAGTGTGGTAGATTGTATTTTCTGAAAATGGCCACAACAATATTTCTAATTCCTCTTGTACTTCCAGAACTCAGACACTCCCCATCAAGACTTGGTGGAGTCTCTTATGCCTCCCCTTGAACCTGGAAGGACTGTGTTACTCCCCTGGCCAATAGAACATGGTGGAAGTCATGCTGTGTGATTTCTGAGGTTAGATCATAAAAGGTAATACGGCTTCCATTTAGTGTGTGTGCACACTATCTCTCTCTCTCTCAAGATTCTTGCCCTTGGAACTTGGGCACCATGCCGTGAGGAGCCCACAGCCATATGGAAAACCTACATGTTGTTTGGACCAACAGGTCCAGCTAAGATCTCAGCAGCCAGCCAGCACCAATCACCAGACATGTAAGTGAGCAAGTCCTGAGATGATTCCAGCCTTCAAAGCTTCCAGATGAGGTGCCGGACATCGTGGAGCTGAGCCCTATCCCATTCCTGACCCACGGAATCTGTGGGCATAATAAATCGCTATTTTATACTACAAAGTTTTGGGGAAGTTTGTTATGCAGACAAACTGGAATACAGAGTAAATAAAAAGTACAAAATAAAATGGTAGCATTAAATCCAATATATAAATAATCACAAAAATGTCAACTGACTAAACTCACTTGCTGAAACAAAGGCTGTCAGAGATTTTTAAGAAGCTTATAAGAGACATCTCTTAAAAGCTATTCAGGAGGCTGAGACAGGAGAATCGCCTGAACCCGGGAGGCGGAGTTCAGTGAGCCAAGATCAAGCCCCTGCACTCCAGCCTGGGCCACAGAGGAAGACTCTGTCTCAAAAGAAAAAAAGCAAGGACACAGAAAAGAACAAAAAACAATGGAAAAAGATATATATTCTCTGGATATATTAATCCAAAGAACACTGGGGCTGAAATATTTTGTTGTATATCAATATAGTTGTTATTATTAAGTACAGAGATGAACACTCCATAACATTAAAAGCTACCATTTGCCATGAATATATGATACAACTGACCCTTGAACAATGCAGGTGTTAGGGACACCAACAACCCCATACAGCCAAAAATTCGTGTATAACTTTTGATTCCCCCAAAACTTAACTACGAATAGCCCTACTATTGACCAGAAGCCTTGCTGGTAACACAAATAGTTGATTAACACATATTTTGTATGTTATATGTATTAAATATTATATTTTTACTTTAAAGTAAGCTAGGGAAAAGAAAATGTTACTAAGAAAATCACAAGGAAGAGAAAATATATTTACTATTCCTTAAGTGGAAGTGGATCATCATAAAGGTCTTCATTCTCAGCATTTTTGCGTTAAATAGGCTACGGAGGAGGAGGACGAGGAGGGGTGGGTCTTGCTGTCTCAAGGTTGGCAGAAGTGGAAGAAAATACAAGTCTAAGTGAGCCCACGCAGTTCAAACCTGTGTTATTTAATGCCATCCTAAATTTGCATGAAGCTAACAATATTGCCTTAAAATATATAAAATCAAATTGACAGAATTTCTATAAGAAATTTACATATCTAAAATCATAATGGCAGCTGTAACATAGCTCTCAGTAATTGATAGATTAAGTAGATAAAAATGAGTAAGGACTAACGGTTTGAGAAATGCAACCAGCAAGCTTGAGCTGCACCTAACAATTGAAGGATGCACATTCTTTTCAAATACAAATGGCACATCTACAAAATAGACTATGTGCAGCATCCTAAAACAAGCCCTAACAAGGAACTAATATCACACAGATCACATACTTGATCCACAGTGTAATTAAGTTAGAAATAACATTTTAAAATCTTTTTTAGAATATCCTACATAGTCCTAAACTTAAAAACACACTTCTAAATAATTCATAGATCAAAGAAGAAATAAAATGGAAATTAGAAAACATTTAGACCTAAAAGATAACAAAAATGTGGTATATCAAAACATGTAAAATATAATTACAGTGGGAAATATAGCATCTCAAATGCTTAAACCATAAAAAAGAAAGATTGAACAGGTAATGAGGTAAGAGTTCAACTCAAAAGTTGGAAAAGTAAGACAGGATAAACCCAAAGAAGGTAGAAAGGAGAAGATAATAAAGACCTGGCCAGGTGCGGTGGCTCATGCTTGCAATCCCAGCACTTCGAGAAGCCAAAGAGGGAGGATCATCTGAGACCAGGAGTTTGAGACCAGCTGGGGAAACATAGTGAGACTCTGTGTCTACAAAAATCTTAAAATTATCCAGGTGTGGTGGCACACACCTGCAGTCTCAGCTACATGGGAGGCTGAGCCAGGAGGGTTGCTTTCAGGAATTTGAGTCTGCAGTGAGCTATGATCATGCCACTGCACTCCAGCCTGGGTGACAGAGCAAGATTCTAATTTACAAAATAATAAATAAAGGCAGAAATTTATTTTTTTTTAATTTCGTGAAATAGAAAGTGTTCTAAGAGAGAAGTTCAGTAAAACCAGAAGCTGGTCCTTTTGAAAGACTAATAAAATAGACAAACCTCTGGCAGGATTGGTGAGAGAGAGAATACAAATAAACAGTATTAAGATGCAAAAAGGCGATATAATTCCAGCTACAGGAGATAATTTTAAAAATCATGAGATTAATATGAATATCTTTTTATAAATACACTAAGAACCATAAATAAAATGCACAGTTTTCTAGGAGAAAAAAGCCCAGTAAAACTCAGAAGAAATTTAAAAATCAGAATGGGCCTATAATTATTAAAGAAAGTGAATAAGTAATTAAACATTTGCCTACATCGGCAAAAATAGCTACGACTAACAAAACATCAATCCCAGGTGGTTTTACAGGGAAGTTGTGCCAACTATCCAAGCTGCAGAGAATCCCAGTCTTAGCAAAATGTTCTAAACCAGTGTTTCTCAAACTTAAATATGCAATCAAATCACCTAAATCTTATTCAAATGATGATTCAGTGGATCTAGGGGGGAGCTTGAGATTCTGCATTTCTAACAAGCTCCCAGGTTATGCCAGATATAAAGTCTTCTGTAAGTCAATAAGCTAAAGCTAAACAACCCAATAGGAAGCTGGAAAAAAGTTGTGTATATTCAGTCTGCAGAAGAAACCTAAATGCCAATAGAAAGAAGCCCTACTAGCTTGCTATTAACAAATCCAAACTAAGAGTGAGGTACTGTTTCCCCCTAACCAAATTAGCAAATCTGGTTTGCTGACAAGATGAACTACTGGCAAACATGTGAAACAAGAAAACCCTTTAAGGGTAGCTGGAATGGTAAATTGATACATCTATTCTGGAGATCAGTTTTCCAACCTCTAGTGAAGTTGAAGAGTGGATACACCATGACATAGATACAGTGTACATGCCTAAAGAAATTGTTGCACATGTGCTCAGGGAGAAAAGTGCAAGGATGTTCAGGCTGCTCTGTATGTTACAGTGAGAAATTGGAAATAATCTAAATCTCCATCAGCAGAAGAATGATTGAAATACTATACAGCAGTGAAACTGCATATACAACATGGATAGATCCCTAACAAATGTTTTTTAAAAAGCAATTTGAAAATCAATAGGTACACTTTGATACCTTTACATGAAAACACAAAACATGTAAGGCAATCACATATATTGTATATCATTTATATATGTAACAAAAGTATAAAAATATTCATGGAAGTGAAAAATGACAAATTCAGAACAGTGGTTACAACTGGGGAGGGTGGAAAATAAGATAGAATAGGGGTATATGTCAACTGAGTCTATTAGTTTATTTCTTTTTTTTTTTTTAAAAGGTGGGACCAATACCGTATGTTTCTCACACTTTGTGTGATAAGAACACAAAGAGGGAACCACACACAATGGGGCCTATTGAAGGGTGGAGGGTTGGAAGAGGGAGAAGATCAGGAAAAATTACTAATGGGTACTAGGCTGAATACCTGGGTGATGAAATAATCTGTACCACAAACCCCCATAACACAATTTTACCTGTGTAACAAATCTGCACATGTACCCCTGAGCTAAAAGTTAAAAAAATAAAAGTTAAGGCATTAAAAACCTGAAAAAAAAGGTGAGGAAGTAAATATAGCAAAATATTAAGAATGAATGATTTAACAGAACTGGGGAGATAGGTATATCAATATTTTGACACTATCTCCCATACTTTCCTATATATTTATAATAATTTAATAATCATAATAATATAAAAGGCTTATGACTAAGAGAATAAGAGAGGATATATCAGCAAATGAGAGATATCTTGGACTGTCTTGAGATGGTTATACAGTCACTGATGAAGCTAGGAAAAGTGAGGATGCTACAGAGAATGCAGCCAACCTGCCCGGGGAAGCAAATTTTGATTTCAGATGTTAGGGATGTCAGAGAGTGGGATATTTGGAGCTAGAATCTGGTGGGGGTGCTGACTGAAAAATCCATTTTCAGGACCAAACAGTAGCTGCCCATTCCCACACTATGTATTAATAGAATTCCAAGTAGCCACATTTCTACCATTTAGACAAAAACAATTTTTGAAAGTTTCTCCTAAAAAGAAATTGAATAAGTCTCAAGTAAGAATGCTGCTTTATTCTGACACTTAGGGGTCTCCCAGTAAAATGGCTGGCTCACAGCCCAATCACCCTAAGATGAAGTCCGTTAGTCAGCCAGTCCTTCACATGAACACAAAGCTCCCACGTGCCTTTTTATTCCCTTATTCTTATATTTAAAAGGATATCCAATAATTCCAAATATTTAAGATTGCAAGAAAAAAAAAACAGGAAAAGTAATCCTGAAAGATTATACTAGTAACAGAAGATAATTTAAAAGTAAACATTTAAAATACTCTAATTAGATCCTCAGATAAATTAAGAGGATTTTGTATACCTATAACAAGAACAAGGTGCTATAAAGAAATAAAAAACTAAAAGAGCTCTTGAAAATATATATATTAAAGATTTTTATAAAATTTAAAAACTTAATAGAAAGCTAAGAAGATAAGGTCCAATAAATCTTCCTGAAAGAGAAAATATGAAAGAAAAAAATAAAAGACATGATTCAGAGAATTCCAAAAATAAAACAAAGAAAATAGGGGAAAGGAAATTTTCAAAAAAAAAAAAAGTAGAATGAAAAGTCAGAACATCAGGGCTGAAGAAAAAGTGTGGCAAATGGTATACAGGCAGCAGGAGAAGGTGACAGGTCATCTGTAAAGAACTAGAGTCTGATTGCCATCACACTTGCCATCTCTAATGCTGGATGCAAGAAAATATTGGAGCAAACCTTCAAAGATTTGAATAAAAATAATTTTCAACCCAGAAACCTAGAATCCTGTTCCTAAATGTGTACCAAACAGAACAAATATACTTTCAGGTACACAAGCACTCAGATAATTTATCTTTCATGTACAATTTCTTAAGAATTTATTTGAGGAGTGCTCCTGAAAAATGGAATAACTCAAGAGAGAAGAAATGGGCTGAGGGAAACATTGGATCCCACCCAGGAAAGCGGTAAGGGGCAATCCCTAGACCTTCCGCTGTCCGGATCATTTATAGAGCAAAGAGTCCAGCTTGGAACAAGTGGACTCAGGTCTCCGGGAAGAGTTTTCCAAGAAAAACAATAAAGAGGCTTATAGAATACCTGAGGCAATCGAAAATTGAAAGAAAAAAAATGAGGAATTCTATAAAGGCAAATAATGCAAGACACAGAGAAAGGAATGAGAAACTCTGGGGAAAATAAAAAATTATACAAAAAGGATGTGTAAGTAGTTTGATGAGTCAGTAAACAATATTTTCATAAGCAAAGCAATAGACATCATTTATTGATTTTTACCATAAATGGTGATACTGGAAGAATGAGGGAAAGGGAGCTTGGGGGTGGCATAAGAAAATTAAACACTCAACCTTCATAACAGGGAATCAATAGATAATGCATAAAGTACATAAATTAAGATATATCAGTAAAACATATTACTTAGAGATATGAGAGTAATTGGCAGAATAAATAAATCCAAAAGATTAAAATGATCGCCCTTGAGGAGCAGGACTGAAATTGTTGGGAAGGGTAGAGCCGAGGACTCCTGTATGTCATAATAAGCCTTTTGGGACATTTGGCTTTTAAATCATTTGGCTTATTTTGATTTTTAAAAGCAGCCTCTGTCAGGTCCTGGCAAGCTTTGAATGCTTCCAAAGAGATTGCACTCTATTCTGCATGCACAGGGAAGCCATGGGAGGTTTTGGAAGCTAGGAGGGACATAATCAGATATAGATCCTGGTACAGCAAATCCGCTCTCCAAATGGGACTTCCAGGGCTGAATATGCTGCACACGTTGTTGGTGTATCCAATGTATAAACTAAACAAATGCTTAGGGCTGCAGCAAAGCAAAGGCATTAATTTTTTTTAAATCTCGTCTTCTACACGTCAAACATAAACCCGTTTTCATGGGAAAAGATGGAATTTACTTACCTGTATTTTACAGTTTACTATTAATTTGTTTTGAGCTACATAGAAGAGCTGGGGGTGGGCGCACCATTATTATTATTATTATTTATTTATTTATTTATTTTTGTTGGTGCTTAAGGTCTTTAAAGTTCGTAGTTCAACTGTGGCTCTAGGTGAACTTGAGCCATCTTTACCTTTCGTATTCTGGACCCCGGAGTTCTAATAACAAAGCCCAAGATTGTATCGACCTTACCAACAGCTACACATACGGCACAAGTTGAGATTGTGGTCTGCTAAACCTCAGATTTGTCCCCACCCCATTCTTGAACTGCTATCAAATCATTATCATCACTGTCCTGTTCTTTTAAAATTTATTTTTAAACTCAAGTATGGGATGATAAGCATTACCAGGAAATCACTCCTCGTTTCAGTCCTATATTATAATCTGGTCAGATATTTTGTAGATGTTGACCCTACCACATTTCCATCCCAACTTTAGGTCATCTATAAATTAAATATACTCGTTTTCTAGATTTTCATTCCAAATCACTGATAGACTTGCTGAACAGGATTGGGTAAAATGTAGTCTTGTGGCATAGGCCTGAGACTTCCCTAAAAGTCAAGGACATCTAATAAGTTTCAACCACAGAAACCTAATGGCTGGTGGCTGCCTAGTGGCTGCTTGGAGCCCTGTGCTGAGAAGGATTCTGAGCTCCATCTGAATTCAGAGGAAAAGAGAGATGTGATGGATTAGCAATGAATGTCTGTCTAGGGATGGGGGTGAGGATGTCACAAATTGCCATCTCTGCTTCAGAATAGCCCCCAAACCACTCAACTACATTATTTGCATTTGTGTCTCAATCTTTCAATCCATCAAAGGGCTGTTTCCCAGTCCACATTTCTCCACCTTGTTCATAGGGACGGGACAGGCTTTGTCAATTATACTGCAGAATCAATACACATTATGTCCGTAACATTCTCCTTATCTACCAGTCTAGTAACCCCATCAAAGAGGAAAATAAGGTGAGTTTGGAATGCTTCATTCTTGGAGAACCTAAGGCAGAGCTCCTAATGACTACTACTTTATTTTCTAAAATGGGGTACAACATCTTTAGATTGTCTGTCTCCTGGATGTTTTCCTAGCCTCTAGGAGTTGTCCTACCGGTAAGTTTTCAGCACCTGAGAGGTAAGTCATTTTGACCTGGAGATGGAAGCTGGGAGATAAATTAGTATCTCTTAGTATCTCCTTACCTATTGATTACCATTTTTGTTGCTGTTGTAGTCATTGTAAAAATAATGCATGCCTATTACAGAAAACCTGGAGACTACGGAAAGATGAAAGGAAGGAAAATCGCCCACCGTCTCGACTTCTTTTTCTTTGCACTATTTTTGAGAGTTTGCATCTGTGTTGTTTTATATAGCTGTGACCATAATGTATGTGTGATTTTACATTCTGGGTTTTCACATAAGATTATATTCTATGAATTTTTCAGGTCAGTATTAAATTTCATTGACCTAATTTTTAATAGCATAATATCCCATCTACGTGATATGTCATAGTTTACTTAACCATTCTGCTACTGTTGGCCACTTAGGACATTTCCATCATTGCCCTACTTCAAATGCCTATTCTTGAATATATTTATTATTTAATACATATGGATTACGTACCAGGCACTGTGCTAGGAGCTGAGATGCAGAGATGAGCAGAGTCCCCAGGGAATAAACAAATAAGGACAGAGCAGGTGAAGCAGACAACCCTGTGGGCAAGGCAGGGAGGCCTTCAGAGTGGAGAGAGGTGGGCGCAGATCATTAAGAGCTTTGGATGCCATGATGAGGAGCTGCTGAAGAACTTTAAGCAGTGGCCAGAAACCCTGTGTGTGAGTTCTAGCTCTGCTCTTACAGGGTAGGTGACCTTAGGAAAATCACTTAATCCCTGGGTCTCATTTTCTTTTTTCTGGAAATGAAAGATGCTAATTGATCTGCTACCTGCCTTTCAGGGTTGCCATGAGAATCAAAGGGAGGTAGTCGATCTGAGTTTTCTCAACTGGAGAGCACCATGAAAAATGTGAAGCACGGGAGCAGAGGCCAGATACATCCTCATGGAACTGAACCAAATTCAATTCCTCTGTCGTCTCTTTCTCAGCAACCTAGCTGGGAGTCGGGGAGAGGCAGTAGTGAGGACAGGGTGGAAGTGGGGTGTGCCTGTCTCTCCTGGGAAGCTCCAGAACAATGAGAAGTTTTGGAAAAGCAAGGCAAGAAGATGGAGGACCTCCTTATGTGAGAGCCAGTTGTCTCTCTGCCCCAATGGATCAATCCTATGTAACACATATACTCATACACACACACACACACACTCACACAAACACACACACACCTTGGAAACTTGTTTGAAAAGCACTTGTTACCCCACAGGGCTTTTTACAGGCATTATGTCATTTGATCCTCACCACCACTGTGAGAGAAGAATAAATGGGATATTATTGGTATTCCCATTTCACAGACAAGAAAACAGAGGCTCGGAGTGTTAATATACCCTGCTCAAGAGCTGTTAAGAAGGAGAAGCCAGTCTCTGACCAGATGCCCCAGGTTTTTTTCTGGGCAGGCAGGACTTAAAAGCAGGCGGCCTCAACTTGGGATAAAAGGACCTCGAGAGCTGAACCACAGCCCCAGGGCAGCACCTTTCCCCCAGGATCCTCTTCCAGTTTACCGGCCACCTTCCCCACTGCATGAGGACTCAGGAAAGATTTCCCAGTATGAAACTGCCTGTGGGCGCCTGAGAAGACTTGCTGCAACACTAGAAACCCCAGTTTCCCCTTCCTCCCGAATTGGCCTTAAACAGCCCTGGACGCTAGCCGATGAAAGGGAAACCTTAGGATATCTGATGTGTTGCAACACTGTAACAGACTCCAAATTGTCTTGGCAAGACCAAACCCCAAGGCTAGGAAGGTAATTCCATCCTGAGGAATGTCTTTTGTTCCTTTGTTCTGCTTTTCACTTCTAATTTGAGGCAACAGGATAAATAAGCAAACAAAAGTGCTCATGCAGATCTCTCAGAATCTTAGGGAAGGGGAAGCCTTAGGCTCTGACATTCTCAGCATTTTTGTTTCAAAGCTTTGGGAAGCTGCAATTGCCCATTGAGGAGACTTGGGCTGCAGATGCCAGAAAGACTAGATTGTCTTGTCCAGAGCAGAGCCATTCTTGTGGGGTCTGAATTTTGGACATTGGTATTAGGGTGTTAGGGAGGTGCTCCTGCTCACTCTTGCCTGCACCTCCTGCACTCCGATTGTCTCCAGGATTAGCTGAGAGCTCTGGGTCCATGGGTTCTCTCCCCTCCCCACAGGTGCCTTGGGAAGGGCACCTACATACACCAAAAGCTCTGGTGTCCTGTCCAAGGCCCTACATTCAAATCCTCTCTTTGCTCCTGTGAAGCTGTGGAGTATTAGAAAAATTGCTGTACCCCTCTGTGCTTCTGCTTCTGTAAAGAAAACTGTCTCTTTGTAATGACCAGATCCATCTTTTGGGGGATTACCTGGGCTCTTGTCGTAGAGTTAACCTGTGAGGGATGCCTTTAAGAGGGTGGAATCTCACCAGAAGGGGATGAGTAGTGCTACTAGCAGAGAAAAGGAGGGTCTTCCCACAAGAAACCTGCAATCCTGAGCAAGACCTAGGTGCAAGAGATGGCCATGGACATTGAGGATTGTAAGTGTCTTTATCTGGCGTCTACTAGATGGACACTAAAATGATATCTGACCCATGGAAGAAAATCCAGAGATATGGAACTCTGGGGACCAATAGGGTTGGGATGGAAACTTCCAGCCGTGGTAGGCCATTCACAGTGGGTAAACCAGATGGCCCAGCTGCATCACATTCTGCATTTTTCCCTCTTTGCCATCTCCTAGTTTCTCGTAAAGTATTATTTGAATCAAGTTCCAACTTTGCCTTCTCTGTGCCATGGAGAAAAACAGTCATATGGAAAAATCTCAAAGGAAAGAGGACTGTTAGACACAGAGACAAGACACGCAGGCCATCCACCCCCTCATATCAAGAAAATCCTTTTAAATAGCTACCGTGGGGGTTCTTGCCTTATTTTTATTAAAGAAAGGTGGCATTTCTTTATAGTAATAAAATGTTATAAAAAGTTCATTTAGAATGATTTGCTCCTTGAACAAAGGAAGGGTGGGTGGTAGAGAGCCCAGGGGTGAGAGGTCGTTGAAATATACTGGTTTTTAAAATTTTATGTTATCTTCTATGGAGTATCAATATATAAAACTGATAAAAGTGGAGGAGCTCTGTTTGAAGAGGAAGATGAGGAAAAGTCTTTTCCAGTTGGATGCTTTTTATTCCTACTTCATCCCAAACTATCCCCTGCAGCACTTCCGCAGTCATCTTAAGGATCCCTGACAGGTACTTGACAAGCATGGCTTTTATTTGAATTCTCCATTTATAAATGAGAAAGCCTAAGTTCAACGAAGTGAGGTGTCCCACCCCAGATACACAACTGGTTAGTGGAAGAAGAGGGACTCCAGACCAAGGGATCCAAAGTAGAACTTCCCAATTGCTGTGCCGTGCCACACTGATGTGCTGCCGTTAGTCTCAAAGCTCTACAGACACACAGGCGGGGACTGGGACTCTTGGGAATTCCCTTGCCAGTGTTTCTTGGAGGATAGCTGGAGTGGAGTGGGATATGATGGTGTGTCCTATGGTCCTCACTGGTAATGGCCCTGCACAACTCCATCACACTCTGCTGCATGGTGAGGTACCAAACATGGCCTAGGAGATGCTCCACCAACTGGATGTTTGCTTGAATTCTCAGCTCAGAACAGGCCACTGTCCTTTAGGGCAAGGGACCCCTTGTGCTGCTGGAGGACTTTTGGTTCTAAGTGCCCAGGTAGTATGACACAGACCCCAAGGTACTGCCAGACAGGGGTAGGATAGGGAGGCTTGGTGGGGTTTCTGGTAGATGCAGCTCCAGATAGGGTCCAACTATCTATCTTTGCAAATATCAAATGCTTCTAGACATTTACAGCTCTTTTAGTAGCATCTAAGCTAGCTGCAGGTTGACTGCTGTAACAGTGCACATACCTGCTACAAATTAGAGATTCTGCATTATTTTGAAATACTTAATATGAAAAAGTTTGGTAGCATTCAAATCCATTAGCATTAACACAAGATATTTAAAAATTACATTTGTCAATGAAAGAAAAGGAAGACCTCTGGGAATCTTTAAATATAATTTCAACTGCTGCAATTTTTTAATGTGCTGCTGACTTTTGCTCATAAAGTTACTTGTCAATGAGATTTTTAAGAATTTAAAGAGATCAGTCCTGAAAACCTGGAACAAGAATTATTAGGTTGGTGCTAAAGTGATTGCGGTTTTTGCCATTGACAGTAACAGTAAAAACCGAGATAGCTTTTGCACCAACTTAACATATGGAAGCATTTAAATATACAACCAGATATAACAAGCTATGTTCGTGGAAACAATATTGTTAGCATTAAAAACTGAAAACTATTTTCTAATGTCTAATATCTAAAATCTATGCAAATTTAAACTTTAATATTATCCCTAATACTTTCTGTTTTGATTCCTTCCCTCCACAAATATGAGTTGAGAGTAGGTAGGCAATATTTAGCTCCAGGAAGTATATCACTGAGCAAACAGACAAAAACTACTAAAAAGTTGACATTCTAGTAGAGAAAAGCCAAGAATAAATAATATCATAAATATAGCATGTCAGGAGATGAGTACTATGGAAAAAAATTGAGAAGAGTAAAATAGATTGATATGGTTTGGATTTGTGTCCCCGCCCAAATCTTATGTCAAATTGTAATCCTCAGTGTTAGAAGAGGGACGTGGTGGGAGGTGATTGGATCACGGGGGCAGATTTTCCTCTTGCTTGTTCTCATGATAGTGAGTGAGTACTCCCAAGATCTGGTTGTTTAAAAGTGTATAGCACCTTCCCCCTCTCTCTCTTCCTCCTGATCTGGCCCTGTGAAGACATTCCAGCTTCCCCTTCACCTTCTGCCATGATTAAAAGTTTCCTGAGGCCTCCCCAGCCATGCTACCTGCACAGCCTATGGAACCATGAGCCAACTAAACTTCTTTTCCTTATAAATCACCTGGTCTCAGGTATTTCTTTATAGTAGCATGAGAAGAACTAATACATATATTGATAAAATAAAGTGGTCAGGGCAGGCCTTGCTGAGATGGCAACACTGAGCGAGGATTTGGTGATGGTGAGGAAGTAAGCCATGCAGACATCTGGGGAAGAAAACTCAGACAGGGGATAGAGAGCATGTGCAAAGGCCCTGAGGCACAGCAAGCTTGGCATGTTCAGAGAACAGGAAGGAGGCCTCTGTGGCTGGAAAGAAGTGAACATAGAAGATAGTAGTAGAAGACGAGGTCAGGGAGGTGACAGATACCAGACTGTGAGGGGGCTTGTCAACATTTTAAGAACGTTGCTTTTGACTCTGAGTAAACTGGAAACCCCTGTGGGATTTAAGTGGAAGAATGATGTCTTATTTATGCTTAGTAAGGAGCCCTCTGGCCATTGTTTTGAGCTTCTGTTAGGAGATGGACACTAAAATGATATCTGACCCACGGAAGAAAATCAAGATATGGAACTCTTGCGATCCATGGGGTTGTGATAGGACCTTCAAGCCCCAGGTGGACCATTCACAGCTGGTAAACCAGATGGCCCAGCTGCCATCATTGTTTTGACTGAAGGGGATGGAGGTCAGAAGTAGGGGGACTACTTAGGTGGCTGTCATGAGAATCCAAGGGAGAGGTGATGATGTTTGGAATGAAACAGTAGCAGTGAAGGTGGTCAGTTTATGACTGTATTCCAATGGTAGAGGCTAGAGGATTTCTGATGTAGAACATGGGCATACATATCACATAAAATATATACAGGCTCTAGAGGATAGAGAATATGAAAGAAAGAGTTGAAGATGGCTCCAAAGGTTTTGGCGTCAGCAACTGGAAGGATTAACAAGAGCTTAACTGAGCTGGGGGAGACTGCAGGTGGAGTGAGCTGGTGAAGATGGTGGCAGGTCAGGTGTTCAGAAACTAATATGCTGTTTTTGAGATACCTATGATGCATCTAAGAGGAAATGTCAACTAGGCAGTTGGATATAAAAGCCTGCAGTATAGAGGGATTTTATTTTATTTTTATCATAATAATATAATATAAAGTTATAGGGGGCTTTACCCCCAGCCATATATATTTTTCTATCTATTATCTGTCTGTCTATCTATCTATCTATCATCTACCTATCATCTATCTATCATCAATCTATCTATCATCTATCATCTACCTATCATCTATCTATCATCTATCTATCTATCTATCTATCATCTATCTATCTATCCATCCATCCATCCATCCATCCATCCATCCATCCATCTATTTATCCATTTTAATGCCCTCAAGTTTACCCCAGTGTGTCATCAAGTATTATCTTCCTCTATGAAAAAGTGTGGAAAGCACTGTCCTAGTAGCAAGGGCCTCTGGCCTGGGCAGTCAAGAGTCCTGAGCTCCAATTCTGCCTTGTTTATGTGTAGAACTGATGATCAGTTGGTGGCACTGCCATGGCTGAACCAGCTATTTCTGGTGGCATCTATTCTGATTGGCCAGAGCCAGTGTTCTACCAATTGTTCAACATCTTGAACTTCACCCTTGATTATGGTGAACATGTTTTGGAGTCAGGGAGTGGTAGCTTTGCACTAGCTCAGCCCCTTACCAGCTATATGCAGCTGGGAACATGGGTCTGGTTTGCTAGTTCATTGGGTGTTGGCTGCTCAGCTTGGGAGCCCCCTTTCTTTCTTTGGGAGCCCATCAGGCAATTCTTGATTGGAGCCAGTGTCCATGAAGGGTGCCCTGGCCCCTGGCATTGAGGAGTGAATGCATGGCGTACTCACCCTCAGATGACACCACTTGGGAATTTAGATTTTAAGATAGGGACATAAAGGTGCAAGGAGAGTTTGAAATTCACCTTGGTGGTGGCCATCCAGTGTCTGGTGCAGTGGTCTCCTAACGGGCTCTTCCTTGTGTGTCCTGGCCCTGACTCTAACCATCTTGGATCATACATGTTTCCTAAGTTCCCTGTATATTCCATGAGCTATCAATATCTTGCTCCCAAATTTCTTTTCTGTTTAAGTTAGCTAGAGTCTTTTTTTATTGTTTGTTTGTTTGTGATGGAGTTTCACTCTTGTTGCCCAGGCTGCAGTGCATTGGTGCGATCTCGGCTCACCGCAACCTCTGCCTCCTGGGTTCAAGCGATTCTCCTGCCTCAGCCTCCCAAGTAGCTGGGATTACAGGCAACCGCCACCACGCCCAGCTAATTTCTGAATTTTTACTAGAGACGGGTTTTCACCACGTTGGCCAGGCTGGTCTTAAACTCCTGACCTCAGGTGATCCACCCTCCTCAGCCTCCCAAAGTGCTGGGATTACCAGGCATGAGCCACCGTGCCCAGCCTAGAGTCCATTTTTGAATGCTGACTGACACACTGACCTAAGGCAGGCCACTGACCTCTTTGGAGGCTTGCTTTTTCTTCTATAAAACGGAGATCACATCGATTGCACAGAATTAAATGAGACAATAGTTTCATGAACCTAGTACAGTAATTGGCAAAGAGTAGGTCCTTAAACATTTCCCAATAATAAACTCTGTTTCCCTTGGCTGGCCTTAGTTGCTTCGTCTTGGAAGTAGAAATGACAGAGAATGCTAATTCATCTCATTCTCTTTACATCTCTTCAGAGGACAGCAGACTGGCTCATCCAGTCACAAGACATGGGCCTGCTTGAAAGGCCAGAGAATTGGAAACAGGGCAAAAATAGGACAGTCAAGGGCTCGCTGATGTCAGGAGGAGTCTTATTAGCTAGTCCATAACTCAGCAGATCACAGTGCATGTGCCCCTGATTCCTGAGCTTTCTGCAGTGCGAGGGATGTGGCCTCATCCATCAGCCGGCCCCACGGGCATGCAGACAGGAGCACTGCAGTGCCGCTGGAATCAGCGCGGAGCAGTTAGTTCTGGGATGGAGGCTGAGGCAGAGTGAGGTGTCGGTTCCACCAGTATGTGGTATCTCCAAGGCTGTATTAGCAGGGGGCTGTCAATCTCCAGGCAGAAAAACAAGAGACAGAAAGAAGAAACAATCAAGAATCAGACAGCAACAAGAGAGAGGGAGCGAGAGGCTGGGGGACTATTTTAAGTAATGTTTGATAAATTACCTGCCTGTCCTGGCCTCCTCATAAAGATGCTGTGCAGCTGATGTTCGCATTTGACAACTCACCACCACAGCAGGCTGCGGGGATGAGACAAGCCGGGGCTGAAGGAGGTGGCTGGGCACTCCTACACTAGGGACCCCGGGTGGGGGTCCATGTCCATTGGTCACAGGTTCACAGGTGGACGCATGCAGCGCTGCACACACATGGAAACATCTGTGCTCACAGGGACTGAGGTTGTTGTGTTCATTGTTATGCATATAGGCACACACATGGCACACAGGCAGGCCCAACCCCGCGCTCCCACTCACTTCACGTGAGGCCCTGCCCCTGCCTGGTCCTGTAAAATGCCAAGACACATTCATTGGCCAGAGTGCTGTCTCCAGGTAGGCAAGAGAAGATGCCCAAGCTGGGAGCAGGCACCTGAACTGTTGGGGAGGGAAGATGGGGGCATTGCAATTTTCCAGAAGTTTAGATGTGGCACAAAGATCAAACAAAGATGTGGATCTTTGTGCTGCCCTAGGGAACCCCCAAAGCCTATTCAGCAAGGATAATTCATTTAGTTAACAGCCTTCTGTGAAAGTGGTAAAATTGCTGTAGCAAGAATGTTTCTAAGTAGGGTACCTAGGTCTGGCTGGACACACAGCTTCTGCCCTCTCTTTAACTTTCTGACATCTAACTTGCCCCCGCTCCTACCCTAAAAAGAACTACCTGTACACAGTTTGAGCACATGAGATCCTCTGCCTGTAAAATGGGGATAATAGCACCTACTGCTGCTTGCCTCACAGGGTTGTTATGAGATTAAAATGAGATTACGTCCATGAAGGCTTTCTGCATTTCGTCAGGTATCATGGGGAGCACTGGTAGATTATTAAGAGAAGGTGGTGTTTGTTACACAATTTGGAAGACCTCAGTTGGAGTCCCCACTTTCTTCCTATGACTTAGGCAGGATGCCCAGTGTCTGCTCCTTGGTTTTCTGATCTGTACATTGGCAATAACAACACTGCTATGGTCTTAATGTTTGTGTCGCTCAAAAATTCCTATGTTGAAATCCTACCCCCACAAAGTGATGGTGTTAGGAGGTAAGGCCTTTGGGGGTGATTAGGTCGTGAGGGTGCAGCCCTCCTGAATGGGATTAGTGCCCTTGTAAAAGGGCTGAAGGGAGCCTGTTTATCCTTCTGCCCTTCTGCCATGTGAGGGCACTGAGACAAACCACCATTTATGAGCCAGAAAGCAGTTCCTCACCAGACACCAAACTTGCTGGGGCCTTGAACTTGAATGTCCAGGCCTCCAGAGTGGTGAGAAATATAAATGTCTGTTGCTGGGAAGCCACCCAATCTGTGATGCTTCATTATAGCAGCCTGAAAGGACTAAGACAGACACCCATCCTACTCTACTTTGTTGTGTGGGTCCAGTGAGACAACACAGGTAAAAGTGTTTCATGACTGTAAAGTGCATGTCAGACTGGGTCGTTATGCTGATGGCAGGACCTGGAGTATGTGCCCCTGCCTGGGGTGGTGCTGGAGCTAACTAGGGGACAGTCTGACAGTTGGGGTGCAGGTAGTCTAAGATCTTAGGGGGCCTGGTGCCCCGCCAAAGCCATGCCCTTCTAGTGGAATATTTGAGGAATCTAGTGGCAAACTAGCCCCTGACCTGGTGGAAGGGGCTCCCTGGGGCTGTGATGTCTCTTTCCTGGACCTCATAACTGGAAAGGAGACAGGCTGGATGTTTCTTCTAGAAACGCCGCCGATGTTGTGAACTTTACAACAAGAGTCTAGTCTTCGTCGTTTCTTCCTTTTCCACAAGTCTTGGGGAGTCTCTAAAAATAAGGTACAGGAGACCCTGAGCCTTTTTGAGAAACAGGAAACCTAAGGGTGTCTTCTATCTTCACGTTTTCTTTCTTTTTTATAGTTACAGCTTCAGGGAACAGATGTGCAGGTTTGTTACATGGATCTACTGCATAATGGTGACGTTTGGGCTTCTGGTGCACCCATGCACCCAGGTAATTTTTCAACCCTCACTTCCTTCCACCCCACTCCCCTTTTGGAGTCACAAATGTCTATTGTTTCCATCTTTTTATGTCCATGTGTACCCATTGTTTAGCTCCCACTTATAAGTAAGAACATGCAGTATGTAACTCTCTGTTTCTGAGTTATTTCACTTAGGATAATGGTCTCCAGCTCCATCCATGTTACTGCAAAAGACATGATTTCATTCTTTTAAATTCTTTTACATGGCTGCATAGTATTCCATTTTACACACACACACACACACACACACACACACACACACACACATACACACACTACATTTCCTTTATCCAGTTATCAGTGAATGGTAACAGAGGTTGGTTCTCTGACTTTGCTATTGTGAATGCATCTCCATATTTTCAACCACACAATGCCGTACAGTGGTTTCATTTCCTCCTCTATAAAACAAAGACAGGACTGGGCACGGTGGCTCATGTCTGTAATCTCAGCACTTTGGGAAGCCAAGGCAGGTGGATCACTTGAGCCCAGGAGTTCAACACCAGCCTGGGCCACATGGCGCAACCCCATCCCTACTAAAAAAAAATACAAAAAAATTAGTCGGGCCTGGTGGCACATATCTGTAGTCCCAGCTTCTCAGGAGCCTGAGGTGAGAGAATCACCTGAGCCTGGGAAGTTGAGGCTGCAGTGAGCTGTGATTGTGCTACTGCACTCCAGACTCCAGCCTGGGCAAAAAGAATGAGATCCTATCTCAAAAACAAAAAACAAAACAAAACAAAAAAACCTAGCTGGTCTGAGAGGCAGAGGGGGCCTGGGCCTGACTCCCTGCTGACTGAAGCTTGCTGCTGTTCACCAGCCTCATGGCACATGGGGCTCAGTTTCCTGTCTCAGCAAAATGACAAATGGCTGCAGATGGAGGACTTTGAGGACACTCACAAATAGCTGAAATGGAAATGTGAAATCCAGGAATGCCATGTGGAATTCCCTTGTGACAGAGTCCAAATGGGAACTGGAGGCCTTGGCTTGAGCAGGGTTCAACCCCAAGACATCACACAGGCTGCAAGATCACATCCCCAGCCTGGGATCCAGTGTGCCCTCTGCTGTCTTCTGGGGCTCCATTTGCTTTTCTGACTACCGGGACTGACATCTGTGAGTGAGAATGCCTGACGAGGTAAATGACATAATGCATCAGAAACTCCAGGGGCCCCAGACAGTTTTTCCCAGGTTTCGTCCAGAGCAGGGGAGAGGGCAGCTGGAGAGGCCATGGCCAACATGTGGCTGGGCAGGCTGGGGAAGAAGGGAAGAATGTGCTGAATCGTTCCAAGCCCCTCAGAGCTGTGGCAGACAGATGTGGAGTCTGGCCAGAGGTCCCTCCTGCTGTCTTCTCTGAGCCCTGTCTATCTAGATACCTCTGATGGCTGGGGTCAGGGAGGAAGACAGGCCCCTGGGCCACAAACGGGACAACAGCAGCTCTACCTTTCATCTCTGATCCGCTTGCCTCCTTCCCCATGGGGGAAGATGGCCCCAGCATTTGTTCTTCCCTGAAATGCTTGTTGAGATCAATATACAGGCAGGCCCAGAGGGGAGCCATGTAATGGAACATTGTCTTCCAAGTTCCGAGCTGTCTCCCAGGACTCCAGAAGGCCGGCTGTGGCTATGTGCCCAGTGAGAGTCCCACACAGATTTCTGCAGTATTGTTAGGGTTTTCATCATTAGTATCGACTTGCTCCTCATCTGGTAGACACATAAATCTCTCATCTGACCAGAAAAAAAGTGTTGTGGTGGGAAGAACACTGAGCTTTCAGCAAGAATCTTGGGGTCTACCTTAGCCACTAAGTCAGTGCACTAGTGGCTCCTCATCTGTAGAATAGGGGTGAGCAATTCCTGTTCTGCTCGCCTCACTGGCTCACATGAAATTAAGAGTGCAAAATCATCTCGACTGAGGGAAGAGAAGGCACCTGTATTGAACACCTGCTACATGTCAGGTGCTTTACCACAGGGTCTTCCCCAACTCACTGAGACTTTACATATGGTAGCTCATTAATCCTCTCGGCAGCCTATAGGTGGCTATTGTCATGACCATTTTACATGTGAGGGAATGAGCCTTGGAGAGACTCAACGATGTGTTCTAGCCAGTAAAGGGTGAAGCCACATTATCCAGGACAGGCAACATCGGCATCACTTGGGAGCTGTGAGAAAAGCAAGTTCTCAGACCCCACTGCAGACCTGTGAATCTGAGTTCCCAGCGATCTCCTCTGCATGGTGTTGATTTCTTTCTAAGTATTCAAATATAAGCCCAAGTATAAGGTGCAACAATAGTACAATAATAGCATACCCACTCTGGGGGCAAACTCTCCCTCCAGGAGGCGTTTCTGACAAATTCTGGTTCCTGTTTCTTGGAATCCAATCCTACTCAGAAAGTTAGAAGCACAGGCCCTGCTGGGCTGCCCTGTCGGACACATGGGGAGAGTCTGGAAAGACACTCACCCACCCCACGAGACCCCACCCCCAGCCTGGGGCCAGTTCCTCCCTGGAAATGAGGCAGAAGAAATCCACCTCTTTACTCCTGGAATTTGCTTCCCAGATGAGTTCCCTAGTTGGAAAGATTGTGCGAGTTCCTGGGGCCCTGGAAGGCTTTGAAGCATTTTCCCTCTGCATCTAACACTGCTGGCCCCCCACCGGGCAGTGATTGGCTTCGGAGCCCCTCCCAGCTTGGATACAGAAGCCGCTCCCGCCAGGACGCCCAGTAAGTGACTTGATCTCGGCGCTGGCAGATGGTGGAGCTATCAGAGCTGCAGCTGCCTTGGCTGCACACATCCCTCTCGAGGGAGCTTTCCAGTCATTTAGCTCCACTGCGGACTCAGAGCCAAAATTAACAGTCTCCGGTGGGCCCTCAAAGCTCACCACCCACCCAAACACTCTGGCTTGCTGTCATTCAACAGATAGCCAGTGGGGAGCGGGGCCCAGACTCACCCTCCCTGCCCACCACCCGCAAGAGGAAACAGCACCACCACCTCTTGTGCCACAGCTGGGCCGGTCCCAGGAAGAAGCCAGCTGGGACTTGGAGTGACAAGCCTTCCCTCTGATGTGTGTGCAGGGGGTGCCTGGTACAGAGGGACAGCAACCACAGAGCACTGCAGACGCCAAGACATGGTAAGGGGCCAGGACAGCCGAGCTGCCTCCCATCTGACACTGGCTTCTCAGGGGCTAGGCCGGGGGGCTCCTCCAGGGGTGGGTGGTGACAGTGTGCCCAGTGGTTAAGTGCCCGAGCCTTGGAGTTGGACACATTTGGGTTCAAGTGCAGGCTTCAACAGTCATTCACTGTGTGGTCTGGGGCAAGGTAGCCAACCCCTCTCAGCCTCCGTTTCCTTATCTGGAAAATGGAGATAATTACCCACAGTAGTACCTACCTCAGGTAATGAGGATTTAATGAGAATGTTAATGAATGTTAAGAGTTTAGCAGATGCTCGACAAATACTAAGTACTTAATTAATCATACCTGTCATTATTCAGTAGGCCTGCCCCTGCTGCAGGGCATACAACTTAAAAATATACTTAAGAATAAAGAAAAGCAAGGGTCAATGGATGTGGTTGTTCATTCAAAATCCCTATTGTGAGAACCTACTGTATGCAGGGTGTCTTAGTCCATTTGGGCTGCTATAAAATAAATACCACAAACTAGGTAGCTTATAAACTATAGACATTTATTCCTCACAGTTCTAGAGGCTGGAAAGTGCAAGAGCAAGGCACCAGCAAATTTGGTGTCTGGTGAGGGCATTCTCTCTGTGTTCTCATCTGGTGGAAGAGGCAAGGGATCTCTGTGGGCTCTTTTATAAAAGCACTATTCTCGTGTATGAAGGCCCCACCCTCCCAAAGGCCCCACCTCCTAATTCCATCACTCTAGAGGCTAGGATGCCAACGTATGACTGTTAGGGACACACAAACACCTAGACCCAGCACAGGGTGCTGGTGGTGTGATGAGGAATAAGCTGTGGACCCGCCCTCGTGGTGCTCACAGAGGAGAGGGAGCCTGGTGGGTCATGCTCAGAGCTTACAGAATGGCAAGTATGCTGGGACACGCAGAGATGCCGTAGAAGCCCATGGCTGAATATGAAGGAGCCTTGTGACTCAGGGAAGGTTTCTTGCGGGAGGTGATATCACAACTGAGTCTTAAAAGATGAGTTAATGAAGCCACAAGGGGCAGGTGGAGCAAGAGGGAGAAGATAGAGTGCAGCAGGAAGCCGTTGAGTGCGCTCAGAGCACTCTGGGACCTGCAAGCAGCCCCGCATGCCTGGAGCCTAGGGAGGTGCAGGAGCTCTGGGCCAGGGCAGGTCACAGAGGACCTTGTGTATATGTCCAGGGGTTAGGACTTCTTTATCCCGAGCACCTGGTGACTAACTCACTAAACAAAAAGATAACGGCTAAGTCTCTGAAGGACTTTAAGCAAGGGAGTTGCACAGTCAGGCTTTCAGTTCAGAAGGCTCACTCTGGCTGACAGGGAGAGGACGTCCAGAAGGGGCCTGCACTGGAGGCCCATGCAGAGTCCAGGAGATAGTGGACAGGCTGGGTCCAGAGGTGTGGCCAGCAGGCTGCCCCCACTCCCAGGAGATATGTTGGTGAGGCGGGAGGAGCCAACACAGAGGAATGGAGTAGGGGCCTGGGGGGACCGGACAGACAGGCTGGCATCTGGTTGTGGAGATGGAAAAATAACTGGACAGGAAAGGGAGGGACTGCAGCAGGTCTGTTGGATGGGGAAGAGGAGAGGGCTATGTGGGAAGGAGGTAAGGGGGCAGGGCAGATTTGCCTGACTCAGAAATGCCTAGAGAAGAAAGGCCATGGAGGCAGACGCAGACTGGGGCAGAAGGGTCCCCTTGAGGCTGCCTGTGTGGGAGCGCTTACACACTATCCCATGGGGCCGCTGATCTGCCCCTCCTGATTACCCTTCATCCTTCAGCACTTCCCCTGGGCCAGGCTCTGTGCTGGGCTGAGGGAGCAAAGAGGAAACGCCTTGGCCTCTGCTCATGAGGCCTCCCAGGGCAGGAATGTCCAGGAAGGGGGTGCCGTCGTTATTGTCCCCACCTTGCAGAAGACAGGACTGAGTGTCTGAGCCTGTGACTAGTCCGGAGTCATGCAGCCAGTTAGGGACAAAGCTGTAGTGAGAAACGCGGTGTCTGCTGTTAAACGTGGCGAGGTTTACACTGCATTATTCCAAGTCCCGGGAGGAGAGCCCCTGGAAAGCATCTTTGTGCTGGCAAAACCCTCCCTGAGGTCATGAGTCGGTTAGGCACCAGTAAAGGGTGCCAAGGTGAGGATGGAGAAGGTGGTGAAGGAGGGTCCAGCTCCACTGCTGAGGCACACAGCTCCCCGGCAGGGAGAAGCGGCTCGCGTGAATTCACATTCAAAACGCATCTGATGCACCATGTTCATTTCATCTTCAAGTCTTCCGGTAGAGGACTTCTGCCTCCCAACAGCTCCCTGGAGCCCCCTGCCCTTCAGGAGGTCCTTGATTTTCTCCATAATGATTCTCAGAACAGTTTGAAACCCATTTCAAACACAGGGAGTGAGGGACGCCCCGGCGACCACCAGCCCCCTCTGTGTTTGCCACAATGGGGGAATCTCACAAGATGGGTTTCCGTGCTTCCGCCTGTAGGAGTGTCCTTTTCCACAACCAGGGACTGGCGTGTGCCCTCTCCACCCTCCCCAAGCCCAGATAGGTGCCCACAAGCAGAGGCAAGGCCCAGGTCCCTCTTGCCCCAGCAGCTGGTCAGAAAATGAGAAGAATGAGCAGGAAGATAAGACACCACACGACCAGAGCCTGGAGGGCTGAGCCGGCAGACAGAGAAGGGGCACCCTCCCTCGCCCTCTTCTCCTCCCTCCTCCTCCCAACATCTGAGGCCACTGACCCCTCTCCTGCACCAGTGACTCCTGAGACAACAGAGCTTCAGGGGTGAGGAGCTCCATTTCTGGTCTAAGAGCTGGGGTCCCAGAGTCCCAAGATGCAGCCCCAGCAGGCCAGAGCAATAAGCTTTTTTCCTTGTCCACATCCCATGGGTCACTGCCCCTCTGTCAGAAAGGGTGGGCACCACTGCTGGCTCCGGAGGGTGAGGTCAGAAGAGGAGAGACCATTCCACCTGATGCAACAAACACTTGTTCATTCACTTGCTCACTCACTCACTCATTATCATTATCAGTATTATTATTTAGCACCCACTATGTGCCAGGCATTGGGTTAGCCTATAGGAATAAGCAAAGCAGGCCCAGTTCCTGCCCTCGTGAAGCCTGCAGTTCAGGTTGTTGCACACCTACTGTGTGCCCTTCTTGGAGTCAGGTAGTAGAGGAAGCTCCAGGATGAATGAGCTAGAAATTCTGCCCTCAGGAGATGTGGCAAACAAGCAGCCCCATTCCAGGCTGTCCCTGGCAAGGGTGTGGCTTGGGTGCCAGTGGACTCCAGAGGCTGTTCCCCTGGTGCACGGAAGCCTCTACGTTCCGAAAGGGAGGGGCTCACTCAGCCTCCCTCAATCACCTCTTCTCCTCTGACACCTTCTATACCAAGATGACCTTCCTGATCTCAGACCTGGACCTCCCCAGCTGCATTTTAAAATAACATGCTGTTATTTTCAATTGCAATGGCAGTCCTGCTTTCTCCAGAAATTTCCCCTCGGTTTAATACGAATGGAACTGGGAGCCGGAAGAGGCCTGGGGCTCTGACCCAGCTCCACCACTTAGATTATGACCATGGGATGGCACTTCACCTACCCAGGACTTTGTCTCTCCGTGAGGACAAGGACACTCACTGTATGTGCCACACAGGGTAGTGACACCCTCATGGGTTAATAGATGCAAAGTCATTGAAATGATAGTGATACTTGTCAGTTATTGAGTGCTTGTTGCACGCCCAACCCTGGACAAAGGGCTTTACAAGTGTTATCTCAGGGAATTCTCCACTGGGATTGGAAAGGTGGGTTCATTGCCCAAGGTTACACAGGTAGAAAATAGCAAGGTCCAGGTACGAACCCAGGGTAATTCCAGAGTCACAAGTCCCAAACGCTGCCCACAACGGCTCTCACCAAAGCTCTTCACAGAATTTAGAAGGGGTATACAACGATAATTCTCCTCAAAATGCAAAGCCTTGCGTGGAAAACACCTCAGGCCCTGAGTCCCAAAAAGCCTCATTCTCCTTCCCTTGCCTTGTTCCGGGTGGGGGCCCCTCTCCTTCTCCTCCCCCACAACCCATTTCCTCTACTGCAGGGAGTGGTGCACCCAGGACCACCAAGCTATTGTTGCAAGATTCATTTATTTTAGTAAAAGTTAAGTCTCCTCGGCTACATTTCCATCCACAAACCATCAATATTTCAGTAGTATTGCTCAGCCCAGGGTGGCAGAGATGGCCCCCTCTGTGTCTGAGCGGCGGCTTCCAGTTAAAAGTTCACCACAGAAAGTTTGATGCCTAATAAATTGGAGCCTTTCCTGCTTTAAATCATTTTTAAACCACGATTGCTGCACAAAATATAATTATTACAAACCGGTCATTTGTAACACAGAAATCTCATTAAAACGATTCCATGCTGGAAAGGTGGGTGGGAGGGGGCGGCGGTGGTGGTGGCGGTGGTAGGCGTGGGGTGTGGCTGGAGGAGCGGAGGCCTAGGGAAGGCTTGGAGGGGGCCGGGGGATGCTCTTAATTACAGATTGATTATTTCTGGTGATTGAGCACAGAATATAATCAACTCAACATTTCTAGGCTGGAGCAGAGGGGCAGGGATTGGCGGTGACAAGGATTGAGGAATCTTCCAGACCATCTTCTCTTCTGAGCTGAACAACTGGCCGAGGGGTGGGTCAGAGGGCCACAGGCCAGTGGCAGCAGGCTCCCCCGTCAGATTTCCGGCTGGTCCCCACCCCAGAGGTGGCTGCAGAGTTTGCCAGGGGCTTTGGAGCTGCCTGTTTCATCCACAGTGGAAAGAGACTGCATGATTACCGGAAGAGCTGTGGCTAGTTGCTGGGGAGACAGGATGTGAGACTTAAGGCAAAGGACCTGGGTTCAAATCTCAGCTCCAATCTTTGCAAACTGCATCCTTTGAGGAAATGATTCACTCAAAGTGCCCAAGCCTGGGTTTCCAGGTGGCTGAAAGGGGCATGGTTCTGCCCTCCCAGCCCTGCAGGGCTGTGGTGCAGCTCACCCAAGACAACGTGTGTGTGTGAATTCCTTTACCTGGCACAGAGGAGACAGTGGAAAACCCGCTGATTTAAATTTTCTGACAAAGATTGTGAGATGTGGAAAGCAGCTTCTAGGAGAGAGCGGTGGAATCCCCCTCCTCAGGGGAACATTAAGAACAAATGGACCCTGATCTCCCAGGAAAGGCGTAGGGGGACTTGGGGCATCCTTCTTCGAGAGAAGGGAGAGAGGCTTGATTTTGCCACAGAGAACCACCTGTGCTAGGCGCACACGGCATGGAGCCAGTGCTGGGCTCTGGGTGTGTCATGGGGCCAGCATCTTGGGGCTTCTTACCATCTTTCATCACCTCTCCCATAACCTCCAGCAGGTACCAGGAAAGCCACGGGCCCCTCTCCTCCACATTCCTGGGAGGCCCCCATGAAACCCATCTGGGAAAGTGGAAAGGCTGTCAGCTTCCTTGTCCTGGTCCTCAGCTACAAGCCTGTTGAGACAGGAGTCTCAAACTCTTCCCCTTACCCATTCCACTTTCTGTGCCCCACCAGGCCTCCTTTGGTGGTAGCTTTCAGCACAGCCCAGGCTGCCACTTCTGGCTTCTTAGACTTGAGCTTTCTCCCCAGTCTCAGCTCAGTGCACTCCGAGATCTCAACCAGCAAACTCCTCACTCCCTCCTGGCCCCAAGGAGCTCCTCGTGGAAGGAGCTCTGGGGCTGCTGCCCCGTGGTGGGAACTGTAGATCCTATGAGCAGCCTCAGCCCTTCTTGAGGGTTCTTGGAAGCAGGTGAAACCCATTGCCAGGGAACAGCTGCTTTCACATCTCCAGGCCTCTGCCACAGACCACCAATCCCTTGCAAGGGAAGCCTCCCCACTCCCGGCTGCCTGTGAACCCACAGAACAGTGTGTGGTCCTGTTTGAGGGCACAAGTATACACACACCTTTGCAAGTTCCCTATGCTCCGGGAGCTTCCCAAGGTCAGGGCCACCATTTCTCTCTATTCCCTGCCCTTAATCCCCACCCTGCTATGCACACAGCATGACCAGCACACTGCGGGTAAAGATCTTCCCAGATACCCAGGGCCGGACACTTCACTGCATACTGGGTTTGAGCCTGCCATTTCTCGCTGTGTGGTCCTACTCTTGAGTAGGTCACTTAACTTCTCTGGGGCTCAGCTTCATCTTCTATAACTTGGGATGATAATAATAACAGTTCTGCTTACTTTAGGAGGACAGAAGTTTGGTATGGTGGCATTATGATGATGGTGTCCGTCATAATCCTTACTACTGACAGGCCCTGGGTCATGGCAGGGGGACTGCAAGGTGGTGGTGAGTGCATCTTCCTCATTCAAGCTCTCGCCTTGGATTTCTTCAGTCTCTGGCTTGAGGGCTGGAGGAGGAGGTGTCCAGGCTGTGCCTACCCCGGGGTCTCTGCATCCCACAATCCCCAAGTGCCTCTCTGTGATTGGCTGCTCAGCACAGCTCCCTGCAGGCTGGACAGGCTCTGGGTGGGAGCCGTGGGTGGATGGGTGCCAGGAGCCCACAGAGGGGGCTCCTGTGTGTGGGTTCATGGGACCGTGGGTGGCTGTGCAGGCAGAGGCTTCCATTGCTCCAAAATAGCTCGCAGTGGTGGTGGGGACAAACAGGTACGTGCAGCCCGGGCTGGGCTGCTGGTGAGTGTTGCCAGGGAAACCATGGCTGCAGGAGCCCCCAGCCCTTTGCCTCTTCGCCATGGAGACAGTGAGTTGGAGGCAGCAAGTCTGACGGAACAGGCAACCCCCACCACGGGCTTCAGGGAAACCACAGCGTCCACAGCGGCCCATCACTGGGGGGCGGGAGCAGCCTTGGGATCAGTTTTCCTATTACAAAACCATGTTCAAATGTCAATTCCTTCTCTCCTGCATGTGGGTTTCTCCCCCTCCATTTCATCAGTCCAGCCCCCTCCTCCCTCCTGTTCCTGGCTTGCATTTCACGTTAGCGCAACGCTGGTCTTTGAAGAATGAAATTTGGCAGCCATCGAGTGCCTAATATGACCTCATCCTATCTGGTGTTTTCAGGAAAGGGTGCCTCCCCAAAGGGGGTGGGGAAAGGCCCACAGGGCAAGTGGCAGGGAAACCCAGCTGTGATGCCTGTGGGTGCTCCAGAGTTAAAAGAGTCCTCCTGCTTATGTGCAGGGGCAGGGGCTCCTCTCCTCAGTCTGCCCCCAAGCCCAGCTCCCCACCATCTCTAGGGAAGACCACTAGCACAGGCCAATGCTGGTACTTTCCAGAAAACTCTTCAAAGTTCCCTCAGTACCAACACGTGGGCTCCCTTCCAGTCATTCTGGGGTGCTGGGAGGTCACTGGTTAAAAGCAGGCTGAGAGGGCGCTGTTGAGCCCACCTCACCGGTGGGGGCAGGTCTTCCCCACAGTGCCCGGGACACATGGCTGTCTTAGGAAGGACAGGCCTCCCCGTTTTCCTGTTCCAAAGCCTTTTCCAGGGCCCACCAGCCCTTCTCACTGCACCCCAAGTCCCCACTGTGGACATCCAGGCTTGTCAGAGAAGGGGAGAGGAGCTCAGCAGCTCTTCAAAATGCTCCCTGAGGCTGGCCAAGGAAGAGTGACCTGCCCCTTACACTGACCTTTTCCCATTTCCCAAGCTGTGCGATCTCATTGATCTAGAAATGCTAGTTCTTGTTTTGTCTGTTGACCAAGAGTCATTGGCTATTTCTCCAGATAAGTGGAGAGTTGAGAGCTATAGACCCTTAGAACTCACCAACTTGCAAGGACTGGTTCCTGCCATCATCATGCCCCAACCACCGCCTCCTCCATCCCTGCCTCCCGCCTCAGTTCAGCCCCTCATCGCACTAACATGGCCATGCCCCTTCCCCCGCCTACCCTGGGTACCAGGTTGTCGGCTAGCCCAGCCTACCCACTTGCCCCGCCCCACCCACCCTTGCCATCTGTCTGTCTGCCTGGCTGTCTGACTTGTCTCTTGCCTGTTTGATGTTCAAGCTATCGACTGTGACAATCATATCTGATCATTAATAATGCAATAACGGAATAGTGACTGGAGAGACACTTGGATAATCAGCTAGCACAGCCTCATTAGTGGCACAGAACAATCACAGCGATATAATAACAGATCCCAGGAAATTTCAATTAAACCTGGAACTTTGTTAGGGTTTCATTTTATTTTCAGCATGGCAATGGATAGCGTAATTGCAATCAACTAAAGCCAATGCAAATCTCTTCCAAAAGAGACCCCTTCCCCTGGGTATGCAAGGGAATTAAGTCTCACTCTTCTTTAGCTCCTGCCCATCTTAATTCTGAGCCATTTAATGAACTCCTTTTCTGCCCTGAAGAATGTTCCAACTGAGTCTCTGGCTTCACTTAACAACAGGATCATCCTGGCTTCTGGCCCTGTGTTAGAGATGAAGATGCTGAGAATTAGCCTGTACAGAGGGCTCAGTGTGTGCTGTTCACTGTGCTGGGCTCTTTACGTGGGTTATCTCATTTAAACCTCACTACCACTTAATGAGACAGTGATTAATATTATCATTATTGAACCAGCAAGGTCACCAAGTCTCAAAGAAGTTGAGAAACATCTTCTGGGCAACACCTCCTGCAAATATCATTGGTGCAGCCAGAATTAAACCAGACCTGCCCAAGTGTGAAGGCCATGACTGCTGCCTTCCTCTCACTCTCTCTCTTCTCTCCTGTGCTCCTCCTGTCTGTCTCTCTCTCACTCTCTCTTTCACTCTCTCCCCTCACCCCCCACCCTTGTCTGTTTCTTTTCTCTTTCTGATTAGGGACTGGATGAGCCTTGAGAATGCTGAAGGGGGATAGAGTAAACCGAGTCCTGTACAGCCCAGGCATCTCATGTCAGGACCTTGGTCTCCAGCCTAGGGTGGGCTGGTGGGGAGATTTTTAAAGAACAGCATCTCTGAATCTTGCCCCCAAATCAGACCACCTAATCAGAATCTCTGGGGATGGGGCCCAGTCAAATGTATTGTTTCAAGGCTCCCTAGGTTGTTTTAAAGCACACTGTGCATAAAACCTTGCCCAGAGCTTCTCTACTTTACTGAGGGGACATGGATAGCGGGGATCAGCCAAGCCCTGAGCTCCTGGCTCTGAGTGGGAAACTGAATCAAAGCCAGGCTCTTTCAGAAGCTGTCATTGGTGACTCCCCCCTCGGTGACCTGTGGTCGGGCTTCCATCTCTTCATTCCTGCAGTGAGGATCAGACTGGGCAGCCTTTGGCTCTGGAAGCCTGCAGCTTGAACAGCAGCTTCCCAGAATGGGCAGCACCTTGTCCCAGTTCCATGAACTGCTGGGGGAGATAATTCTGGGGCAGGAGTACCTTTTCAGATCCCCTTCAATCTCTGTTTCTCTAAAGTTAAATCACATTATTTCATTCTTGCCTCTAAATTGACTCATTTTCTTTACTTAAATGCTTTTTAAAACGGAATTTTACATCATTACCATATATAGAAAGCCTATCCCCTGTCACAAATGGAAAGTAGCCACAAAAATTGGACCATCTAAATCCATCTCCTCCGCCACCAGGGACGTGCAGAGCACGCTGGCTCCGAGCATCTCACCCAGTCAGCTCCTGCATTCCTCGAGCGCGAGCCTGACGGCGAATCATATCTGGTAGCGCGTAGGCCCACACCACTCACTCGGCAGGAGAGGTCCCTGGGAAGGTCTAAGCCTTGAGAGTGGAGCTGTTGTTTCCACCTTATTGCTGGGGGATGTTGGCCTTTTAGTAGGACTAAAGGTCTACGTTTGTAGCATTGCCCTCTGCAGAACCTCAGTTTTGGTACCTACAAAATGAGCGTCATGAAACTTAGGCACAACCTGGACTTCCCTGTGCTACGAGTTTGATTTCTACATTCTTAGCTCTTAACATTGCAGGGGGCAGTAGCAGAACTGACCTAAGGGAAGAAGAAAAATCAGGTGATTTTGTGGGGTGATTGGAGGGACTTTAGGAAGGTGTTTGTATGGCTGACCCTTGAACAATGCAGGGGTTAAGGGGCTGTGCTGACTCCCCGCCATGATCAAAAATCTGCGTATAATTTTGCCTTCCCCAGAACTTAACTACTAATAGCCTACTGTTGACCTGCATCCTTACTGAAAACATAAACAGTCAACTAACACATATTTTGTATGTTATATGTATTATATACTGTATTCTTATAATAAAGCAAGCTAGAGAAAAGAGAATGTTATTTGAAAATCATAAGGAGGAAAAAATATGTTTACTATTCATTATGTGGAAGTGGATCCTCATAAAGGTCTTTATCCTTGTCTTCTTCATGTTGAGTAGGCTGGTGGGCAAGAGGAGGGGTTGGCTGCTGCCTCATGGGTGGCAGAGGCTAAAGAAAATTCACATACAAGTGGACTCGCACAGTTCAAATCTGTGTTGTTCAAGGGTCAACTGTACTCGAAAACAGCATCCTCTACAAACTCACAGGAGATATCTGATCTGCCACCACTGACAATTTAAGAGTTCTGGGTTTCAGGACCTCTTAGCCTATTTGGGCCTTACTTCCTCATCTGCAAGCACTGGTTGCTATGAACTCTTGTTACACCTCAGCTGGATACTAAAGAAACATGTCCCAGACCTGTCCTCATAGAGCTCCACTCCAGCCACGTGGTAGACACATAAACAAAGGTATATACTGGGCAGGGCATGGTGGCTCATGCCTAGAATCCCAGTACTTTGGGAGGCCAAGGCAGGAGGATTACTTGAGCCCAGGAATTTGAGAGCAGCCTGGACAATATAGCGAGACCCCATCTCTACAAAAAATTAAAACAAAAAAAATTAGTGGGACATGGCAGCACGTGTCTATAGTTCCAGCTGAGATGGAAGGATCCTTTGGGCACAGGAGATCAAGGCTACAGTGAGCCATGATCATGCCACTGCACTCCAGTCTGGGCAACAGAACCAGACCCTATGTCAAAAAAACAAAACCCCCAGAGGTATATGTTACACTTTGCTCAATGCTCACTCCAACAGGGGCTGAGACCAAGGCAGACAGGCAGGAAGGAAGGGATTCAACACATGCTCCCTCCCTAAGCTCCCTTCTCTTGTCCTTCAATCCAAATAGTACCCATATTTGCCCAGCATAAAATGTTAGCACTTGGTCTTGTCTGTTTAGGTATACATTTTGAGTGGCAGGTTGTCTTCAGGTTAAGAGCATAGGCTTTGGGGCTGGCCCTGGCTTAAGATTTGTGTTACTCACAGAAAAGTATGAACCTATCACAGCTTCAGTTTCCTTATGTGCAAAATAGGGACCCTAAGAGAACTATGTGAGATGCTATCTTCAAAGTGCCCAGCAAAATACACTATGAAGTTAGCCCTCCAACTTGTAGTTGTTGATGTTTTTGTTTGTTTCCCTCTTTAGTAGAAATTTTAGGTTTGAAATGGGACACTCCTGGATACAAATGCTGGATCCATACCTTGCTATGTATTCAACCTTGGGCTTGACTTCTTTGAGCCTTCTGTTCTCATCTATAAAGAGGGGTCATCGTAGTGGCCTCTCAGACAAGCATACAAATGCAAGGTCCCTAATGCTGTCACCTCTATCCACTCTCTAGGTCTGTGGGAGAAGGCCACATGCCCCATCAGCACAAGGTGAGCCTAGACTGAAGGCTCAGGGTTCTCCAGCATGCTCCAAGGTCCACAGTGTTCCCATTCCCATTCACTCTGCCCCACACCCAGCCCAGAGCAGCCCTTTCTAGGTGCTCTTGTAAGCGTAATAGATCCCTTGCCCAATGTGCATGGCAAGTCAATACACCAAGTACATCAGGTTGCAGCAGAGAAAGAGGTTTAATGACAGGGCTTCCACACAAGGAAACGGGAGGAAGCCTCAAATCCATCTCCCAGAGGAGTTTGGAGCTTGGGATTTTAGGAGTTTTGGAGTGGGCCGAAGTGTGGAGATTGTTGATTGGTCGAGGAGTCCAGGGTGAAGTTCTGGGACAGGGAGATGAAGAAACTGTGTTCTCATACTGATTCCATTCCTCTGTGGGGGTCTTCAAACTTGTTAGTATCATCTGTTTCGCTGGAATTCAGGATCTGAGAAACATCTTAAGCAATTTTTAAACAGGAGCCTTATGATTCTAATGTCAAAGATCTTGTCTGTCTTAAAAGCCTTATAGCTCTAACATCAGAAATCCCATCTATAGGAACATTAGGGATGCAAACGGCCAGTATCTAGTCCTACAGTGTCTGTCAGTTACAAGGAAGTGGGTTAAAGTGCAGCCTGATTAATGCCTAATTATAGCCGTATTTCTGCCCAGAATTCTTGTTAACCCTGTGAGGACAGCTTTACTTTTGCTTTTTGATGATCACTTTCATTACCCTGAGCCCCACATCACTGAAATAACAGAATCCATCCTTTACTGCTAGATCAAGGCTGGCCACCCACTGTGGACAACATTGCCACTGACCATGACAGGGGCTTGTAGAGTCCAGGGAGGAGGAGGCAGCTTCGTCAGATGAGATCAGCATGAAAGGCTGTGGGAGGGAGGTGGAAAGAGAACGAATATGCTCTCCCTTCTCCTTTTCTCAATCCGATCCCATCTTTACTCATCTGAATGCTTGTCAGCTCCTGGAAACTCTTCCCGGGGCAGCCGCAGCACCGAGGAGAGACCAGAACTTCTCCTAGAAGACAGGTGTTTGAATTCTGTTTCTGCCATTGTCCAGCAAACTTGGACCTCCTGCCTCAGAGTCGCCTCACCTATAAGGGGGACAATGAAGTCTTTGTGAAGAATAAATGAGAAGTTTACAGATGTTCAGGCTTCTCTCCTTCTCATCCTCTTCCCTTATACCCACAGCTTCTCAGAAGCTGCAAGCTTTTTTACCTCCCACCTCTGAGCCCCCTCTGCCTCCCAAGCAAGCAAGGGTAGCCCTCATCGCTACCCATCTGCATGATGCAAAGCCCATATTTTCAAGTGCCATGAGCTCCTGAAACATCAAGACACTGACAATGAAATTAGCATGCCTCATCTGGGCCCAGGCCAGCGCAGGTCTGAAGGCCCCTTTCCTCGATGATTAGAGAAGGGGAAGATGGTTCCTGCCCAAGAAGGCTTACATCAAAGCAAATGAATGGACCTGATACCGACCTGAGAAAGACTCACCCCTCTGCCTTGCGCTCCTGGGCCAGCAGATGCCCCTCTCCTGACCCCACTAGAGTCACTGTTTCCCTTGCCTGGCATTTCTGGCCAGACATCGGCCAGTCCCGAGTCCACTTTGCTGCACCCCACACTTGATGCAAACAAGAGCCTGTTTGAAGCAAAAATCCTTCAGCAATTACCTGTAGAAATAGGATGGAGAGTGCTGGGAACGGAAAGAGGAATTTATTTATTTGTTCTCGATGCTTTGAGTTAGTTTTCAAATTGTCCTTCTGTAGATAAAGGCATCTCTCCAGCAGCTCAGCCCCAGATCGCAGCAGCTAATCTGCATCCGGTGGATCAAAATAGCCTCCAAACCAGATGGAGGCCCAGGCCACACCAGGAAACCAGAACCGGTCCTGAGTGCTGAGAGTGGGGATTTAAATAGACTCACGTGAAGCGTTTTTGGGATTTTCTGGGACAAAGGCGGGGACAACAGGGATTTCCAGGACTAGGAAGATGCAGGAGGGAAAAGAGAGGCCGACGTTTAGAAAGGGAAGAGAGTGCACTCTGGCACTTCCTCTATCATTTTCTTCAAAGCAGAAAGTGGGAACAATTTCCCAGGGGGTCAAGGTCTTCACATGTCTGCAGTGCTCAGAGGGCAGAACGAAGGTCTTGTATGTTTCCCAGAGATAAATGATGTTGTGGAAAAGGCATAGGCCCTGCAGCCAGACCGGGTTATGCATTACCCACGATAATGATGAGATAATTTGTTCCATTGAGCCTCAGCTTCCTGGTCTGCAAATTGGGATTATGATATTCACCTCCCAGGGTTTTGGTGAGGATTAAGACAAGAAATGTGAGGCACTCAGCCTACCCTATTCCTAGCACTTTCAGAACTAAACAAATGTTGGTTCCCTATCCCCACACCCCTTCCCAGCGGCCCTTCTTTGGGGAAGGGTGTTTTGGGGGCAGTAGTAGATCTCTGCCTAATTTAAGAGTAAGGGTTCAGTCTGAGTCTTTATACAGTCTCAACCCAAACTCCTCTCTCCACCTGCCTGTCCCATCCCTGGAGCTGCAGGGTGGTTTCAAGCTGAAAACTGGGATGCTTGCCTTCAGATGTAGGTCTGCTAGGGGAAAGAGGCCATGTCTGTTTTGCTCAGCATTGTGTCCCCAGGGTCAGGCACAGTGCCTGGCACCCAATCAGCACTCAGCAAACATCTGCTGATGGAATGACTGGGCAAGCGAGTGACTCCACCAACCCCTCCCTGTGATTGGAGGAGAAGAACGAAGTGTGGGCAAGAGCCCAGACTCTGACTGCAGCCAGCAATGAAGCTTTGGAGCAAGAGAAGTGACTGTTACTTTGCATTATAGGAACTGGGGAAAATGCTCCCACCCAGCAGCTTCCCCAGCCCCAGACCTGTCTGAGTCCCTGGTTTAGGGGTCACTCAGAAAAGACCACAAGCCAGCCTGCCCTGTCTCATCCTGTTTCCTCCATGTTAACCTGCTGTCTTCAGTGAAACCACAGGCCCTGCATGTTCAGGGGGCAGCTCTTCCACCTCTAGGGCCACCTCCACCTCACACACCCTGGGCACCCAGTGGGGAGGGATGAGGGGGCCGGTCAGCACCTGCAACCGTGGCTTGTTGCCAGGCCCGCTTGTCTCCTGGCCTCTAATAGTCCCCTGGAACGTTGCCCCTTCAGCTCTTCCTCTTAGTCCTCAGGATAAGGGAGTGAAAGAAGGAAGGAGTGGGGGTACTGTACACCTTTAATTTCCCTAAAAAGTCCTTGCATCTAAGTGCTCACATTCATGTGAGTTGGGGGGCAATGAGAGAGAACAAATGGGAAGTGAAGGCAGATCGGAGCTCAGGAGGAGAAAGTTCAGGTTCCGGGGCTGGGGGCAAGAGGAAAGCTGCATCCTCCCTCCTGGCACCGTCTCAGGTTACCCTCACCTGTGGAGGACAGACACTGTTGGCCTGAGACGCAGGGCCAACCCCATCCAGGTGTGCTCTGCTTTACCTCAGTCTCCAGATCAGGCAGAGGGAAGGGAAGTTGGAAAAACCAACAGCCTTGATTAGTGTAAATTTCATGTTCTACTTTGTGCTTCAGGGTCTGTATCACCCAAAATTTTTCCAATGAGTCACTTTGAAAAGCAAGAACAAAAATCTAGAGGAAATGCTCTGGTTGAAACAGGCTGCCTATCACACTTAATCTCTGAGTTGGGAATGGTTCTGACGATCAGATGTTAGTACGCAGCCTGGTAACGCTATGGTATGGGGTCTGCCTTCCTCACTGGAGTGGGAGCTCCTTGAGGGTGGGGTTAGAGGCTTAGGAAGCTCTGCATCTTCAGTGCCCAGCACAAGGCCTGGCAGGTATCTGGTGGGAGGGCAGGTAGGAAAATGGCAGGAGCAGGGTGGGAGCAGGTGCAGTATCCCCATATGGTTCCTGCGGGCCCTGGGGAGGGCCCCAAAGCCCAGTTCTTGGAGGGAGGGGACAAAAGGGCAGCCTGAGGTCTGCCCTTCCTGCTGCCCTGCCCAGGTCCAGCCTGAGCACTCCTGGCAGCAGGCTGCCCTCAAGGTCCCAGCATGGCCACCTGCTCACATGTTTATCCACCAGGCCAGTCCCCTGGGACAGCTGGGACTTAATGAACTGCCGAGTTGCTAAGGCTGCCTTTGATCCCAGCAGTTCAGCTGAGGAAATCGATACCCTTAATGGAGAAAATCTGGGTTGTGATGTAGAGATTTGGGATGGGCCATGTGACCATGTGACTGCCTGCCTACCTGCTGTGGAAAATGCTAAGTTGGCCCAGCAGGAGTCTGCACCTCCTAAGGCCCATCTCCCGGGACTGAGCCCTGCCTGGGAGCCAAGAAGGGCAGTCAGGATCTCAGGGCACTCCCAGGCCAGGACAGGGTTAGGGTCAGAGATCAGACAGAAATGCTAGAAAGGAGAGCCCATCAGTGCAGCCAGAAGGGTTTAAGGTGCACTGGGGAAGGGAGAGAGGACTGAAGAGAGGAAGACGGGAAGTGGCTGACTGGCAGCTAGAAAGCAAGGAAGAGCCACAGGGCGGACACTGACATTGAATGGCCCAGGGACAGGAGCAGCTAGTGACATTCAAGAACCAGTGAGCTTCAGCTCAGTGCTGTGGCTTCAGCAGATTCCACGCAGATGAGCAATGAACCCGGGAAGCCCACATGAAGCCAATGAGGAGTTGGAAACAGACGGAATTGCCGTAGGGGGCACGTTGGGTTCCTCGGGATCATCAGGGTGGAAAGACCCTGAGAGAAGGTGGTCGTGGCCGAGGGCATCCCCGCTTGGCCTGTCTTGCTCACTCTCCCAGTGCCTGGCTCACCACCCTCGGCTGATGCGTTCTGTCAAATATTCCCCCTCCCACGGCAGATCAGGTTATGAACTCAGTCAATACTTGCATCAGCACTGGCTGGCTCTGTTTCACCAGGCACTGTGTTCCTGTCTCGTGGGCTTAGTGTCTCCCCATTCCCTCCTCCCTGGCGCTCAGCATGGTGGTGACCAGATCTGCAATTAGCTCCGTGGTTCCACGGCACACCTAGCAGCAGGCTGTCTGCGTGGCTAGCCTCCTCCCCACAGGGCCCTCTCTATGGGGCACCGTCGGTTCCAGGCTCCTTGGAGGCCAACACAGTGTGGGCTTCTCAACGTAAGGCCTCCCTGTGGCTCGGGCTGGGGCACAGCTGCTCAGCACTCACAAGTCTCCTGGTTCCCAGGTTAGACCCAAAGAGCCCACACAGGGGAGGGAGCCTTGATTGCTGCATAGTGGAAGGAGCCCACACAGCCTGCGCTCTGGTCTTCTCTCTGCCTGACTCTTGCCCTGGCCTTGGCCTCCCAGGTCCTGGGTTTCCTTATCTAGAAAGTACAGGGTGATAATCCTTGTCCTGCTCACCTCACAGGACACAGTAGAAAACTTGAATGAGAACGCAGATGTGAAATACTCCCTCAGGTACCAGATATACCCAATGATTTGTTTCATATGGACACACTTTGCCTGGCTTCTTATTCAAATGGCACCACACAGGAGTTCCTTCCAGGCCCAGAATGACCCTGGATGCTTTGTGAGAGGCACCCTCTGACCTGGGGGCATTTATGGGGCAGGGTGGGGGAGAGCAAAGTCGCACTGTATCACAAACACAAAGAAATGTGTGAAATTGCTCTGAGGGTGGAGTTTGATGGCCCTAGTTTGGAAAAACAGATGCTCCAGTTCTGCAGTGAGTCCCCAGGATTGCAGGCACCAGGCCCCTGGTTGGAGGTTGGTGTCACAGCCAGGGGTGTAAGATGTAAAGACAGCCAGCGGGGGCTGGTAATGTGCTCAGTGTCCTTGGCCCTATTGGGCATAAGGTCGGAGAACAGGGTCCTTCTGTCTCTCCTCATGCCCTCAGATGATTGGGGCTAGCACCCTTATAGTCTATAGGTATCCTCAAGCCAGGGCCACAGTTCCAACCAGGAACACCCAGGTGGAGCCCCACCTGGTGCTTTGCAGGTGAGGCCAGCTCTCACACCTGGGAAAGGCGACGTGAGAGCTCAGTGTTCTGGCACACCCCTGACACCACCACCTGAACAAGTCTGGATATGCAAATGATCTCCTTCCTTCATGGTTTTGTCCTATTCTAATCCATAGCTCAGCCCTGGCTAATCAGCAGGAACCACTGCCCCCCTGTGGGGGCAGGGACAAGGCAGGTGTTCTGAGCTTGGGAGCCAGGGCCAGGGCAGGGCTCTGACGTTGGGAAGGGATGCCAGCCAAGGGGGTTCATGCCAATGGAACTTTGCAGAGGCAAGTCTTCGCAGGGCTATTTGCTCAAGAGCCTGGAACAAGCAGTCCCAGCCTCCTCCCCAACTCAAACCCAGGAAAGAGCTCCCTTGGGATTTCTAACCAATCCCCAACCTTTGTCCCTTCTAGGGACCTGGAGCCCAGGGCAAAGCAATGGCCAGGGAGCAGAGCGTCATACAGCACCCTCACAGCTGATGTCCCCATGGTGGCAAAGGCAGCCTCCATGGCTTCCATTTAACCTCTCTGGACCCTCAGCCCTAGCTATGGCCAAGGAATCTGCTTTTCCAATATTGCAAGGAGAAGGCAGCAGGGTTTGTGAAGATGCTGTTTTCCCACACTTAACCCCCAGAATCAGAATGGGCCCATGGCAAAAGTGGGGACAGAAACGTGGGAGTCATAGCCACACCAATGCTGGCAGGATCTTTTGGCTCATTCATGCACACCCACCATGTGCCCAAGAGCCCACGGCTGGCGGGGACAGGGCCAGACCCCAAAGAGAGCCCAGCATGTCTCTGGCCTTCTCCCCAGTGGAGGCCCCTCTTCCTACCTCTCCCTCGGGGTTCTGGGATGAGATCTACAAAGACTGAGGGGTCGAGGGCTAAGACAGACTCTCGACATGACTCTCAGAGGAGTGGAAAGCTCCTCTCCCATTCCTCCAAAACTGGTGACTGCGGCAAGACTAGCAGAGGAGCCAGCTGGAGCTGCCCAAGTCATACTCCCATTGCGTTGTGATGTCACAGAGGCCCGAGGAAACGCTGGCCTCCAGTCAGAACTAATCTGCTACTTAGAGCCTATAACCTTGCACAAGTTACAGAATCTCTCTAACCCTCAGTTTCCTTACCTGGAAAATGGGCATGCTATATCTACTACTCAGATTCATTGTGAGAACAAACAATAGCCCACATATAGAGCATGCAGCAAGGTGTGTGGCTCTTTATAGGCACCCACCACTGTTCTCTTTTCCTCTTTACTCCTCTCCTTTCCCTTTCTGGACTTCAGTCCAGAAATGCTCTCTATTGTGTCTATGACCACTATGTCCAATCACCAAGTCACTTTCAATATGTCTAGTGACACGATGGAGCAACACGCACACTCTGCACAACACTTCTTCACCATGTATACTCGCAAAGATGCACCAGGCATGCTGACTCTGCATCACAAAACAGAATTCCAGCCCTGGGTGACACGTGCCCTATGAATATAGTATTCATAGGTTTTCAGAAACAGTTCTGATCTATGCCTATTTGACATCCAAACTGTGACATTTTTAGAATGAAAATGTTGCCAGGACAACAAGTATAAACTAGGAATGTCCTGGAAATCCTATGAATACTCATTAGGACCTCGATCTCTTAGGGTAAAGAAGGCTTCTGTCTCTACACTCCTACCTGGGATGTTTACAGTCCTTGGGCCTCTGCTCTGGGAAGACTCCTGAGCCACCAGGCCAGGTTCCCTGCTCCAACTTGGATCAACCCAACGCCTAATGCTTCCTTCCCTCTTTACAAGGGACTGCTGCCTCCACTTCACCTATTTGCTTCTCTGTCTCTCACACTCACCACGAGCAACCTGAGGATGGGGGTCCCCATACCTAACACTGCCTGGCTTATAGTAGATGCTCAAAAATGTGCATATGAGCCGAGATCATGCCACTGCCCTGCAGCCTGGGTGACAGAGCAAGACTTTGTCTCAAAAAAGAAAAAAACTGTGCATGGGGAGAAAAAACAGATAAATGCCCCACTTAGGAGAGGAAAACTAGGCAGAGAGTAGGGGGTTAATGCAGCTCCTGGTGGAAGCTGGAAGAAGTCAGCCCAGCTAAAAGAAGAGGGCTGTTGTTTGCTACCAGGCAAGCCAGAGCAGGCTTCTTCTGCCCCCTCCACTCCATCCCCCATGCACACGTGTCTGCAAATGGCACCTGGTGGTTGGCCAGGGAGATGACATCTTCATGCCCACAGGTGACGGGCCGAGAGGACAGTTAGTGCTTTGTTGAAAAGCTTTCAGAGTCGGAGTCTCTGCTCTCAGAAGTAGGAAGACAATTCAGAACCCTGCTGTGGCCTCTCCCTTCTTCCCCTCTCTGGCTAGCCCCCTCTCAAGACAGGGACCACCCCAGCCATGGCATCCAGAGTGGGTTCCCTGTGCACTCAAGCCAGTTGCCTGGGTGCCATCACTTGTCACTTGACAATAGAGAAGGATGTTTCTCTATTTTCCAGCTCAGATGAGCTTTCGAAGATGCTATCTGGCTGTGATATAAATCCATTGAGAAAGCCCTGGAGGGAGCCCCTGCAAAGCCCTAAATTGGACACTAAAAACAGATAAAAGCCAATGGTTTAAAGGCTTTACGTGAGCTCCATTTGGGGGAAGAAATGAAAACAGGGATTTAGTTTGTCCTCTCCCACCAACACACTTTGGGCAGCTGTGGCCTGAGATTTTAGATATTTGGTGTCCCTGATGCATGGACCTGAGTGGCTGATGAGCCAGCACTAACGGGGAGAGCCTAGAGCTAAGACAGCCCCGAAGGGGCCCTGCTCTCCTTCCCTCTCCCCCACCACCATCCTGCAACCCTGCCCTGATGGCCAAGTGCAGGACTCAGCACTTGAACGACTGAAGGAATAAATCCCAGCCCTGCCCAGCCCAACAGCAACTCCAGGGTTACCCAGGCCCATGTTAGTGGCATTTCCTTAGGGTGAGCAGGTCAAGCCCTCCTTGCTGCTTCTGCAATCCAAGGCCCTGGTTTCCCTCGACTCAGTTGGTGGGGTGGCACGTTAACCAACAGGACATTGTGGCTGCCTGGACATTGCGGCTGCCTGGACATTGCCTTCATACTTCTCTTTCTTGGCCAGTGCCCTGCAGCCAGAAAACTTGGTATTTGGGAAGATGGAGAGGCTAAAATGAAAATTATAGGAGCATTTTCACCCAACACACAGCAAGCAGGGCTATCTGGAGTGTCCAGGGACAGGACACATGGCAATCCTGTAGCCCCTCTTTGGGATAAATAATAAATGTCCAGCCGTTCCGATCAGAAGGCTAGGCCATCACTTTCTCAAAATATTGCCATGGGGTACAAAGGGTAATGCAATCTATACTAACTCAATTGTTCTCAACCTACACATTAGTGTTACCCAGGAACCTTTTTAAAATTCCAATGTCTGGGCCACACCCCAGACCAATTAAAACAGAATCTCAGCGGTGAGGCTCAGGCATCAGCATTTTTCAAATTGCTTCTCTCATTTTTCAAGTGATTCCACTGTGCAACCAAGGCGGAACCACTGTTCTAGTTGGCTAAACCTATTAAAGAAAATATGGAGGCTGGGGGCTAAGGGTTCTCATTCTTCTCAAGTCTCTTATTCCTACTCTTTAATTTGGACCTGAAGTGTCAGGGCCTGGAGGGATGATCAGCAATGAAGGTCAAGTTAAGAATGACATCCTTTCCTTCCTGCTAGGCATAGTGAACCTGACCCTGGCGTGGTCTGCCTCAGCATTTGCAGGATATGAAAGCAGCCCACTGGAGCCTGGGGTCAGATCTGGGAGGGATGTTGGAAGCATATAGGCCAACCATACCTCCCATTTTACATGTGAAGACACAAAGGAAAGTGAGGGTGTGACCTAACTAGGGTCACTGAGCATGTGTCTGAGTCCTGGGCTCTGTACTTTATGCAGTAGTGCCTATCTGGGGACTTCCAGCTCTGTGGGACTTCTGGCTTATCTACTGAATGATGGAGACCCAGGACAGTGAACCTTTTGACTTCCAGTAACCCCTCCATGAATGCGTTCCCAAAACAGAGAGGAAGGGAGACGTCATCGTAGCACCATGTTGAATGGGGCTGGTCTGGAATCTCAGCTTTGCCATTAAGAAGCTCTATGGCCTTGAAGACCATCAGCCTCTCTGTGAGCTTCCATTCTATTCATTTATAAGACAGGGAAACTATTAACTTCACACAAGGGTATTAGGCAATGGTTAAATAAAATGAAGTGTGTAAAGTACTGGACCATACTAAGTGTTTACCCAAAGTTACTTTCCATCCCTCCCTTCACTCCTCCTTTCCTAGCATCAAGATGATACTTCTTATGGCAGGATCATGGCCCTCAGCCCCTGGAAGCTCTGCTGACCTGGGCCTAGTATGGAAAGTATGTCCCCAAAATAGATAAGATGGTGCTTAGGGACCGTATTAGTTTGTTCTCACACCGCTATAAAGAAATACCTGAGACTGGGTAATTTATAAAGAAAAGAGGTTGAATTGGCTCATGGTTTCACAGGCTGTATAGCAGGCATGGCTGGGGAGGCCTCAGGAAACATATAATCACTGGGGAAGGTGAAGAGGAAGCAGGCATGTCTAACCAAAGCTGGAAGAAGAGAGAGAGGGGAAGATGCTACAAACTTTTAAACAACCAGATCTCACGATCACGCACTCACTATCATAAGAACAGCACCAAAGGGGAAATTTTGCCCCCATGATGCAATCACCTCCCACAAGGGCCCACCTCCAATAATGGGGGTTATCTTTGACATGAGATTTGGGCGGGGACACAGACCCAAACCATATCAGGGACCTTAATCTTTCCCTAAGAGAATCCCTTGGGTTATAGTAGAAAGGGTGGGTTAGGGTCTTTTGGGTTTCATAGGAACATTCTCAGGAGGCCAAACGTCTGAGCAGAAGATTCAGAGTTCCTGTCTGGCCTCTCCAGCTCCAGATGGGGCATCCCTCATGGCCCCTGGCCTAACTGGCCTGGATTTTTTTTTTTCTTTCTTTTTTTTTTTTGAGATGGAGTTTCACTCTTTTTACCCAGGCTGGAGTGCAATGGTGCGATCTCGGCTCACTGCACCCTCCACCTCCTGGGTTCAAGTGATTCTCCTGCCTCAGCCTCCTGAGTAACTAGGATTACAGGCACACGCCACCACTCCCAGCTAATTTTGTATTTTCAGTAGAGACGGGGTTTCACCATGTTGGCCAGGTTGGTCTTGAACTCCTGACCTCCAGTAATCCACCCGCTTCGGCCTCCCAAAATGGTGGGACTATAGGCATGAGCCACCACGTGCGGCCTGGCCTGGATTTAAGTGAAATAATTAACTAATCCTTCAACAAGTACCAATTGAGTACCTACTTTGTGCCAGGAATAAATGGATGGCAAGACAGACGTGGTCCCTGCTTTCTTGGAGCTTCTAGGTAAAGGCAGACTTTAGACAAGAAATCTTAGCTCAGTGGATGATTTCATCAAATTTTTTGTCTCCTCCAAATTCATGTTAAAATCCTAATCCCCAAGACAATGGCACTAGGAGGTGTGACCTTTGAGGAGGTGTGACCTTTGGGGAGGTGATTAGGCCATGAGGGCAAAGCCCTCCTAAATGGGATTAGAGCCCTTAGAAAAGAGGCCCCAAGGAGCTGCCTTCCCCTTTCCTACCACGTGAGGTCACCGTGAGAAGGTGCCATCTATGAACCAGGAAATAGGTCTTCACCAGACATGGAATCTGCCAGCATATTGATCTTGGACTTCCCAGTCTCCTGACCTGTGAGAAATAAATTTATGTTGTTTATAAGTCACCTAGTCTGTGACACTTTTGTATAGTGACCCAAATGGACTAAGGTAAAAATTGGTAGCTAGAAGTGGGGGTGCTGCTCTATATAACCAGTACCTCAGTGGGAAGGTGACTTTGGAACTGGATAATGGGTAGATATGGAAGAGTTTTGAGGTGCGTGCTGGCAAAATCCTACAGTATCATGAATAGATTGTAAAGGAGGATGCTGGTGAGAGCTCAAAAAAGGAGACTGGTAGAGAAAGTTTCAGTCCTCTTAGAGATTATCTAAGTGGCCACGAACAGAATGTTGGTGGAAATATGGACTGCAAAGGCCGTTCTGATGAGGCCTTAGACAGAAATGAGGACTGTATTATTGGATACTGAAGGAAAGGCAGTTCTGGTTATAAAGTGGCAAAGAACTTGGCTGAATTGTGTTCATGTCCTAGTGTTTTGTGGAAGGTAGAACTTACGAGCAATGACATAGCATATTTGGCTGAATAAATGTCTACAAAGTACTGAAGCCATGGCTTGGCTTCTCTTGAATGCTTATATAGTAAAATGCAAAATGCAAGCAGAGAGAAACAAATTAAAGATGGAATTTTTAATTAAAAAGGAAGCAGAACTTAAAAGATTTGAAAAAAAATCCAAACAGCTTTGGAATACAGAGATAATCTCTCTCCAGAGCAAAAGGAAAACTAGTTAAGTGTCCAATGTAATGAAGATAATGTCTCCTTCTGAGGCAAAAGGCAAGGGTCAGGCTGGCTTTCTTCCCATTATAAAAGATTCAGGTTCCCTAAGCTCGGAATTCCCCACTAGATGCACGGGCATCACCTGGCCATCTTCCAGTCACCCCGTAGGAAGTGGAGCTTGGGGAACTGCACCAAAGTTGAGACTCTGGCTGCTGCTATTGCTGTAAGTAATGAAGTCCTTTGTCTCTGACCCAGGAGTTTCATGTATTCTGTCAGCATCCATGTAACTATGGCATGCTAATCTATTAGTGTGTGAGTAGGGTAAAATACCAGACCCTTCACAGTTCTTAACACCCTCCATCCTATTATACTTCTTGCCTCCTTCAGTGGCCTTCCCTCCCCTATACACAAAACTCCATCAGCCCAGCCTCTCTACAGGGCTTCGCAATAGTATCACCTGCATCCATATTCCATGTTCACCTGCAGGTGGGTTTTCTCTCTCAGCCTTCCATCCCCAGGAATCCCGTGCACAGAAGGCAACACCGTTTTCATAATCCCACCCGGGCTTGGGTTTTTTTTTTTTTTACCAATCATTAGGTACTTTTGCATCCATCATTGTCATTGATCTTCTCGACAGTGCTGTCAGGGAGGGGTGACACAGTCCCCATTTGAGGGCCAGGGAAACTGAGATGTTCAGACATGGAGACTCATTAGCAGAACAGGACTAACTCCACATCCCGTGCTCTTTTCTCCATGCCACAGTTGCTGCTCATTTTCATGTTTTAATGTCAACCTGACCCATGCATGATTAGGTAGGTAAGGCCTGATAGAAGTAAAATAAAAATCCTACAAGGCTAAAGAGAGCTGGTTCAGAATTACATTAGCATTCATAATCAAGAGCTGCCTGCACATTTAAACATTTCCAGGCCCATCTCTTTCCCAAGGCTGGGAACTGAGCTTGAGCTTTTTCTGCAGCCCTTAAATAGGGGTATGGTTGTAGGTGGGGGAGTCCCTTTTAACAGTCCAGGAGAAGGGGCAGTGCTTCCCGGGTGGTGGTGGGAAGGCTGCAGGCTTACTCCAGGCAGCCTGGTTTGTTTTGAATTGTAGATTGCCTGGTTTGATTGGAAAGTCAGAAGTCTAGCCAGGCCCCCTGCAGACCTATTTATGTGGAATTGGTCTCCTCTCTGAGATGAAATAAGCGTCAGAGACTGCCCTGCCTGCCTGACACAGCCCTTGGTGTTGTCAAAGCAGGTGCCAACCTCAAGCTAAGGCTGAACATTTCAGGAGCGCTGGAACCCTGAACAACTACCCATCGCCAGCCCCCGCCACCTGCCCTGTGTGCTCTCTGAATTTCCTTTTCCTGCTTCCTGTCTGCATTGAGCCACATGAAACTTTTAGCATCTGCCTCCTCCTCAGCTCCTGTGAAGTCCCGTTCATTCTTTCTCCTCTACAACTTCCGTTTCATCTCTAAATGATCCAATATTAATGTTCTCATCATTACAGTGTTCGGAGGAAAAGAACTGATTTTGTCCACAGAGAGAGGGAGTTGAGAAATTAATATAATATTTGTTCAGGATTGATTTCAAGCTGTAATCCCTGCTGCCAGAGAGACCCATCTGTTTAAAACTATCAGACACTAATTACCCAGAGCGCGAACACAATAGCAGGATTGAGGAGCCACGTCCTGATCCGCCCCCACACACTTGTAATTTAGCATTGTTATTTATTAGGGAGAAAAAGATCTCTTAGTGAAGACGGATCTCCCGTCCACTTGACTGGCAGAGGCTCCTGGAGGACTGAGCATAGCAGGGAAGAAGCCCCCAGACTTTCTTCATCAAAGAATACCAGGAATTACATTCATCTAGCTATAAAAGGCAAATTCATCCTAATTCCTCCCCCCTCCCCTCTCCGACTCAGTCTGGACTCCCCACCAAACCAGCTCTTTGATGACAGTAAAGATACCACCATCCTCTGGGTAAACCAGGATTGAAAGCACCAGTTCATCTTTGAGTGTTCCCTTTCCCTCATCCTCCTAAGTAATTAGATGCCAGGTCCTACGAAGTTTGTTTCCACCACATCTCTCACACCTGACTCAGCTCCTTTGTTTTCAAGACTAACACCCAAGTACTTGAACAATAGTCCAGGTGATGGACGTCCAACTCCAGCCTCTGTTCCCTTCCAGTCTAGGTTATGCTCCATTGCTACCATGAATCCTCCCACCAAAAAAGATGGTGTGGGGGAGGTGAAGGGGGAGGAGAAGAGAAGAAGCAGCAGCAGCATAGCTGATCAAGTCTTTTACCTGTTCAAAAATCCTCAGTGGCTTTCCCTGGCCACCAAATAATTGGATATTTAATACCCTCCAAGCTCTGGCCTCAAGGCATTTTAAGCCATCCTTCTAGCTAGTCTTTTCATTCTGTAAATGTATAATCTGGGCAAAGTGGACTGCTCTCGCCTCCATATTCACTACAGAGTTTCTTGCACCAGCCTTAATGTTGTTTATTCTTACCACAGGAAAAGGCTGGCCCAGCTCCCTTCACTTTTCCTTCTCAAAACCCTTCCTCATCCACAGCCAGATCACTCTCCTTCCTCCTTCAATCAACTGTAGTGTTTTATTTGGGCCATGCTTTACAGCACCTATAATTTGCCTAATATCATCCTATTGGCCCTAACAGACTTGAAAGCTCCAACATTTCTGGAACTCTTGTTGTATACCAGACAGTGTGCAAAGCACTGGGAATGGTAGTTGACAAAATAGACATGGTGCCTTCTTTTATGAAGTGTACAGTCTGGTGGGAAGACAGACGAATTAAAAATTAATTTAGCATTTATGAGAGCACAAACTACTGCAAAGGAGGAGTTCAGGGTGCTGACAGGGAGACATAACTAGACTGGGGCTAGGAATGTTTCCATGAAGAAGCAATGTTTAGCTGGGTGCAGTGGCTCATGCTTGTAATCCCAGCACTTTGGGAGGCCAAGGCAGGAGGATCACTTGAGCCCAGGAGTTCAAGACCAGCCTGGGCAACATAGCAAGACTCCTACCTCAAAAAAGAATAAATGTTCAGGGAAGGGATTATTTAGACAAAGAGAAAAGAGAATATTTTAGTTTTTATTTTATATCTGGAAGAAAACAATGTGTATTAAGGCAACTCTGAGATCATACATGGGTTCTACAAAGGTTTGCCTTTGATAAAAGCATAAAGGATGGATACTATGGGCAGGGGTTAAAAGGGAGGATGGGAGCTGGTGGGGGGCAATTCATCTGGAAGCTGATAAATCAGTAGTCAGGAGGCTATTGCAAGAGTTTAAATTTGGGGAAATAATGACCTAAACTAGGCTCGAGAGGAGAGGCTGGATTAAGAGATGTTGAGGAAAGAGAATCACCAGAACTTAATTTCCAATTGGCTGTTGGTGGAAAAAGAGTAAAAAGTCCAGGATGCCTCTCAGTTTTCTGGGTTCTGGGTAGATGGTTGTTCCCTAAACTGGAGAGGAAATTTCAGGAGCAAAAGCAAATTGGAGGTAGGGCAGAAAAGAAACTCCATTTTGGATATAATGTGTCTGAGTTACTGGTGAGATATTGGAGGAAACCTTCCAGCCCTTTCAGAGGACCTACCATGGTGTTATGTGTAACAGTTTTATTGAGGTATGATTGGCATACAATAAACTGCACATATTTAAAATGTATAGTTTGATAAGATTTGACATTTATATACACCTGTGAAACTATCACCACAACCAAAATAGTGAACATCATCACCACCCCTAAAAAGTTGCCCTCTTCTCCACTGGTGCCATCCCTCCCACCCCTCCCAACCCCTCCTCTGCTGGCAACCACTGATCTGTTGTCTGCCACTATAGATCACTTTGTGTTTCCTAGAGTTTCATATAAATGAAAACATATGGTTCATTTGTATCTTTTATAGTACATATGTGTCTTTTGTGTGTGGTTTCTTTCACTCAGCATAGTTATTTTGAGATTCATCAGTGTTACTGCATGTTTTATTAATTCCTTTTTATTAATGTATGGTGTTCTATTGATTGCATATACCATAATTTATTCATCTATTCACCTATTTTGGGCTGTTTTCACATTTGGACTATTAAAATTATGCTGCTGTGAGCATCCTTCTACAAGTCTTTCACCTGATGAAAAACCCTGTTTCCCTTTCTCTTTGGTAAATAAATACCTAGAGTGGAATGACTGAATCATATATATCATGGCTACAATACTGTAATGCAATTCTAGCACTAACTACTTGACGCAGACTCCATAGACTAAGGGTTCAGTCCCCATCAAGACTGCCTTCACTTCAGATGCCAACTGCAAGCTTAGGGATCCCCAGGCCACCTGCACTTCTCACCAACTGGCTACAAATTCAGGAGTTCCCCCAACCTCCTCGGGTTTTAGGATTCACTAGGTTGAGTCACAGAGCTCTGGAAAGCAGCATACTTAAAATCACAGTTTCCTTATGAAAGATGCAAATCAGGACCAGCCAAAGGAAGAGACACACAGGGCAAATGCAAACTTCCATGTCCTTTCCTCATGGAATCAGGACACATCACCAACACACTGATGTGTTCACCAACCAGGAAGCTCCACTGAGTTTTGGCGCCCAGAGTTTTTGCTGGGGTTTCATTACATAGGCATGATTGATTGAATCATTGACCATGTGACTGAAATTAATCTCAGCTCCCCTGCCTGGAGGAGGTCAAGCTGATATCACCTGGCTGAAAGCTCCAACCCTGTAAACACACAGTTGGCCTTTCTGGCATGACCAGCCTCATCTTGAGTCATCTCCTTAGCAGAAACTCAGGTGTGTTCCAAGGGCCCACACGAATAACAAAGACACTTCTATCACTCAGGAAATCGCAAGGGTTTCGAAGCTTATTCCCGGGGACCAAGAGTCAGTTAAATTCTTTATTATACAACAAAGGCGTCCCACGTTTAATAAATCTTGGCTAGATATATTAATGACTAAATTAATAAATGAACACATACGTGAATGACCTGGAATAACTTTTCAGTTGCATAGGACTAAAAACCAGCTCAAACCAATTAAGAAAATGTTGGCTTACACAGTGCGGAAAAAAACTAAGTGTTTGGAGAGTCAAGAAAGACCTTCAGGTATTCAATAACCAGGAGCTATAACTAGGACTTGAGACCATCAGAAATTGATTTCTCATCTCATTTCTGTTTGTTTCTCTGCTTCACCTGCAGAAGGGCTGTTTTTCTCCTCCCTTGTGACAGGGAACATGGCTTTCAACTCAATTCATAGATTTGTGTTCTCTTAGCATTAATATATATTTCAGGGAAAACTCTAGTTGGCCTTATTTGGATCATGTGCTCGGTTCTTGGACCAATCACTGTCCCAAGGGAGGGGAGGACTGTCCAGGCCTGGGTCACATGCCTGTCTCTGTGGTCTGATGTTGTGATTGACAGGCCAAATAGAACGCTGGGGACTGGTGGATCCTCAGTGGAAAAAACGATGAACAGATAAATATGAGATACCTGCTACACTTTATGTCTACATAGTTTTTAGAATGTAGGAAGGGTTTTCCACATATATTATCTTGTGTAATCCTCACAGTAACCCTGTAAAGTAGGGTTGCATTTCACAGATGAGAAAACAAGGCTTGGTGAGATCAAAGGTTCAACTAAAACATGTTAGAAATGACTAGGACTTGGTCTTGTAACTATGAGTTCAGGAAAATATGTATCTAGTTTATACTTCAGAGTCTAGGCAAAGGCTTTTCATATTCTGTCATCAACTGTTCATTCACAACAAACAAAGCAGTGTTGCTGCCCTAGCGGAGCTGACATTCCAGTGGGGAAAATGGATATTGATAAAATGATTTTAGCTAGCAGCATGCGTTAGGCCATTCTTGCATTGCTATAAAGAAATACCTGAGGCTGAATAATTTATAAGGAAAAGAGGTTTATTTGGCTCATGGTTCTGCAGGCTGTACATCATGGTGCCAGCATCTGTCTAGCTTCTGGGGAGGCCTCAGGGAGCTTTCAATCATGGTGAAAGGCAAAGGGGGACCCCATGTATCACATGGAGGACAGTGGGAGCAAGGGGATTCAGGGAGGTACCACACTCTTGTAAACAACCAGATCTCACAGGACAGCACCAAGCCATGAGAGATCTGCCCCCCACGACCCAAACACCTCCCACCAGGCCCCACCTCCTACACTGAGGATCACATTTCAACATGAGATTTGGGTGGGACAAACATCCAAACCATATCACAGTGCTATGAAGAAAATAAAACAGGTCAGTAGGATTGAGGACACCGTGGGTATGTAATCAGGGAAGGCCTCTCAGGGAAGAGGTCGTTGGTAAAGATAGCTGAATGAACACCACGCAGCCATTTCTCTTTGAGCTGCAGCTTGAGAATGCGGACTCCGCTCTTCAGCAACGATGCCAGCAGGTAACAACCACCCCGCCCAGAACACCCTCCCTAGCCTTGGGAGCTGTCTTTCTAACTCCTCAATGATGGGTCTGCCAGGTCTGAATGTGAAGGAACAACCCAAATTGCAGCTTGAATTATTGAAATTTAACCAAGGGTGATATTTCAGACTCTTCTGACAAGAAAATCACGGATTCTCTTTGGCAGTAGAAACTATTTCTGCCTGGCTATGGTGGCCTATCAAGAGCCTTGTGTGGTCTTTCCAGGGGTAGAAGGGTGAACTAACCAGGGTCTGTTCCAGCTCTTACCTTTGAAGCTATGATGAAAACCAAGCTCATTCCTGGCTTTTGATACAAAGGAAAAGTAAAGAAAGCAGAATCACCATTCCTTTGGGAAGCCGGCCCTGTCTCCATGGTAGTCAGGAAGTTTGTGATATGTCCACGTCAAACCAATGACTCCTCTGGGAAAGTATCAAATTAAGACCTTTCCATAGAAAAGCATAATGCTATTGATTAAAGAGCAAACACCAAAATCAGAACTCCCCTGGCCCCATAGTTGGATGGATTTATGTTCTCCTTGTCTCTAAAACTTGAGCTAGAACACAGTTGGTACCCCTGGGAATTTGAGACTCAGAAAATAAGCAGAGCCCTTTCCTGGAAGATTTCTGCATCAGCCTCAGTGAGGGGTGGACGGCTTGCCTGACTCCAGATATAAATGACGTGGGCTTTCTGTGTGGCCTGACGCCCCCAGTTTTTACGAATAGCAGCTAATGTCACATGCAAGACACCCAGAGCACAGAGCTGGGTATGTTGAAGACATTTATCACCTGATTGAAAGAATTAATGACATATTTTGTAATTTCATAAACCTTTCACACATGGATCTCTTTGCATTGAGGTAAACACGATGAAAAGTGATTGAAATTGACTTGCTGCCCTAAACTATTTTAGGGGAGGAAAAAACATCTTTTCCTTCTATCCTCCTGATATGGTTTGGCTGTGTCCCCACCCAAATCTCATCTTGAATTGTAGTTCCCATAATTCCTACATGTTGAGAGAGGGACCTGGTGGGAGATAATTGAATCATGGGGACAGTTTCCACTGTTCTGTGGTAGCGAATAAGTCTTATGAGATCTGATGGTTTTATAAGTGGTTTCCCCTTTCTCTTGGCTCTCACTCTCTCTTGTCTGCAGCCATGTAAGATGTATATTTGCTCCTTCTTTGCCTTCCGCCATGATTGTAAGGCCTCCTCAGCCATGTAAAACTATGAGCCCATTAAACTTCTTTTTCTTTATAAATTACTCTGTCTTTATTAGCAGTGTGAGATCAGACTAATATACCTCCTACATTTATGACTGGGGCCTCTGTAACAAAAGACAGATTAACAAGAGAAAAAGCTTACAAATTTATTTAATACAAGTTTTATGTGACGAGAGAGCCTTCATAAGGAAATGAGGATCTGAAGAAACAGTTAAATGGGAGTGTTTTTAATAATAGGTTTGATAAGGAGGGGAAAGTCATGGAGAAATATCACAGGGCAGAGAGTACAATGTAAGTGTGGTGAACTGGGGAAGCTTAGCAAGGCTTGTTTTTCTGGATTCCTCTCTGTCTCCTTTTGTCTTGAGAGATAAGGATGCCCCTTTCCTCCAGCTACAGGAAGGGCAACTCTCACACGAGGGTCTTATGACCTGCTTCAGAAGGTCAGAGTCCTTCCCAAAGTTTATGACCACTTCAGGGGACCGCCTCAGGGGACCTTCCTGCTTCTGCTGTTTTCTCAAATTCCTCTAGCTTAAAATATTCAACATGCCAAAGTGCCATATTGTGGGGCAGTATGTCCTGAACCCATGATTTTTTAACACCAAGTCTTCTCTTCCCCTTCTTGACTGCTGCAGAGATCCTGTGTTTCCTTTAAAGGCCCGGTTCTAAAGTCATCTCTCGTGTGATGCCTCCCCTGAGTCGCCAGGGACGGCCGCTCTGTTCCCGGTCACTTTGTGCATGTATAGCATCATCACACAGTGCTGTAGCATATGCATCTGTGTGAGTACACATCTGTCTTCTCCGAGATTGCGAGTGCCTTGGGAAGAAGCACCGAGTGTTCTTCATCTCAGTCTCCCCTGTCCCTTGTACGGTGTCTGGCTGAAGCTAGAAAGTCAGAAAGTGCTGGTCAAATGAATAATTCATTGAGAATGGATGAATGGGCGTCCAGGACCCTTCCTCACTTTGAAATCTCTGTGGCAGTGGGTTACATAGGTTTAAGAACATTGATCAGAGTCTTGGCCTAGTTAAATTGATCTGATGGTCTCACCATCCAAACGGCACTTACCTTCCAAAGCTGTGCTTTCTCTGAGAAGCTGTCTCCATTCCATCACTATGGAGGATCGTGCATGATGAAAAAGAGATACTAACAGGAAAACAGCATCAATCAGTTGTGGAGCCTGAACCGAAGACCTGAGTGAGATGGATAAAGTGAGGAAGGAGATAAGGACCCCCCACCTGACCTGTCAGGCCAACCCTGGAGGTCAGTGGAGTGAAAGATAAGACGGCCAGATTACTCACATCTGAGGGCAAACTCATTTAAAACTACAGTGGGCAAAGTTTAGGTTAGAGCAATTAATTCCCACAGGAGGGTCCCAGAACTGGTAGCATGGAAGTCAGATCATAGGATTTCCTTTTCTGCAGTTCTTAGAGAGGCTACCACTTCTCTCCTCCTCCCCCCCAACCCCCACACCCTTCATCCATGTCAAGTATGTCAAGTGGCTGTGGGGCTATCCTTCCTGGAGGCAAAGGGAGAGAGGCTGGGACCTCCAGCAGCCAGGGCTTCTGGGGCTCTCCCAGCATCCTGCTGCCAAGATACTGGGCAGACCACCAGGGACTGCCTTCTCCAAGTCCCCAGTCCAGGCACAGCGGTGTCAGTCATTAAAGCTCATTTCTTCCTGTTATTAGCAGAGACGAGTGTCATGTGCGGGGAGGTGAAGCGCGCTTTCTGGCTGTAATCCTTCCCTCCCCGTGGCTGTGAGGCAGAGCCAGGTGCAGAAAGCAGCTGAATTAAACAAAGTCATGGGAGTAGGGGCAGAGAGGGACGGTGTAATAGGAAGGAAATGCTCACTCTGACAAAAGGAAATCAAAGCCCCAAATGATCCCGCAGGGAGGAAAGGTGAACAGGAGGGAAATGAAATGGAAAAAACCAACAAATTGGAAATCGGGCACAGAGGTGGAGGGAAGGAATTGGAATGCTCTCGTGCTGGGATGCAGCTCCCCAAAGAGCTGATCTCTCTGGAAAGGACCTGAGAGCCAACAGGTGTGCGTTGTATTTCCATGGAGTGAAGGTAGCTTGGTCTGCTGCCACTTCATCAGCAAAAAGGTGGCCCAAGCGGAGGCCTCTCCTGGCCTGTAATTCTTCCCTAGCAGCCACTGTAACCTGAAAAGACTGGTTGATTCTCCTGCCAACAGTGATTTCCTGGTAAGGCTGTCTGGGAACCCTTGAAAACATTTCTCATCTTGGCATCGGTGAAAGTGCTGGTGGCCAGACATATCTGTACACACTGGAGGACAAAGAACCCAGAATGCAGGGTGGACTCCACCAAGCTCACACCTCAGTGGCTTACTGTCTTTTGAGGACAATGTCCCTGGGGATTCAGCAGTGTCCCATTTGGAAGACAAAAGGTCCGGTGGCTCATGCCTGTAATCCCAGCATTTAGAAAGGCAGAGGTGGGGGGATAGATTGAGCCCAGGAGTTTGAAACTTGCCTGGGCAACATAGTGAGACTCTTTTATCCACAAAAAGCAAAAAAAAAAAAAAAAAAGACAAACTAAAAGGGAGTGTTCTTCCTAATAATATGTTTTTCTAGGCACAAGTCTCATCTCCTCCTCTGGAAAAGCCTGCCCTACACGTTCAGTCCCGATAAGTTCTCCACCTCACCCCTCTAATTTTCTATTAACCCCACCCCGCCCACACATACGCAGCCTTTTCACCCCTTCTGCCTTTTCAGCGTCCTTCACACTACTGAATCTCTGGCTTCCACCTCTGCCATTAGGAAGCTCTTCCTCCTCTTGCTCTCCACTTTCTCTTGCAAGTTGACCCAGCTTTCTCTGGAAGCCTCTGCACAGGCTACCTGGGCAGGCCCCAGCATCTGCACATGCTTCACTGCAGCCCTCTGGGCTCCTTTATGAATGTCATTAAGTCTCTTTCTGGTGTTTCTTCCAGCCTGCCTTAATCTGAGGGCCCCACACGAGCCGGCTCAGGCCTCCTCTTCCTTCGTACCTCCCTCGAAGCCTGGGATTCTGGGCAGTGAGTGCTCCAGCAGCTGACTGACTCCCATGGGTCTGAACACCACCAGCCAGACAAGGCTTTCAGCGCTAAATGACATACTTTGGGGGCAGCAGCTATGATGTCACCTTTATAAACCCACATGCTGGACTCGGAGCTGTCATATTGTCTACTAAATCCCTCAGAAGGAGGAAGTCTGAATCGAGATGGATTTCAAATGTTCGTTTCCAGTCAAACGGACTTAAAACTGTGCATGTGAGGAGGAGTTCAAGGAAGTCAGCCTTGTTCTCCTGGAGGAGAAGCCTCGGGGTTTCATGCTAGTCGCCTTTCAGCAGGAGCCAGGCTGTCGTGGAGGGGAGAGCTGAGACTCCATCCTGTTGCTCCATGGGGTAAAAGCAGAGCCAGTTGTTATCAACCCAATGTGGACAGACTCCAGCTCAACAGAAGAAAAGCCAGGGACCTTGAGACCCTCTGAGCATCCTGTAGCTGTAAGGGTATAAGTGAAACGTTGCCCAACTTGTAGAGGAGATTTAAACATGGAAAGGGGAGAGAAGAAGGCATTGGAGGGGAGAGAAATGAGAGTGGACCAGATGGCCTTCAAACTCTTTCTAGCCCTGAAGAATCTGACCATTACTATAGAAAGAAAATGGCGCAAAACAGCAAGAGACTTCAAAGCCCCTGAGAACAATTGTCCTAATGATGGAAGTCTGGAGAGGACTCCAGAAGTCATTTTCTACAATCTCCCCATCCCCAGGCAGCCTTGCCCCACTGTGCATTTATCACCAGCCCAGAGATTTCCACTGGAGCTAGCTGGAATTTCTACAAGGCAGCAGCCAGAGGTGGTGGTGGGCTCTGTGGCAGCAGGTGGAGAGGAAAGGCTCTTTCTGGGCTGAGCATCAAGCTGGAAAAAACATTGCTGAAGACCCCACCACCAGCCCTCAGGTCTATTGCAGATGCACCTCTCTGTGCTGGAGGGAGAGAGCTTGGCGAGGGAGCTCAGTTGGAAGCGGTGAAACAAGCATCATTCTATTGTTGAGCTGCCTCGCCAGCTGCTGACAAGGGAGGCTTTGCAGACAGACTGAACCTATGGAGAGATGAAAGTCGCTCAGATATAGACACACACACTCCCAGAGTTTCCTGTGCTTAAGCTGTTTGGAAGCTCTTGTCATACGCACCTCGAGCAAAGAGAAAGGAGGCGAGCGGGAATGACTGCTGGAAGTTGAGCATGTTTCCCCAACGCTGGCGCTGCTCTGTAATTCTCCTCCTTCACTAAGGAAGCTTTCTTTCAAAATAATTGGGGAGTGGCATGACTCACAATCACAGTGCCTTCACTCCCCGAGGAACAAGAAGTTAATGGGCTTGCTGTAGGGTGACTAGGGGAATTTGCCCCTCGGTGGGGATCTTCCCAGACCCCCCGGGGACTGCCGCGTGCTAGCTAATGTGGGCCAGCACCAGTGTGAGGCCAGCCCTCTGAGCCTTGGAAGCATCTGGTGAGCTTTGTGCTCTCTGTGCAAGTGGTTGGCATCCTATAGGCATAACCGTAGGCTTTCAGAGTGGGCACAGGCCAAATGTCCTCCCCATGGTGGAGATTAACCGGGCTGGGATCCCATTACAGGAGAGTCTGTGATGCTAGTTAACTCATGCTGGTTCATCTGCTCATCTTGGCTCTGCTGTCACCTTCTCAGCCCCCTCCCTGTCTCCCTTAATTTGATCATCTTGGCCCCCTCCCCTGTCGGGGCTAGAGGCTGCCCCAGGTCCCCATCCTCCCAGACTTACCTTCATCTCTGCTGATCACACAGCACACTCTGTGTCTTTTTATTTTCCTGCCTCATCCAGTAGGTTCTGAGATCCTTGAGGGTCCTCTCCACACTTTGTTAAACCAAGAATACAAATTGCTCAAAAGCAGGGCAGGGCTGGGTCCAGGGTGAGCAAGGAAGGCATCCAGGGTGCAAAATTCAAGGAGATACACACTCTCGGGCTTCCACAAGCCCAGGTGGGCCCCTGAGAATGAATGCCTCCTGAAAACACTGGAAAACACCAGGTTGGGCTCACTGGAGTCCTGGCCCTGGGGCACGGAAAAGGAAAGAATATTAATTGTTAAAAACCAACCATGTAGAGACACTACACTATTTCACTGATCCTCAAAGTAATCCTGTAGAATAGGTACTGACAGCTTCATTTACACATAAAGAAAATGAAGCTCGGTACAGTTTTGCACCTTGACAATAGTCCCAGAACTAATATCACAGACCCGGAACAAACCCCAATCTTCCTAACGCGGAGGCGCATCAGACTGCCTCCAGCAACCGTCCGCAGCTGCTGTCCCATGTCAGAGAAGAGTGCCTCTGAACGGGTGTCCTCTGAGGGGACAAAGGGCTTGGCCTCCTGGACATGAGGGTAGGTGGAGCTCTGCCCAATGCCCCCAAATCCTGACTCGGCAGGTGTGGCTGGGCCTGGGAATATCTGTGTTTGCCAAGGTCCCTAGGAGGCGCCCATGCACCGTCTGGTGGTGGGGACGCTGCACTGCACCAACTTCCATGTAGGGCCAGAAAGTCCTCCCTTAGGGCCACCCTAACTCACAGGCCTTTCACTGCAGCCCCTCCCCTCTCACCCAGGCCTCCGCGGAGTCCCCCTGCAGGAGCTTCCTGCCCGGGGCTGTGCCGGCTGCCAAGTTGTGCTGCTGCCGGTGCTCGGATGGACCCCGGGGAGCAGCAGCCACTGCTCAGAGCAGTCTGTTTTGCCTGTTGCCGGAGGCTGGGGGGTGCAGGAGCAGCCCTGGAGGGGCTTGGCACTATCAGTGGCGGAGGGGTCTGTGTAGACTCAGAGACAGATGTGGCAGGCAAAGATGGGGGACTTTGTCAGCAGCCCTACTAAGCCTAGATAGTTCTGCGTCCCCAGGCCCCACCCCCCGGCTCCTGCCTTTACTCCTACACCCCCTTTCCACCAGCATCACCACTGAGGGGGGCAGCCCAGCCGGCTTCGGCACCAGACAGGCAACGGCAGGAAGCACAGAGGAAACACCAAGGGAGAACAGGTACCCAGGGCAGCCGGAGTGGGCCTCGCACACCCCCACAAGCAGAGTCCCTGCAGCAGCAGAGCCGTCGGTGGCATCAGGGCGGCCAGCTGTGCCCCAGGTTTCCAGAGTGGAGAGGAAGGGACCCCACACTCGGGATGGGCTCCAGGGTGCTGCGAGCAGCGGGTGGCCCCGCTTGGAGCCAATCTGCCTACCTGGAGCAACCTGCCTACCAAAGACCAGAGTCCCACCCAGGAAATCAGGCCCCAGAGAGGATGTACCCGCACCCTGCCAGCTGCTGCCACACTCATCACCTCTCTCTTGTGACTTAAGTCTTCAGGCCGCAGTTCTCAGCGCCCTTCCTGCCCCACAGGCTGCCTCCAGCCCAAACTACACAGCTTCCAGAAAGCGTTCTCCTGCCCAGACCCCTGCCCCTTTGAACACAGGACAACCCCTCACCTGGCATCCCCGGGCACCCATGATCTGGCCCAGATCTCCTGGAGGGTTCACCACTGATCCTCCAACACAGCCACATCTTCCCATCTCCCGCCTACCTCCCCTGCCTCTTGGTTCTGCTCTTCATCTGCCCACATCTGACATATCTTCAGGATCCATTTCAAATCCTGCCTCTCCTCCTCTTCCTTCTCTTATCCCCTAAACCTTTGGCCTCCTGGAGCCCTTTGCCTGTGGCATTTGCATCACTCCCCATATACCCCAGACTAATCTATGAATTCCTTAAGGGCAGAGACAGAGCTGTCCTCAGCATTGTGCTTCCCTACACACACCAGCCTCTGCCATGCCCACAGCTCCTCCCACACACATAAAGCCATCAAGCCTCTTTCTTCAGAGGACCTCCACAGGCAGGAAGTCCTGCCTCATATCCAGCCCAATTCCACCCTGCTCAGGGCTCATTTTCATTCCTCAGTGAAGATGGAGAGCAGTGGATTATCTTCCCCTAAATAATAACCCTTCCTAGGCTTTCACACTATTATTAAATCACCTTTAAGCCACCTTTCTTCTTCAGGCTAAAGAATCCCAGTACTTTTCATGTTCCTTCAGAACGTGACTCTCTGCCCTGTAATTAGCTTGGCAATACTTTTGAATTCTCCCCAACTTCTCCACACCCAGAAAGAAGAAGTGCCTTGAGAGGGGACCAAAAGGAACTGTGTGGAGGGTCTACGATGTTCCAGGGATCACCCCTACTACATTTAATCCTTCTAGCTTGCTGCTCTTCACCCCAATTTACAGATGAGGAAACAGAGGCTCAATATGCTCAGCAGGGCTTCTCAACGTTAGCTGACATGTTGGTTCAGATGATTCTTTGTTGAGCAGGCGCTGGCTATGCCTTGTAGGACGTTTAGCAGCATTCCTGACCTCTACCCACTTGATGACAGCAGTAACTACCCCCCCCCCCACAACACACACACACAGTTGTGACTACTAAATATGTCTGCAGACATTGCCAAATGCCTTCTGAGTGTGAAATCACCTCCAGCTGAAAACCACTGGGTTAAAGGAATTTTGCAGAAATCAATCAACTTGTAAGTAACAGACACTAAATTCAGATCTGTCAGCTTCAAATAATTTTCTTACTTCTACCCCCATACAACCTCCTAAGACAAAGTCTCATCTGAGAAAGTAATAGGAAAATGTCACTATGTTTTCCACTTTTATCACTCCTTACCCCAACATTTAATCTTCTATATGTGTCACTGGGATCAACTCATAGATGATTCTGCTCCGAGTCTAACCCACACTCTCCAAGTTTACCCACACTCAATTTGAAAGCATTAGCTTGGGTGCACCGTAACCACAGGAACTTTCTTTTTTCCAATCAATTGCTCAGTATCACTTATTTCAGGCCTGCTGCAGAGAACTAGCAGAGAAAATGGAGAACAGACCCTCCTCCTCCAAGAGCAAAAGGTCCAACTTGGGAGCCGGGGATACACATGAGGAGTTCTAACACTTACTGACAAATGCACAGACCATTCTTGCACAATTCCCAGCAGGCTATCAGAAAGCAGGAACACTGAGTCCACTGAGCAGTTGCTTAGACTAAAGATGCCAAGCAGTCAGTGCAAGGAGTTAGCTAAGACCAGCCTGTGGCAAGGTGGAGATGCTGCCATCAACCGAAGCAGATGAATGTTGTGGACTGCACGTCGTGACGGGGACATGTGTGCTGATGGGATGCAGGGTAAGGGAACCAGGTGTCCACTTGCTGCCGTTGCTATTTCTGTGCTCCAGACCAGCCTGGGGAACTGAGCTCTGCTCTGAAGCAGGCTCCTACTCCCCTTCCACCTCCTATTCCAGGTGTCAAGGGTGGGAAAAACATACCAGGTTGGAACATCTTGAACTTCCCACCGGTTGTTCCAGGCATTCGTCCGAAGCCACGTCAGGCCTAATGCAGTTCCTTCATCTCTATACACCTGCCAAATCTGATTTATTCTTCAATATTTGCTTAAATGCTGCTTCCCCCTTCTCTCCTTCAGTCCCCACCACCCACTCTCTACTCTGGCCAAATCAGTCTGCTGATCTTATCCCATCACAATTTCCTATTAACATTCCTTTTTCTTATTTATTCTTTCAACATATGGCTTTTCAGACTCTACTCTGTACCAGGCACTCTTCTACAAAGCTGCTGTAACTGCTGCATCCTCAGTACCTGGAATAGTGCCTGGTGCAGAGTAGAGGGAGACACTGACATTCTGGTCATGATTTCCATCTGTGCTTTGGCCTCACACACTGCATCTTAAACTTTAAAAACTCAGCCTTTGCTTCAGCCTTAGGTCATACCTCACCTCTTCCATGGAGCCCTCCTTCAACTCAAGCAGGGTCGGTCACTCCTCATGCTGGACTTTACTGTGAGCCATGCAGTTGATGCGTATCAAACATGACATTTTCTTCTCTTTCTGTGTCTGTCCTCTCTCCCAATGTAAGATCCCAGGAGGGTGAGGACTCGTCTGTTTCGCCTGTATGGTTCTGAAGCACCCAGCAGAGTTTTGCCACAGATAAATAATAACAGCATGTTAGGAAAAAATAACAACTAGCATTCATTGCATGCTTATAAAGGACCAACTACTGTTCAAGATACTTAATAAGTATCAGCTCACTTGATCCTGACAACAAGCCTATGGGGTTGGTAGGAGCTCATGCAGGAAGCACAAACACAGGTGGAGGTGGCTACAGTGGCAGTGGCGGTGGCAGCAGAACTGATAATACCATGTGCCAGGATGAGCAGAGCCGGTGGGTTACAGAACGTGGGCTTTGGAGGAAGACCTGGATTGGAGGCCTGGCTCCATCATCTATCAGCCGGGTGACCTTGGGCAAGTGACTTCTCTTCCCTTGGCTTCATTTCCTTCACTATAAAATGAGGATAATTCCAGCACCCGCCTCACAGAGCACAGAGGTGTGTGACAACTCTATGAGCTGTGCAGACCACGCACCTCCAGCACAGAGCCTGACATTGGTCTCAACAGTCAGCAGATGGGAGTGTTTGCTGTTGTTATTGTTGTTGTTATTATTGTATCCCCCTTCCAAGAATCACCCACACCTGTTTTCTGTTCCATCCTGCCTCAGCTTCCCATCCCCCGATTACCCTCCTTCCACATCCTCAATCAGGTAGAGGAAAATCTGAGTGCAATATACTGAGAAGACACTCTTCAGTCACTACCTTATTCCTCCTCTTCCAACAAATGAGCCCTGAAACAAATAGATCCCAGATGTCACGACTTATGTATAAAAACCCAGGACCTTGGGACCAGAGAGGGAATGGAAGCTCTGCTTGGGTGCTGAGAGAGCACTGAGGACTCAAAGATATGCAAATCCAAGGGGGCAGCTCAGGAAGCCGGGCTACATGTGAGATTGTTATCATCTCTTTTCTGCTACTGCAGCGATGATGATCGGCTGAGCTCTTTCATTAGAAATCTGATGCTGCTGTTGAAAAAAAAAAAGAGAGAGAGAGAGAAATACACAGCAGCCTCAAAATGTGGGCACAAAGCGGTCTCCTGGGGAAAGCAGCTTTATTTGTGTCGGCTACGAGTACTAAGGTCCTGTTCATCCGCTGTTTATTTGTGCTGTTTTGTTCCCCAGCACATGACCTTTATTCCATCCACGTTTTGCAGGGTACCAGGAGTGCTAAACTCTTTGCATTTCTCCTGCATTTACAGCAGTTGGGATCTATGGCAGCCTCCTTCTTCCTGGCTTTCATCTCTGCATCCCTCCATTTCTGCCTGCAGCAGTGAAGCATCAATTATACACTCCAATTATGTGATTACACATATTTTCACTAATTAATAATTCTTGCCACTCATCCTGCCAACTCCCATTGGAGGGCTTCAGAGGGCACTGGAGAGGATAACTCACAGCTCTGCCACCTGGGAGGGAATGAGCAAGGCCTGAAGAATTCCTGATATGAAAGGGAAACTGAGGCACCACAAGGTACTTCCTTGTGACAGAGGCAACCACTGAATCCAAGACTTGCCTTTGTCTTGATAGGGGATTTGCTTGAGCAAATAGATCCATTTGATGTTGCTGCTGCCTGAAGAGGTGGCAGGAAGAAGAAAGTAGTTTAGCCCAGGGGTAGCACTTTGTAGGTGTTAAATTGGCTATCATTAAGGCTCAAATTTCTTCTTACTTATAGAAATCTGGATTTTGGGGGTTACATACCATAGTGTGTCCTCCCCTCTTGAGACTCAGTAGCATGCTGTGAAGAAAAGTTACTCTGTGATTTGGATAAAAACATAGCTCTGTTCCCCAGAGTCATACAGGAATGAGAAGGCTGAGGCCTGGGAGGTGACCCAGTCCAGCCTACTCCATTTTCAGAGACAGAGGCTTGAAACCCAGTGCCATTAAAAATGACAAGCACACCTCAATCTTACGTCCGTTGTCAAATTTAATCATCAAAACAATACCGTCGGGTAAATTTTACTGCCCTCATGTTACAGAGGAAGCTGAGGTCTAAAGAGTGACTTGCCCAAGGTCACACAGCTTATAGACAGAACTGTGACTAAGCCTAGGTTTCAGAACATCCCAAAACCAACACCGTTTTGATTGTGTCATGTTGAGAATACAGCCAATTAGTGGCAGAAGACTCCAGCACTTTGACGCGTATGACAAATCTGTGAGCTCTTGGAGTAGAAGATAAGCCAATCTGACAAAGGGAACAAGACATTCCACACTTAAGTTGAGTCTTCCTGAAGCCAAATTTCACTTTCATTGATGCAGTCAGACAAAAGTCCTAGTCATTGAAAAAAAATCAATCAAAGCAGTTTTCAGATGCAGCAGACTGGTCAATTGCTGGAGCTGATCAGTTCAGGTCAAACAGGTCATGCAGACTGAGTTAAAGCCATGATGCCGGCAGGCTGAGTGATGTCAAGGTTATGTCTCCACACCCAACGGCAGAAACCTCGCTCAACTTGGTCCAACCATCAGTTCATGCGCCCTCTTCTCCCACTTCCCCGCTGCATGGGGCCACAGTCAGCAGAGAGATCTGGGCATGTTTGTGTACCTCAGCCCCACTCCCACCACAATGGGGAGACAGAAGGTCAGGACCTGTTTTATACTGAGTCTGCTGCCAAGGGCAAAGTTGGCTTCAGTGGACTTAGGCAGGTTCAGAACTTATACCCAGGAGAAAGGCTTATACCCAGGCAGGCTCAGAACTTATACCCAGGAGCAAGCAAACCTAATGAAAGGAGATGCATCTCCAGGTCTGCCACTCTATCAAGCCTCCACCCCACAGGTACCTGGCCTGCAGGGGAGGCAGCCTCCAGCCACACCCTGAACCATTTGCATCACACGAACAGGTCTGAATCCTGCCTGTCACTTTCCCCAGCTGCCTAGTTCTGGAAAAAATGACAGAATCCCAGCATTCCACATTCAGCTCAGAGATTGGATGTGAGCTCTCTGGCAGCTTTTTATCAGTCCTTTTCATAGAACTGACTTGCTAGACTGTGTATTAATTTTCTGTATAATCTTCTATTGACTCTTAGAAGTTGGGAGAGTTGGTATTAAGATGCTATGATGCACAAAAAGATATACAAATGGCCAATAAGTACATGAAAAGACGTTCAACATCTTTAGTCATCAGGGAAATGCAAATTAAAAGTACAATTAGATGCCACTACCCACTCATTAGATGGGCTAAAATTTTAAAGAATGAAATTACAAATGTTGGCAAGGATGGGGAGCACTGTGTACGTCCTGCATGGCTCCTTTAGGTGGACTCTCCTACATTGCTGGAGGGAGCAGAAAATGGTGCAAAAACCACTTTGGCAAAATAGGCCCATTCTTAAAATGTTAAACATAACACTTCTCTTAAGACCTAACGATTCCACTGCTCAATATTTACCCGAGAGACGCGAAAACATATGTCTACATAAAGACTCATACATGAATGTTCATAGCGAGTTTATTTGTAATACCCCCAGCTGGAAGCAACCCCAATGCCCATCAATAGCAGGTGAATGGATAAATAAATCCTAGCATAGCTATACAATCAATGGAATATTACTCAGGAGAAAAAGGAACAAACTACTAAATGCAACAAAATGGATGAATTTCAAAAAAAAAATACACCAAGTAAAAGAAGACAGACACAAAAGAGTATATATTATATGATTTCATTTATATAAAACTCTAGAAAAGAGAAATCTAATCTATAGCGACAAGAAAGTACATCAGTGATTGCCTGGGACCATGAGTCGTGGGGAGATTGAGTAGGACTGAGTACCAGGGAAGCCAGGGGGTAATGGAAATGTTTATATCTTGATTGTGGTGGTGGTTACATAAGGGAAAACATCTGTCAAAACTCACTGAGCTCTACACACATAAAATAGGTCTATAAATTATACTTCAGTCGAGTTGGGGAAATGCCACGTATAAGACTATTACAAACAACCTTAATTTTGGATTTAGAGAAACACCTTTAAATTAATAACATTTAAATCTAACCCAAATTTGTAATTAAAAGAACAAATGTCAAAAAAAAATTAAAAGAAGAATACACACACACACACGCACACACACACACACAAAGATGCTATTATGATGGACTCCATCCTGGCTACCCAGGAATAACTGAAAACTATCCCCAAGAAGAATCCTTAAAGAGATGGAATGGATACAAAGGAGGAAAAGCAAGACAAAGAAATATGTTTTTATCAGACATAGTTTTGTCCTCAACCCACTGCAGAACTCTGGTCAGAGCTGGACACTGTCATGTGACAGCACCATTGCTAGACCAGGCAGCCTGGAAAGCCATAAAAACAGATAAGCCCCAACCCCTCCTCCTGCTCCTGGTGCCCAAGCCCAAGCCTCAGAGTCTGCTCTTCCTACGTAAGCCACATCCACCAGCACCAGTGGAAAAGGAACCAGAGAGGGGCATTCATGCACTCGGGTTGATTTCATCCTCTAGGGCATCACCCACTGGCACATACAGCCTAATACATGTCCAGTGAATCCTTAGTCTAAAATGGGGTTCACAAATTCAAATTCCTACAGAGGCCTACTAGGGAAGGTAAGTAAGTGGATGAAGTGGGCCCACGGAGAGACAAGAGGAAGGGGTGGGGACTGGGGTGGACCCAGGAACGCACAAGTCTTGTGTAAGAGGAGCACCATGCTTCAGGGCCTACATTCCCACATGATTGGTAATGTCCAGTGTAATCAGGCCTCCTGATTTTTCAAGATAAGCCAAAAATTCAAGCTTTTCTGTAAACTGTTTCAATTTTAAATATCGACAACAAATCCAAAAAATTTGAAATACGGTATGGGCCAAACAAAACACATTCTCAGGCCAAAGGCCAGGTTGTGATAAGGCCCTAGAGGTCAACGTCCCCTTGGGGCAGGAACCACAGCAGAGCCCAAGAGCTGTATTCTCCACTGAAAGGATTTGCTTTAACCTCCTGGTCAAGGCATAAATCCTCCATTCAACATTCCAAGCAAGCGGTTTTCCAGCCCATCCTTGAAATCTCCAGTGACTGGGAGATGGACCTGGGATTGTGTGCTCTCTCCCCTGCCCTCTTCCGCTGGCTCTGACCATTCCTTTAGGACTCAGCCAAGATGTTACCTATTCCAGGAAGCTTTCTAGGATCCCAATATCTATATTAGAGACTCTCCATCTATGTGTTCATGGCCCCCTAGACCTCTCTTATCTCAATTCTCTCCACGCTGCATTACGTGTCTGTCTTCCCACTAGGCTGAGAGCTCCTGAGAGCCAAGGCTGTATATACAGTGGTTAACACACACAGTTCGTATATCAACTGGCCTTTTTTTTTATTGCAAGTCATAAAAACTCCATCAGACTCTCTTAAGTACACAGAAAATGTATTCTCCATAAAAGTGGCCAAGAAGGCGTAGGCCGAATTCAGGCACAATTGAGTCTGGGGTTCACATGATGTCAACCACTCCTGCCTCACCCCACCTCTCCCCTGCACTCAGCTTCCATCTCCTGCCCAGGCAGTAGCAAGATGGCAGCCAAAGAGAGACAATCCAAAATGCATAAACATCATTACTAATCCCTTTTATTGAACAGAAAATGGAGGCACAAAGATGTGAAGTAACTTGCTCAAGATCACACGAGTATGAGGTGAAAAAGTGAGGGAACGAAGGAAGCAGTTGGCTTCCAGAACTCATGCATTAAACACGTTATAATTCTGCCCCCCAAAATATGCCTTTTTCTTGGCCAGTTCCAAATGTGGCCCCTTATGGCCAGGCCACCATCGTCTAGATGATATTTGGTTGGTGCAAATGTAATTGCAGTTTTGCCATTACTTTCAATGGCAAAAACCACAATTACTTTTGCACCAGCCTATACAATTAACACCCTGTCCCTGTCCCCTGAAATGTCAACAGCATAGAATGGTAGAGGAGGAGCAGAATAACTTCAATTAAAGGAGAATTGCACAGAGGGCACCCGCCCACAGCACAGCGGCAGTGCTCTCAGTACCTGGCAGGAAGCAAGGTTCTTTGTCCTTCAGCGTATTTTCCAGGAGAGCTCCCTTGCCCACTGTCTCTCCCAAGCCCACATTTGGGATGGGCGACAGGGAAGATGCAACTTCTGGGAAGCAGCTCTCTACTGGATGGGGTAGTGGGGACCTGAGGATTGATTGCCTTAAATGATGGGCTTCTTAGATTATTTGACGGATTTGGTGTTTCTCTTGTAAAAAACTTCTCTCAGATCTTAAGTAAATGATGGGCATCTTAGGTTATTTGGCAGATTTGGTGTTTCTTTTGTAGAATAATTCTCTCAGATCTTTAGCAAGCTGTTGGTGTCCACTTCTAGCCTTCCCCATGGGTTAGTACCTGAAGCCCCAGCCCTCACTGAGCCATTGACTTTGATGTGCAACCTGGGCAGTGCTCTGCCCTTCCCCCAGCCAACAGCTTACCGGCATCCATCTGAGACTCCACCTCCAGGAGGCAATTTGAAACAATGCCTGAAGGAGGGGAGGGGATTACTTGGCTCCTTGACTCCAGCCACATCCCCTGCATTGAGTGGGGGGCTCATCACAGGAGGTGCTTGGGAAGGGTCTAGGGGATCAGTGTGTCCCCAGGTTGCTTGCTTTCCTGCCTTTATGCACACTAATTTTAGGTTGGAATCGGTCCTTTAGCTTTCCAACGCTGCATTCCTCCATACTTCTGGCTGCTGTGAATTTCAGGTCATAGGCAAGAGGTGCCTCTCTCAGTAAAGCTTAATGTAAATGCCACCTGCTTTCAAACCAGCCATTTTCAACCTAAGCTTGTCACTTTTTAATAGGACCTTACTGAAGGTCACTTCTGTTTAGCAAGAGCTCCAACCTTTCAGCCAGGGTCCGTGAGTCCTCACCACCTGACACCTCCACTCCACTCAGCCAACAACGTACGCGTGACTTGCCACTTGCACGTTCCACTCCTGGAATCAACTTCTGCATCAATTTTGTTTAAAAGTAACAAAAGAAACCAAACTATCCCAGGTGAAAAGAAGTGCATTGATTCATAGATCTGAAAATGCCAGGGTCTGACTCCTGGCACAGCTGGGTTCAGGGGCTCAATGTCATCAGTACGTGCGTGGTCTTTCTGTTTGTTGCATCTTTCTTCCATGTTTTGGTTTCTTCTCCAGTTCCCTGTGGTTGCTCAGCGTTCCAGACCCATATCCTCACCAATTAATGTCCAGCAGGTTGAAGTTAGAGCTTTGTTTCTCCAGGAGTCAAAAACTCAAAGCCACTCTCACTGGTCCAAATTTGTCATGTGTCCATCCTTGAAGGAAGAGCCTAGGAGATACAGCACTCCGATTGGCCAGGCCTGATCACACGCCTACCCCTGGAGGGGGAGTCAGGGCCTCCTACAAGGAAGGGAGTGAGGAAAGAGGATTTCTTCAGAGAGAGACTGGAGAGCAGCAACATCCCACTGGGTGAGCGGAGGCTGGGCAGTCGGAACAGCAGAAGCCTATACAATGGATGCTTAGCAGGTGTTTATCCTGGGGGTGAACAAATGAGCCACTCACCCTCTGTGCCTGAGTAGGCAAGTATTCTGGAAAGAAGATATATCTTTTTTCTTTCCTATTCAAGAAGTCTGAGCCAGCAAAAAATGCTGTGTCCTAAGAACCTGTTTGCATTTACAGTGAATTCTCAATTATCTGTCTGTGGCAGATTCTCTCTGGACTATCCAGGTTGAGTCCCGCAGCACTGCAGGTTTCTAAGCAAAAGCAGAAGGCCAGACTACATTACTTTGAACATTCCGTAATTCAGCAAGCTTTGCCTCTACTCAGGCTATCAGACAGTGCATGCTCAGGGAATGCTAGCTCACAGTCATATTTGTCCGAGCAAAGCAGACACAGGAAAGCAAGTCCACTTTTGGCAGGAAGAGGCAGAAAGTGGGACCTGGGTGGGAAGCCACAGAAACCCTCGCAGAGCCATTCCTGGGGCGAGCCCAAGCACATGAGCATACACTTCCTACATAGCTTGGGATTATCAGCCTCGCTGTCTCCAGCCACTGGCATGGATACTTGGGACCTGACCATCCTGGCCAGGTGGTCATGCTATATGACTGATATAAACTAAAGAGTGTGCATACTGGCTGGGCACAGTGGCTCAGGTCTGTAATCCTAGCACTTTGGGAGGCTGGGGCTGGAGGATTGCCTGAGGCCAGGAATTTGAGACCAGCCTAAGCAACTCAGAAAGACCCTGTCTCTACAAAAAAAAAAAAAAAAAAAATTTAGCCAGACATGTCTGTGCATGCCTGTAGTCCAAGCTACTCCGGAGGCAGGAGGATTGCCTGAGTCCAGGCATCTGAGGCTGCAGTGAGCTATGATGGTGCCACTGCACTCCAGTCTGGGTGACAGAGCAAGACCCTGTCTCTAAAATTTAAAAATAAAAAAAGCATGTGTGCTGTCGCTATTACCTACTTCTGAACTTGCTTAGGAGCCAACTGAGGTTGGATTCCCTAGAAGCAGATCCTGAGCAAAGGATACCTGGGGAAGGTATTCATCAGAGGAATGCTACATGAAGGAACCAAACAGTTAGTGGGCCAGTAGTGGGCCCCTCCCGAACAAGGAAGGGGAAGAAGACAAGAAAGGCTGTGATTTCAGGGAAGTCGTAGCCTCAGCCTGAAAAGCCTCAACCATGGAAAGCCCTGGCGTGTGAATTACATCACAGACATTCTTTTCCCATCTTAAGGCAAAGGCACTGGACTTTCCTATCCTTGCACTCTACAGGGATGGGGGAAGGGGAGAGGGTGCTAAACACCCAGGCACGTCCAGCTGTGGTGGCCTCAGGTGCCCCAGAGCAATCCTCTGAAGGCTGCAGGTGCAAGCTTTTGAGAGGTGACAGCATGCTGGCAGCCCTCGCAGCCCTGGCTCGCTCTCGGCTCCTGCTCAGCCTTGGCGCCCACTCTGGCCGCACTTGAGGAGCCCTTCAGCCCGCCACTGCACCGTAGGAGCTCTTCTCTGGGCTGGCCGAGGCCGAAGCCGGCTCCCTCGGCTTGCGGGGAAGTGTGGAGGGAGAGGCACGGGCGGGAACCGAGGCGGCGCGCCGCGCTTGCGGGCCAGCTAGAGTTCCGGGTGGGCGTGGACTTGGTGGGCCCCACACTCGGAGCAGCCGGCCGGCCCTGCCGGCCCGGGGCAGTGAGGGGCTTAGCTCCCAGGCCAGCAGCTGCGGAGGGTGCGCCGGGCCCCCCAGCAGTGCTGGCCCACCAGCGCTGCGCTCGATTTCTCGCCGGGCCTTAGCTGCCTCCCCGCGGGGCAGGGCTCGGGACTTGCAGCCCACCATGCCTGAGTCTCCCCACCACCACCGTGGGCTCCTGCGCGGCCTGAGTCTGCCTAACGAGCGCCGCCCCCTGCTCCACGGCGCCCGGTCCCATCGACAGCCCAAGGGCTGAGGAGTGCGGGTGCACGGCGTGGGACTGGCAGGCAGCTCCACCTGCGGCCCGGTGCGAGATCCACTGAGTGAAGCCAGCTGGGCTCCTGAGTCTAGTGGGGACTTGGAGAATCTTTCTGTCTGGCTAAGGGCTTGTAAATGCACCAATCAGCGCTCTGTGTCTAGCTAATCTGGTGGGGACTTGGAGAATCTTTATGTCTAGCTAAGGGATTATGAATGCACCAATTGGCACTCTGTGTCTAGCTCAAGGTTGGTAAACACACCAATCCACACTCTGTATTTAGCTAATCTAGTGGGGACGTGGAGAACTTTTGTGTCTTGCTCAGGGATTGCAAACGCACCAATCAGCACCCTGTCAAAACGGACCAATCAGCACCCTGTCAAAACAAACCAATCGGCTGTCTGTAAAATGGACCAATCAGCAGGATGTGGGTGGGGCCAGATAATAGAATAAAAGCAGGCTGCCTGAACTCACAGTGGCAACCAGCTTGGGTCTGCTCCCACGCTGTTGGGGCGGGGGCGGGGGGGGGGTTGTTCTTTTGCTCCTTGGGTCCACACTGCGTTTATGAGCTGTAATATTCACCGCAAAGGTCTGCAGCTTCACTACTAAGCCAACGAGACCACAAACCCACCAGGAGGAACGACAATTCCAGACGCGTGGCTTTAACAGCTGTTAACACTCACCGCGAAGGTCTGTAGCTTCATTTCTGAGTCAGCGAGACCACGAACCCACCAGAAAGAAGAAACTCCGAACACACCCGAACCTCAGAAGGAACAAATTCCGGACACGCCGCCTTTAAGAACTGTAACACTCACCACAAGGGTCCGCGGCTTCATTCTTGAAGTCAGTGAGACCAAGAACCCACTAATTCCGGACACACTTTGACCAGCAGAGCAGGCAGAAGTAAAGCCACGGTTCACAGAAGTGGTGAGGGGAATACGTGGGTCCTAGGCGGACGCTGTCTATATCTGGTACAGGGGCAAAAGCACAGAGGTGTTCTCCAATTGCCCCAAGCCCCGCAGGAGCAGGCACAGAGGGAAGTGAGGGCTTCCAGTCCCCTGGGCCCCTAATTTCTGAATAGTTCCCCGATCCCCCACCTCACGCTCTTCCTGATGTCTGGTCTTTTTCTGGTTCCGTGTCTAGGCTGCCCCGGCTGGACACAGGCTCAATCTTGCTGGAATCTGTCCTCTTACTCCCCTACCCCAGCCCAGTGCCCCACCAGCGTGCTCCACTCAGCATCCTGATTTTCCCTGGAATGTGCCACTTTGCCACCATTTCCCTTTCAACAGATGGAATATAGCAAGTTCGCTTTCTGTATCAATCATGTCACAAATCATTAAGCATATCGACATCAAGCAGAGCCAGCCTGTGTAGTCGCAAAGGGGTCGGGTGTTCTTCCACTGCCGAGCAGGCAGGTGCCACTACCTCGTCCTCAACTGTCAGGAGTCCCACCCACTTGGGGGCCCCAAGCCAGCGGCCCCAACCTGCTCTTAGCTCCACAGGGTAGCACGGAGGTCATGTGATTTATCTGGATCCTCTGCAGGAACCCTTCCCCAGACCACAGCTTTAACAGCCGATCTTCAGAAGCCAGAGACAGGAGGTCCTGACAAAGGGCAGTCCAGCTCTGCATTCATCTAACAGCAAAAGCTGGTTGCACAGCCACCCAGGGCTTCCACAGGTGCAGGCTCAGCCCATCTTCAAGGAGCTCACACCTTACTCCAAGATCACTTCCTCCCACTGCCCTCCTCAGGGCAGGACCACGTTCAATGATCTCATGAGAATCTCAGCGCTTTCTAACCTATCTCATTATCCCTCACAATAACCCTGTGCAGTTCATATTTTTATCAACATGTTATAGAAGAGGCCCAGGGAAGTCCAGTGGCTTGCCATTGTCACACAGCTAAAAAGTAGCAGTTGCCAGGCTTCAAACCCAAGTCTGTCTGGCTCTGCAGTCAGCACCATTCCCCATGCAGCTATAATGTATTCTTTGCCTTTCAGCTGAGGGTCTTCCTCCATAATTCTGCTCAAAAGTCCTCAATATAAGTGCTTTGTGATATCTACCTTAATCCCCTCTATTTGTTACTTAAACCCACTTCCTCTTTTCATTGACAAATGGACAGATGTTTGCTCACCTACTGCCTTTCCTCTTCCAGATACATTTCTAGTGTTTGCTTTTAAGCACCCATGGCGGGAGATGGAAGAGGAGAGGAGGGGGCGATCATGAGATAACAGTAGATAAAATAATGTCCCCTCAAAAATGGTGCAGAACCCAGCCGGCATCCTGTGCAAATAGTACCCACTTACACAAATCTGAGAGCTATGCCTCCTTAACTTTGTGCCTGAAGTACCTTGCTGGCATGGCTCCGGTCCAGCCCCTGACATGCACGCAGACACTCATGTGAGGTGTCTTGTCATCTTCCATCCCTGAGTCCACCCATACAGTTGCCCTAGCTCCACCTTTTCCCTGACCCCTCCCACACACAGCCTTCCATGCCTCGCTCCCACAACCCGCTCCCTCGGTGAAGTCATCTCACATGTGACGCCCCCACCTAATGTCTTCCCAGCAGCCTCCCCCAACGCCAGTGCCCTGGGTCCAAGAGCAGAATCTCAGTGTTCCTGCAGAAGTCACCATGGAAGAATAATCGTGTTGTGATTTTGAAAGGAAATTGAAATCCCCTCTTTACTGCTTTCTAAATGAACCTTATAATTTTCTCCCTGTCTACAACCTCCCTGTGCACTGGCTTCTCTGTATCTGTGTGCATATTTGTGCGAGAGAGAGTGAGCTCAGTTCTAGCAAGTAGGGCCTCTGGTGGATCCGCGGGAAGGACCCGTCACCCAGCAGGATGGAGTGTGAGCTCTGTGGCCAGGAGTCACAGTGCACAAGGCACCCTCTCCCCTAGGCACCCTCTCCCCTGCCCATTCTTAGCCCCTCGGGTTGGAGCCTCCGAAATGGAACTGGCGTGATGGAGCCTGAGTGCACCAGGAGTTTTCCCGGGTTGGATGAGCCAAGCTTGTCTGAGGGAACCAGGGCTGGAGGACAGAAGAGCAGTCCAGGGAGCAGGGCAGCAGGGAACTCTGGAAGGCAATGGGGCTGTGGATTAAAGGGTGGGAGGAATGTCCCGGGAGGCCAAGAACAAAAGGTGGTCCTAGTGGCAAACTCGCAGAAGGATCTAGAAGAGAAGTGTCAGGCAGGGGCAGGGAAAAAGAGGAGGAGCCAGGGCTCCTGGGCAGCATGGGCGATGGGCACACCTGAGGGGTGTGGCCTATTCAGAAACCCCTGACCTGTCCAGGCCTGCTCATCTGGGGAGGGTGGGAAATCAGGACCATTCTTCCCTCAGTAGGGGCAGGGAGAAGTGAACCCAATCAAAGGGTGAGCCAGGCCATCCCTGTGCTGTGAGGAGTGAGTTGGTCCTCAAGCATCCGGCTTCCTCTGGGGGCAGTGATCTTGGATACTTGGGCTGCACCTCTACCTTTTTTGACTATCCCAGAGTAGATAACTAAGACCCAAAGCTGAAAACAAAGAGCATCAAGAACCCTATACCATAAAACAATTGGGCCTTGACCACTCCTTGTGGCTTACTAAGAGGCTAGCCCAAATGCCATGGCTTCTTGCTCTTGTCTGCTGATATGTGGACCACAGGCCTCGGGGAGGGGTTGCAGCTCAAAGAGACTTGTATTAGTCCATTTTCACACTGCTATAAAGAAATACTTGAGACTGGGTAATTTATAAAGGAAACAGGTTTAATTGACTCACAGTTCCGCATGGCTGGGGGGGCCTCAGGAAATTTACAGTCATGGCAGAAGGAGAAGGGGAAGCAAGGACCTTCTTCACATGGTGGCAGGAGGGAGAAGAGAGAGCAAAGAGAGAAGAGCCCCTTATGAAACCATCAGATCTCCAGAGAATTCACTCACCGTCAAGAGAACAGCATGGGGGAAACCACTCCCACGATCCAATCACCTCCTTCCCTGGACACTTGGAGATTACAGGACCCTCCCAGGACATGTAGGGATTACAATCTGAGATAAGATTTGGGTGGGGACACAGAGCCAAACCATATCAAGACTCATTTAGAGACTGGGAAAACCTACAGGGAGGGAATTCAGAGACCAACCCCATTCTCCAGCAGTAGGCCATTTGCTTAGGCAGCAGACTTGGTGAGATGCCTTAAGCCAACCTGAACAGGGGAAAGGGCCTGCACGCCCCTTGTTGATGTGGCAAAAGATGGGCGAGTTTTCCATGGCTCAAGAGACCCTGCAGAAGGTTGTGGCTTAGGCCACTTCACTGATAACACAGCCTGTGAGGCCAGGGGACCCTCTTGGGTCCCCCACAGTCCCCCCACTTAAAGAGGCTGGAAAGAGTTGAGCTGGAATAGACCTCCCACTTTTGGCGCTCACTAATGCTGATTAACATTAGCCTGAGAGGCAGCAACACCCCACTGAGAAGAACCCAGTGCCCTGGTAGTACAAGGTACTTCCCTCCCTCTTCTCACCTGCACACTGTGGGAGCCTCCAGGAGGGTGGGAGAGCCGGCATGCCAGAGGGAAGGTGTTCCCCCACCCCCACTCTTCACTCCTGGGGGAACAGGGAGGAGGAGACCACCTCCTGCCCCACTCCAGGCCCTAAGCCAGAGGGTGTCCTACGTGAGGAAAGGTGAGTTTCAATCCCCTGCAAGATTGGAATCTTAAACTCAATTTATTCAGTAATCAAAACTAACTCATAGAATCTGCCCAAGACATTGTCAAGGGACAGAAAAGGGACAGTCAAAAGAGTACAGTTGAAAAAGTGGCATAAGAAAAAATTTTTAAATAAATATTTCATGTTCCCAACTGAATGGAGCCTGAATGATAAATCACTTACACAAAGGACACCACCTTCCTTAGATAAGCTCAAGTGTAAACGTGGGGATGGGGCGGTATTTTAAGGAGACACAGAATAATAAATAAGGAGACAGACTCCCAAGGAAATTCTAACAGTGGGGCCAAGCTCCCAGACAGGAAAACCTAAGGGTTGTTGGGAAGCGAGGCCTGTCCCGTTCTCCAGTGAGACCCGCGACGCAGCCGAGCTTTGCTGTGGGGTTCAAATCCCGGCTCTGCCACTCTCTAGCTGTGTGAGCTTGGGAAAGACATTAAACCCCCTGTACCTCAGTTTCCTCATCTGTAAGATGGGGGGAGTAGCTCCTCCCTAGGGGTGTTTGTGAGGATTAAATGAATCAATACGATCCGGATCTTAGAGCAGGACCTGACTCTGCATTGTCCCTTTCCTGTGTTCCCTAGGCAGCTCAGCTGCTCTCGGAGTCCCTGCAGCTCTCTCTGCTTCTCCCCACTGCCTGCTCACACCCTCACCCTCTGCTGAGCCCTTTTCTGCCTCCCAGCATCTCTTTCTCATCCATAATGGTGGCTTTTGACCCGTGGGGGTCCAGACTCCACACCAAGGCCTTTGCTGTCCATGCTGGCTTTTGCTTCTACTTCTGGGCTCCCTGCTTGATGCTTTCTGGATTTCCCAGTTCAGCTTCTCAAGAACAAGACACTGAATGGCCCGGCCCTTCCCATTTGGGCAGAGCCTTTGAAGCCAATTCTTGACTGAATAGAAGTGGCCAGAGCTGGAGGAATCACGTGATATGAAACTCAGCCAGCGAGGGCTGCCCCTGCAGCAAGGGCTCCGAGTGTAGGGAACGGGAGCACAGTTTCTCTTAGAAGGGGTCTGAGCCAGGCAGGCCCCCTGACTGACACATCTTACACAAACAGGGAGACTCATTCACTTGGCCTCAGGGTTATAGTGAAGATATACGAAGGAATGGGAAGGGGATTAGGGAGACTCTATCAAGAGTGATTTGTCAAATCCCATCTGTGTGCTCAGGACAACACTGTGTGACCAAAGGGTCAGGTAAGGTGGAGTGGAGGTAGGGAGGAGAGGGTGGCCCCAGCCTGGGGAGCTGGATGAAGAGGCAGATTCAGTGGAGCATAGGAGTCTGCAGCACCCAGCACAGACTGAGTGCCCTCGTGTACCAGGTGCCCCTGGAGCTGCCAGAGCTACAGAGGGGATGCAGGTGCCTCCCTCCCTCCCTCCCTCCCTCCCTCCCTCATCGTCCCTTTCCTGTGCTCCAGCAGCTTGGCTTCCCCAGGTCCTTGCTGCCTGCCTGCCACCTACCCCTTCAGCAGATGAGCTCCTGCCTCTCCCTACCAGGCGTCCTCACCTGGAACTGCCTTCAGAGCACCCCAGCCTCCCTGGACTGCTCCATGTCACTGTCCTCTTACGTGAAGCATCTCCTGGCACCCCAGACAGCCCCTCAGTCCTTAAGTCCCTTTGTGTCCCACCTGTGTGTCTTAATTTTTTTGTTTATTTACATATCAGTCACCCACCCACTTTAGACTGAGTTCCTTGAAGGCGAGAATCTTGGATCCTTCATCTCATATTCTGGCCCCTAGTGGGAAAAAAAAAAAAAACTGCCTCTATGAAATGAAGGAAAGGGCTGAAGTTGTCTGGGTGGGAAAGCATCACTGAGGACACAGCACTTGAGGAGGGAAGAGATTTGAATTGGCAGAAGCAGGAAAGGGACAGCATTCAAAGGGAGCAAATAACACAGGCAAGCGTGGGGGTGGAAATGGGGGCAGGGGGCCAGGTGGGGTCCATGGAGCAACGAGACCACGGACCGGAAGAGAGGAACGGGGAGTACTGGGAGAACCTAACCCGCTTCCTGACCCTCCCCCTCCTTCCACCCTCTGCCATCTCTTCCCTCTGCTGCTGCTCCTGCCTGCCCACCCCACCTCACCCCACCCCGAAGTCCTCCCGAAGGTGGTGTCCTGATCCCTGCCTAGGATTCATTGAAAGCCCAGCCTGGATCCAGCTGGTCAGTGTCAGGACTGATGCTGGGAGATTCTCGAGGGAGCCTGAGCTCTAATCCAGCTCTCATCACAGAGCAAGCCTGGCACTGATGGGCTGTCCTTATCTAGACAGCAATGGAATGGCCCTGGCTGGGAGCCCTGCTGGGACACTCCCTGTCTACTTTGTCCATCCAAGTTCTGGAGGAGCCAGAAGTCTGTTCTCCTCTGGGTGACCCACGCTCCTACCAAGACCTCCAGTTTTAGTCTGGCAGAGTCTTTGATGCCCCTCCACCTTGCCAACAGTGGACAGCTCACTCCATCTAAGGCCCCTTCACCCCAGACAGGCCAACCAGTTTTGTCACTGCCCTGGAAGAAGAAAAGTCTAGAGACCTCAAAAGAATTCTTGCTGTAATCCTAGCACTTTGGGAGGCCGAAGCAGGTGGATCACAAGGTTAGGAGATTGAGACCATCCTGGTGAACATGGTGAAACCCCGTCTCTACTAAAAGCACACAAAAAATTAGCCGGGCTTGGTGGTGGGCAGCTGTAGTCACAGCTACTCGGGAGGCTGAGGCAGGAGAATGGCATGAACCCGGGAGGCGGAGCTTGCAGTGAGCCGAGATCGTGACACTGCACTGCAGCCTGGGTGACAGAGCGACTCTGTCTCAAAAAAAAAAAAAAAAAAAAAAAAAAGATTTCTTGCAAACTACCCCCACTCCCTTCCCATTTCTTTCTTGGAAAATATTTGATGGTGTTTTGCCACATTTCTCAGACTACCCTCTCCCAACCCAGCCACTCAGCGAGAGACTCACTGGAATGAGAGGGGGAAGATGGATATTTATTCAGCTCCGACTTATGCTTCACTCTTGGTTAGCATTATCTTATTTAATCCATCAGTAGGAGGCTCTGAATTCCCTCAGGGGACTCCTTTGAACTCTGGATACTTTCACAAAGAAGTCCTGGGATTTCAGAGGTTTGAGGAAAGCTTCCATGTGCCCTGGCATTCCCTCCTCATTCTTATCCCTGCTGCTTTCCGGAGCACTGATCCTCAGCTCTCACTGGGGAGGGGTTTTGGTAATAAGTTGCCCAGGCCCTGTCCCTATAGACAGGGATTGGGTAAGTCTGGGGTTGGCCAGGGAACCCCAGGCGGTTCTTATACATACCAGAGTTTGGGAACCTCTGTTATGGCAGGTCCGAGAAAGCCGCCATAGTGGCCTCTTCATCCCACCTTTCATTGAACAAATGGGGTCAGAGAGAAGTGACTTGCCATAGGCCACATGGTACAGAAGGTTGGCCTAGAGGCTAGTCCTTCTGGCTTCCTGAGCTCCTGCACTGCCTCAGCTTGTCCCTCGCTGGCCCTCAGAGGAGAGGTAAAAGAGCCCAGCTAGTGCCTGGACCCTTCAACCCCTCTGCAGCCTGCCTCCTTCTCTCTCCCCATCCATGCTCTCCCCACCTGGCCTCAGCATCAGGCTGCTGCAGAGCCAAGCAGAAAGCAGGTTCCCATTTCTACAGCAGCCTTTATCGCACTGCATTGTAATTGCTTGTTTACCTGCTGGCTCACCGCAGACTGCAACGCCAGGAAAGGAGCTCTGTCCCACTCTCTGTGTCCCCAGAGCCCAGCACTGGGCCTGGCTGAGCAGAAGGAGCTCAAATAATACATTATTTGTTGATGTACAGTGCTCTGTTGAGGGACTAGGTTAGTGGCTTCATTACTTACTCTTTTGAGGATATTTGCTGTTTTTAAGGGTGACGCCTAACTCAAGAGGTATAGCATGCGACTGATGGAACTGTAGGCTTTGTGGTCAGAGGAGTCTTTCTGACACCTCTGAAATCCCCAATGTTTAGGGTTCCACATGCTCCAAGAGAGGTTGAGTCTGGTCCCGCCCTCTGGGCCACACCATTCAGAGGTGCCCTGAGACCTTTTGACTTCCCAAAGAGGGATCACCAGGCCTCTCCATTTCTTTCGCTGATGGTTCCAAGTGGCTCTCCTTGACTGAGGAGTCGGCTCACCTTGGCTCAGCTCCTCATCCCTCCCCCTGTCAGCTGAAAACAAAGCCCCGGACTCCATTTGTGATTCTGCAGCTTGTGAATTTCTAGATTACGAGCAAAGCCAGGGAATCTGACAGTCTCATTTAGCAGCCTCTCTCAGGCTCTGGCCAGGCTAGTGGCCACTCTGGCTGGGGTCTCAGAGAACCAAGTTCACTTCCTGGGGTTTTGAACAGATGAGTGCATCTCGCCGGCTCCTTCCTTCTGCAGATAATCCTGCAGGCCATCGAGCTTCCCATCACAAGAGAGGGGCTTTGTTCAGGATACAGTGGCGGGCAGGTGGCTGGCATTGGAAGCCTTTTGAGTGATCTTCTGTCACTCAGCCAAGCCACCCCCTCACAGCAGCTGGACTCATAAACAAGAGGGGAGCAGGCAGACAGGAGAGGGATATCAGCTGTGATCCCAGGCTATACAAGTGGAAAAGGCTGTGTAGCTGTTTCTGAGTGACTGATTCACTAGGAAAGGTACAGGTAAGAAAGGAAATGAGAAGAGCCACTTCCTGGGCTGTGTTCTGCCTTGGGACTCACACACAATCCAGCAGGGCCCAAAGCCCCCATGGCGCCTGCTAATTGAATATCCCTCCTTCCTGGCTCCTTCTGTGTCCCTGGGGGGTGGGAGTTACTGCCCACCCTACTTCCTCCTCTGCTTCTCAGGGAACCCCCAGAGTCTTTCTGCCCTGCCTGAGTCCCCACAGAGAGCATTTGGGATTCCAGGACCTGAGACCCTCACACTCGTGGATCTCATGGACAGACCAGCCAGCATTCCAAGAGCCGCAGTTGCATAGAGCTTCCCCACATCATGGCTTCCAGTCTCCCTCACCCTGAGGCAGATTACTCTCCTCTTGGATACCTGAGGCACCTGAGGCTCAGAACAGTTAAGAGGCTTTCCCAGGATCCATGCAAGCAGCAATGCCAGGAATCAGATCAGGTCTGTTTGAGTGTTCACCCGTTATTCACCTCCGCATAACCAGAGACCCAAACACCGGCCAGCCCTGGGAGAAAACTGGGAAGCCAGCTCCCTCCTCTTCCTCCTCTAGGCTCCTGATGCCCCCAGGAAGGTGGTAAGGAGGGCAGGAGTCACCTCAAATCTTTTCTAGAACAAGATGGATCATGAAGAAAGACACAAGCAAACACTAAGTGTCTAAATAAAAAAAAAAAATTGGGGACATTTTTCATTAGCCTAAGAAAGGTGTTGAAGTTCATCTCTGAGGGTCCGATAGTTGTGGTTAGAAGCCTGACTTTTTCTACCCTCTCAATTTTTTACTACCAAAAATGCAGGCATACGGGAAAGCTCAAAGAATAATACATTAATAGCCCATATACTCACAATCCACAATTAACATTTTTGTCAAATTTGCTTTATCTCTGTGTTTTTCTAGACCACTTGGGTATAAGGTGCAGACATCAAGGCAGTACATACCTAAGTATTTCAACCTGTTTCTTTTAAAAATAAGGACAGTCTTTTCCATAACCAAAACACCATTATCATACCTAAGAAAAATTAACAATAATTTCCTAACATCATCTAATAGCTAGTCTCCAAACTTCTGTAATTGTCTCGGAAATATCTTTTATAGCTATTTTGTAATGCCAGACTTCAATCAAAGGGCATGCATTTCATTTGGTTGTTATGTCTGTTTAGCCTCTTCTACCTAAAACAGTCTCCCCACCCCTTTCTTTGGTCATAATATTGACTTTTTTTTTTTTTTTTTTAAAGAAATCAAGCTGGTAGTCTTGTAGAATGTCCTACTTTCTGGGCTTGTCTGATCACTTCCTTGTAGTGCTATTTAATTTGTCACTTTACTCCCTGTAATTCCTGTAGACTGGACATTAGATCTTGAGCTTGATTCAATTAGCATTAAAGATTTTTGGTAAGAATGCTCTGTAGCAGGCTGCCTCTACAACAGTCCCAGCGATCCCACCTCAAAAGTATTCACATTCTTACTCTACAGGAATGTGGGCTGGATTCTGAAACTGGCTTCTAATGAATAGAATATGGCAGAAGTAATGGGATGTCAGTTCTGAGATTAGGTTACTAAAACACTGTGGCTTTTGTCTCACATGTTCTCTTTCATACTCTCTTGGATCTCTAGACCTGGGAGAAGCAGCAGCCCCGGGAGAGGCTTAACTAGCAGAGCACTGAGGCCCACCGACAGCCATGTGCATGAGCTTGGAAGCACATCTCCCCAACCCACCCCAGTCAAGCCTGCAGATGAGACCTCAGCTGCAGCTGACAACTCGGCTACAACTTTGTGAGAGACCTGGAGCCAAAAGCACCTAGCTAAGCTGTGCCTGTATTTCTGACCCACAGAAACTCTGAGGTAATAAATATTTGTTGTTTTAAGCCACTAAGTTTTGGGGCATTTTGCTATGCATAGCTATGAAATGAATTGTGCTCCTACCCTAAATTCATATATTGAAGCCCTAATCCCCAAGTGACTGTATTTGGAGATAGGGTCTTTAGGAGGTAAACAAGGCTAAATGAGGTCATAAGGGTGAGGCCCTGCTATGGTTTGGATGTTTGTCCCTTCCAAACCCCATGTTGAAATTTGATCTCCAGTATTGAAAGAGGGGCCTAATGGGAGGTATTTGGGTCATGGGGGCAGATACCTCATTAATAGAGTAATGTGCTCTCTTGGGATGAGTGAGCTCTCATGCTATTAGTTCCCATGAGATCTGGTTGTTTAAAAGAACCTGGCACCTTACCCCTCTCGCTCTTGCTTCCCCTCTTGCCATGTGATGTCTGCACACACCAACTCCCTTTCATCCTCCACCGTAAGTTAAAGCAGCCTAAGTCCCTCACCAGATGAAGATGCCCAATTTTGAACTTTCCAGCCATTATAATTGTAAGCCATATAACCCCTTTTCCTTTATAAGCTACCCAGTCTCAGGTATTTCTTATTAGCAACTGTGGCCTTATAAGAAAAGGAAGATCTCTCTCTCTCTCTCTCTCTCTCTCTCTCTCTCTCTCTGCTCTGTGAGGATACAGGGAGAAGGTGGCATTTGCAAGCCAGAAAGAGAGCCCACACCAGAAACCGAATTGGCTGGCACCTTGATCTTGGACATCCCAGACTACATAACTATATGAAAATAAATTTGTTATTTAAGCCCCCAGTCTATGGTATTTTGTTATGACAGTCTAAAAAGACTAATATATGTGTCAATAGATAAGTAGTACAACTTCACAGGTGATGCTATAAACTACATATTGCATCACATCCAAAGGCACATAATGTCAGGCTGTCCCATTAATCATTATCACTTGGTTAAGGTGGCCCCTGCCGTATCTGGCCCTTGAAAAGGTCATTTTCCCTTTGACAATCTGCAAGTAATCTGTGAAACAATACATTGGACCCTAGAATATCTTATTCTCCAAAAACTTTTCACTTGATGCATTGAACATTTATTGATGATCTTTGCCTTAATCAATTATTTCTTTCAATATAACAAAATGATCGTTTTTCTAATTCTACCATTATGTCCATATTTATTGACTAGTGTTTTTCACAAAGTGGAGTTTTCTGTTATCAACAGGAATTAACTACATTGCCTCCTGAAAAGGACAGGCAAATGCCTGGTTCTTTCTTTTTAATTACTAATTTCCTGAATAAGGAATTGGTTCAATAATCACCTTCAATGATGGTAAGTGAGTTTCCCTTTCTCTTCTCATCCGGTTTTTATCTATCTATATCTTATTGTCATACTCTGCTGGATATTTGTTCAATGACTTACAATAAATTCTACTTCATATTCTTTTTAATGCTCAGATTGTTCCAGCTTTTGCCAGTGGAAGCCCCTCCAAGATGGAGAAGCTCTACTTTAAATTCCAGGCCCCTAAGGAAAGGTTTGCAAGAGGGCTCTCTCCAGCCATCCACCCCCACCACCCTTAGAAACTCCTGCTACACACCATGGATGGGGAAGTGAAGGGAAAGGGTAATGAGACACAATGGGGGAGGAGTCACTTGAGTAGTTATACTATTTCGGGAATGAGGTATACTGGAAAAAGCAAGTGAACATCCAAACTCCTGAGGTCTGGTTCTGGTGGCCTTAACCAATTTACTCTGTGTCATTAAGGCCTATGACCTAGGCTCTCTGTGCCTCACATGCAGGTTTGCTGTGGGGCTTGGTACAGACACTACATGTGGTAGAAGGCAGAGAGTCCTACAAACATGTCAGATGGCATCCTCAGGGCCTGTGCCCCAAAGTCATGTACCAAAAGGAAGACAAGGAGGTGGGGAAGAAGGACCCAGGTGTCCAAAATGCCTTTCCACAGCTGAGGCCTGTTAATTAGGAGAAAATTGTAAACACCTCAACACTGCAGCATGGGAGGGAGGAAGAAATTGGTCTGAGAAAGCTCCCAAGCTCCCCTAAGGAGGCAGAGGTGGTAAACTCAGGTTTCTTTGATCCATTTCAGCCTCTGGATCTCCAGGCCTGCCCCCTATCTCTACAGCCCAGAGGAGGTGACATTAACCAGTGCATCTGAGTGGTGCAGAGGAAAACTGACTTTGATGTCCATATAAACCCAGTGCCCAGGTCATGTCTGTTCTCCACTGGCAATGGGCTGAGCAGAGCCAAGTTCTCAGTTAACTTCCCCAGCCCTCCCTCCTGCCTAACTCCATTCCCACCCCCGACTTGAACTTCCTAAAGGCAGTGAGTGAGATTAAAGGCTTGATCAATGAAAACTATTATTATTGTTTACTCCTGAGCCTTCTGATGTTATTGCATTGCAAGAAAGCTGTCTGGGCCTCCACCAGGAATAATAACACAACCTTTCTTCCAGTTTGGGAGGCATTGGAGGCTCCTTACACATGATCACTCCTATTCTTTCCTCTACTCAGGCCCAGCTTACCCCACCCCCAGCAACCTCCCCTTCCCATCCCTTTCATTCTCCCCATTGAGACTGGATGTTAAGGTTCTCTAAAAGCCCATGGGTTGAGCATTTCACATCTCTCTTATAAAGACAGTGAAGCTGCATCTCAGTGAGGTATTTTCTCACTCCACCACCCCAGGCCTACGGTAGAGCAAAGAATGGATCATGTGTAACAGCCTAAGAGAAACTCAGGTGTGCAACAGAGAAGCTGGGTATCCTTCCGCTATCAGCTTCTCTCAGCAAAGGGGCCTCCCTGTGTGTGTCCTGCCTCTACTAGGCTTGGCCTGTTTTGTTTGCCCTAAGAATGTTCACACCAATTGTTTAGCAACAGCAGGCAGAAATCACTGTAGGGAAAACAGCTGTCACCAGACCCTCTCAGCATTACCAGGTGCCTGGGAGTGTTTCCCTGCACACACTCTCCATTGGGGCACGTGCAGCACACATATGCACATGTCTCTCCACCCTCTCAGAAGACCCTCTCATGTCGACTTCTCCCTCACAATCCCCACTCACACAGCCCTCTCCTAACTGCCAGCCCTCAGCTGACTTGAGGAAGTCAGGTTAACTTCTCAGACTGGCCTCTACTTGCCAGGGACTATGCTGGGGCATTGCAAGCCACTGATGCTCAGCCGTGCAGCCTCACAGCTGAGGGCAAGCACTCCTGCCCTCTATTCAGTTCAACAGACATTACCCAGTGTTATAGACTGAACTGTGCCTGCTCCCTGCCCGGCCCCAAATTCATATGTTGAAGCCCTAACCCCCAGTGTGACTATATTTGGAAACAGGGACTTTAGAGAGGTCATGAAGGTAAAATGAGATCACAAGGTGTGGCTCTAGTCCAATAGGACTGGTGTTCTTATGAGAAGAGGTAGAAACACCAGGAGTAAGTGTACACAGAAGAAAGGCCATGTGAAGACACAGCAGAAGGTGCCCATCTCCAAGCCCAAGAGAGAGGCTTCAGGAGAAACCAACATTGCTAACACCTTGATCTTGGACTTCCAGCCTCCAAAACTATGAGAAAATAAATTTATGTTTTTAAGCCACTCATTCTGTGCTATTTTGTTGTGGCAGCCCCAGCCAACTAATACACCTAGACTTACCTACCTTTACCCAGACCCTTAAGAGATGAGAGATATGAAGATGAATATGGCATGACTTCTGTCCTCAGCGGTTTAAAATATAATAAGAGCATAATGATCAATGGAATAGAATTGAGAATCCAGAAATAAACCCTCACATTTAAGATCAATAACAAGTGTTCTAAGATAATTCAATGGCAAAAGAATAGTCTTTTCAACAAATGGTACTGGAACAACTGGATATCCACATGCAAAAGAATGAAGTCAGATCACTACCTCACACCATATACAGAAATTAACTTAAAATGGATTAAATATATAAATATAAGAGCTAAAACTATAATACCCAGAAGAAAACATTAGCATAAATCTTTGTGACCTTGGGTTAGACAATGGTTCCTTGAACAAGCAACAAATGAAAAAAGCAGATACATTAGACATCAACAATTTAAAACTTTTGTACTTCAAATGACACCAACAAGAAAGTACAAAAACAACCCACAGAATACAAGAAACTCTTTGCAAATTATATGTCTGACAAGGGACTTGTATCTAGAGTATATAAAGAGCCATTACGACTCAATAATAAAAAGACAAATGACCCAATTTTAAAATGGGCGAAGGCTCTGAATATACAGTTCTCCAAAGAAGATATACATATATGGCTAATAAGCACATGAAAAGATGCTCAATATCATTAGTCATCAGAAAAATGCAAATGAAAACCACAACCAGATACAATTCACACCCACTGAGATGACTATAACCAAAAAGAAAGATAACAACAAGTGTTTGCAAGGATATGGAGAAATTGTAGCCCTTGTACATTGCTGGTGGGAATGTAAAGTGGTGCAGCCACTTGGAAAAGCTATCTGGTAGTTCATCAAATGGTTAGACACAGTTACAATACAATCTGGAAATTCCACTCCTAAGTATTTATGCAAGAGAGTTGAAAGCATATGTCCAAAAATGCTTATTCAGAAGTGTTCACAGCAGCCTTATTCATAAGAGCCAAAATGTGTAAACAACTGATGAATGTTCATCAACTGATGAATGGACAAATAAAATGTGATATATCCATATAATGGAATATTATTCAGTAATGAAAAGAAATGAAGTACTGATACATGCTACGACATGGATAAACCTTGAAAACATTATGCTAAGTGAAAGAAACCAGTCACAATGGATCACATAATGTATGATTCCTTTTAAATGGAATGTCCAGAATAGGCAAATCCATAGAGACAAAAAGTAGATTAGTGGTTGCCTGAGGCTGGAGTAGGGGGTGAGGAGGTATGTGGGGTAATGGCTAAAGGTGTGGAGTTTATTTTGGGGATGAAGAAAATGTCTAAAACTGATTGTAGTGATCTTTGCATGACTCTATGAATGCACTAAAATTCTTTAAATTATACATTTTAAGGGTGTGAATTGTTTGGCATATGAAGTATGCCTCAATTAAGCTGTTAAAAATATAATGGGGAGACTTTTGCTTTTGGGAAGATAGAGTAGATATACTTCTCCCTATTCCTCTCGCTAAGTACCACTGAAAACCCTGTGCATTATATATAAAACCAGCATTAAAAGACCTGTAAGATGGAAAGAAGAAGACAGCTGTATTAGCTTGTTCTTGCATTGTCATGAAGAAATACTCAAGGCTGGGTAATTTATGAAGAAAGTGATTTATTTTGACTCGCAATTCTACAGGCTGTACAGGAAGCATGGTGCCAGCAACTGCTTCTCGTAAGGCCCTCAGGAAGCTTCCAATCATAACAGAAGGCAAAGGGGGAGGAGGCACATGATGCTGTGAGAGCAGGAGCAAGAAAGCAAAAGAGGGGAGGTCCCAGACTTTTAAACAACCAGATCTCTTGTGAACTGAGTAAGAGCTCACTTTTCACCAAGGAGATGGTGCTAAATTATTCATGAGGAATCCACCCTCATGATCCAGTCACCTCCCACCAGACCTCACCTCCAACACAAGGACGCACATTGCAACATGAGATTTGGAGGGGACAGACATCCCAATCGTATCATTTCATCCACCTACCTCCCAAATCTCATGTCCTTCTCGCCATTTCAAAATACAATCATGCCTTTTCAATAGTTCCCCCAACGTATTAACTCATTCCAGCATTAACTCCAAAGTCCCAAGTCGTTAGTCTCAACTGGAGATGAATGCCTTCCATCCAATAGCCTGTGAGATTAAAAAACAAAATTATTTAATTCCAGGATACAATGGTGTACAATCTAATTCCAAAAGAGAAAAATTAGCCAAAAGAAAGGGGCAACAGGCCCCCTATACGTCTGAAACCCAACAGGGCAGTCACTAATCTTAAAGCTCCAAAATCAACTCCTTTGACTCCATGTCCCACCTCCAGGGCATACTGGTGTAAGGGAGTGTCTCCCAAGACTTTGGGCAGCTCCACCCCTGTGACTTTGCAGGGTGTAGCCTCATGGCTGATCTCATGGTTTGAAGTTGAGTGCCTGCAGCTTTTCTAGGCTCAGGAGGCAAGCTCTCAGTGGATCTACCATTCTCAGGTCTGGAGGGCAGCGGCCTCCTTCCCACACCTCCACTAGCCAGTGCCCTACTGGGGACTCTGTGCGGAGGCTCCAACCCCACATTTCCCCTTGGCATTGCCCATGTAGAGTATCCTCTAGGGGCTCTGCCTTTACAGCAAGTTTCTGCCTAGACACCCAGACTGTCCAATACAACTCTGAAATCTAGTGGGGATCTGCCAAGCCTCCTTCATACTTGCATTCTGTGCAACTGCAGATTTAACACCATGTGGAAGCTGCCGAGGCTTATGACTTGTGCCCTATGGAGCAGTGACCTGAGCTGTACCTGGGGTCCTTTGAGCCACAGCTGTAGCTACAGTGGCTGGGATTCAGGGAGTGGTGTGTTGAGGCTGCACAGGACAGCAGGGCCCTGGGCCTGGCCCACAAAACCATCCTTTCCTCCTAGCCTCTGGTGATGGGAGGGGCTGCCTCAAAGATTTCTGAAATGCTCTCAAGGCCTTTTTCCCATTGTCTTGGATATTAACACTTGGCTCTCTTTTAGTCACACAACTCTCTCTAGCAAGTGTTGCTCTGCAACCCACCTGTATTTCTCTCCTGAAAACACTCTTTCTTTCTCTGCCACTTGGCCGGCCTGCAAATTTTCCAAAGTTTTATGCTTTGCTTCCCTTTTAAGTATAAGTTCCAACTCTGAGTCATTTCTTTGTTCCCACATCTGGTCATAGGCTGTAAGAAACAGCTGGGACACTTCTTGAATGCTTTGCTGATTGTGAATTTCCTCTGCCAGGTACCCTATCTCATCATTCTTAGATTCAAACTTCCACAGATCCCTAGGGCCTGGACACAGTGCAGCCAAGCTCTTTGCTAAGGTGTAACATGGGTGAACTTTGCTCCATTTCCCAATAAGTTCCTCATTTGCATCTGAGACCTCATCAGCCTAAGCTTCACTGTCCATATTTCCATCAGCATTTTGATCACAACATTTAACAAGTCTCTAAGAAGTTCCAAACTTTTCTTCATCTCCCTGTCTTCTTCTGAGCCCTCCAACCTCTGCCAACCTCTGCTCATTTCCCAGTTCCAAAGCGACTTCCACATTTTCTAGTATCTTTATAACAGCACCCTACTCCTCAGTACCAATTTTTTAATTAACTCATTCTTGCATTGCTATAAAGAAATACCCGAGACTGGGTAATTTATAAGGAAAAGTGGTTTACTTTGGCTCACAGTTCTGCAGGCTGCACAGAAAGTGTGGGTCCAACATTTGCTTCTGGTGAGGGCCTCTGGAAGCTTCCAATCATGGCAGAAAGTGAAGGGGGAGCAGGCACATCACATGATGAGAGTGGGAGCAAGAGACTGGGGTCGGGGAGGTCCCAGGCTTTTAAACAACCTGATCTCGTGTGAAATAATTGAGTGAGAGCTCTCTTATCACCATGGGGATGGTGTTAAACCATGCATGAGGGATCTGTATTCATGACCCAATCACCTCCCACCAGGCCCTGCCTCCAACACTGGGAATCACATTTCAACATGAGATTTGGAGGGGACAAACACTCAAACCATATCATATCAACAGCCTTGAGAAGGACCTCAGAACCTCAAGAATGACATAGTGGGGAGTTACCTGGGTTTGTTTTTTTGCCTCATATATCCCAAACTTTTAGCTGAAGAAGCTGGCAACCTGAAAATGCCAACAGGTACAGAAAAATAAATGCCCCAACAAAAGGCTACTCTCTCCAGTAAGACAGAAGACAGATAACTTTTATACAGTAACAGTTCCACTTCAGTCAAACACCACAGAAAAAGCTGTGGCCCCCACATCCTCTCATGTCAGCAAAGACTAAGTGAGGACCCTAGACTTCCATACTGTGAGGCTGTAACGAGGCCCCTCAACACCCCTGAAGTTGCTGAAGTTGTGTCAGAGAAGTCCATGTAGGGAGCTTAGACTAATTCTCCAAGCAGTAGCAAGCCCCCAGAATCATCATGCAATGTTATTGGAGATGACCTGGGAAGCATGGACTTCCATCCCCACACAACAGTAAAAAGGTGCCTTTCCCTCTAGGTAAAAGGTGCCAGAGGAGGTCTAGTGGTGAGTCTGAACTATTACTGTTACCTGTTAGTAAAAAGAACATACCCACCATGGTGTCAGTGGAGATCAGCTGTGGACCTGGAACTTCTATCCCTGCCTAGCAAAATGAGGAACCTTCCCTACTTCCATCCCAAATCAGACATCAACAAAGACTGAGTGGGGAACCTGGACTTCTACCTCAGAGAAACAGAAAGTTTAAGATCCAGAATCTCATAATATGAAAATGTCCAGGTTTCAATTGAAATTGCTTATTATACCAAGATCCAGGATAATCTCAAACTGAAGGGAAAAAAGATAACAAATGCCAACACTGACATAATAGAGATGTTAGAATTATATGACAAAGATTTTAAAGTAGTCATCATAAAAATGCTTCAATGAGCAATTATGAACACACTTAAAACAAATGAAAAATAGAAAATGTCAGCAAAGAAGTAGAAGATAAAAAGAAGAACCAAATGAAAATTTTTGAACAGAAAAATACAGTAACCAAAATAGAAAGCTCAATGGGTAGGCTCAACAGAAGAATGCAGGGGACAGGGGAATTAATTGATAAACTGGAAGACAGAAATTACCCATTATGAAACACAGAGAAAATAGATTGAAACAAACAAGGAAAATTTACAGAGCCTCAGGGACCTGTGGGAGTATAACAAAAAAAAATCTAACATTCAAGTCATCGAAGTTTCAGAAGGAGAGAAGAAAGTAGACAAGGCTGAAAAGTACTCAAAGAAATAATGGTTGAAAACTTCCCAAATTAAGCAAGAAACATCAACCTGCACATTCAAGAAGTTGAGTGAACTCCAAACAGGATAAACTCAAAGAAATCCACATGACGACACATCACAATTAAACTTCTGAAAACTAAAGACAAAAAGAAAAATCTTGAAAGCAGCAAGAAAGAAAGAGCTACTTTACCTATAGGGTAAGACAATTTTAATTATAGCAGATTTCTCATCAGAAACTATGGAGGCCAGAAGGAAATAGGACAATATTTTTCAAGTGCTGGAAGAAAAGAACTGCAACCCAGAATACTATAGCAAAAGTTATTTTTCAGGAATAAAGGAGAAATCAAGACATTCTCAAATAAAGAAAAACTAAAAGAATTTGTCATAAGCAGAACTACCCTAAAAGAATGGCTAAAGGAAGTCCTCTAAAAAGAAAGGAAAAGATAAAAGAAGAAACCTTATAATGCCAGGAAGAAAGAAAGAGCATAGTAAGCAAAACTATGAGTAGATGGGCTTTCCTTTTTCTCTTGAGTTTTGTAAATTATGTTTTATGATTGAAGCAAAGATTATCACACTGTCTAATGTGGTTCTAAATGTATGAAGAGAAAATATTTAACACAACTATCTTATAAACAGGGGAGAGTAAACTGATGTAAATCTACATTTATAGATTATTTCAATTAGCAACAATAGAAAACACATTTTTTTCCAAGTGACCATAAAATACGTACCAAGATAGATCATATTCTAGCCCATAGGACAAAGTTAACAGAATTAATTAGAACATAATTTAAAAGAGTTAAACTCACACAGAGTGTGTTTTCCAACTATGATGAAATCAAAATAGAAATAAAAATAGATAATAGGAGAATCTTCAAACATTTGGAAACTAAACAACACACTTCAAATAATACATGGGTCAAGAAGGATATCTCAAGGTAAATGGTTGTGTTTTTTTGTTTTGTTTTGTTTTGTTTTGTTTTGTTTTTTGTTTTGGCACAATCTCAGCTCATGGCAGCCTCCACCTCCTGGGCTCAAGCAATCCCCCTAACTTAGCCTCCTGAGCAGCTGGGAGTACAGGAGTGCACCACCATGCCCAGCTAATTTTTGTATTTTTGTAGAGACAGAGTTTTGTCATGTTGCCCAGACTGGTCTCGAACTCCAGAGCTCAAGCAATCTGCCTGTCTCGGCCTCCCAAAGTGCTGGGATCATAGGCATGAGCCACCACACCCAGCCTCAAGGTAAATTTTTTTAAAAGCATTGAAGTGAATGAAAATGGAACTACAGTATATAAAAACTTGTGGGATGCAGCCAAAGCACCACTGAGAGGAAAATGCATAGCACCAAAAGCATATATTACAAAATAGGAAAAGTCTCAAATCAATAATCTCTGATTCAAGAATCTAGAAAAAGAAAAGCAAAATATACCCCAAGGAAGAAGAAAGAAGAGAATAATGCAGATAGGAGCAGAATCAATAACACTGAAAAGAGAAAAATAATACAGAAAATCAATGAAACAAAGAGCTGGTACTCTGACAAAAACAGAGGGAGAGAGAGAGAGAACTCACAAATTGCCAGTATCAGAAATGAAACAGGAGCTATTAGTAAAGACCCTACAGACATCAAAAGAATAATAAGGGAGTACCACAACAATTCCACACACATAAATTTGACAACTTAGACAGAATGGCTCAATTTCTTGGAAAATACAAGCTACCACAACTCAATCAATATGAAATGGAATTTCATTTGAATAGTTCTATAACTATCAAGGAAGTTGAGTTCACAATTTTAAAACTCCCAAAAAAGAAATCTCAATACCAAGATGGCTTCACAGGATAATTCTACCAAATGTTTAAGCAAGAATTAATACCAGCTCTATACAATCTCTTCCAGAAAATAGACGAGGAAGGTAAACTTTCCAATTTTTCTTTTTAATTTTCTTTTTTTTCTTTTCTTTTCTTTTTTTTTTTTTTTTGAGATGGAGTCTTACTCTGTCACCCAGGCTGGAGTGCAGTGGTGCAGTCTCAGCTCACTGCAACCTCCGCCTCTCAGGTTCAAGCGATTCTCCTGCCTCAGCCTCCTGAGTAGCTGGGACTACAGGCCTGTGCCACCATGCCCAGCTAATTTTTGTATTTTTAGTAGAGACAGGGTTTCACCATGTTGGCCAGGCTGGTCTTGAACTCCTTACCTCAAGTGATCCACCTGCCTCAGCCTCCCAAATTGCTGGGATTATAGGCATGAGCCACCACACCCAGCCCCCAATTTATCTTTCAAAGCTCAGATTATCCTGATATCAAAATCAGATAAAGGATAAAAATAAGAAACTACAGGCTAATATCCTTCATGAGTAGATGTAAAATTCCTTAACAAAATATTAGCAAATTTAATTTGGCAACATATAGAAGGAATTATATATTATACCACAAATAGAGCATATTCTAGAGATGCAAAATTTGTTCAATGTTTTGAAAATCAATCAATGTCATCCACTATATTAACAAGCTAAAGAAGAAAAATTGCATAATTATATCAATCAATGCAGAAAAAGCATTTGATAAAATTCAATATCCATTTTTAAAACTCTCAGAAAAATAGAAATGAAGGGGAACTTTCTCAGCTTGATAAAGAGCATCCACCAAAGAACCAACAGTTGACATTATGTTTAGTTATGAAGACTGAATGCATACTAAAGTGAAATGTCAAACTCAACACCAAAATTTAAAAATATAATACTATTTTTAATCATTCAAAAAATTAATTACTTAACTATAAATCCAACAAAACATGCATAGGACTTATGTTGAAAACTACATAATGCTGATGAAAGAAATCAAAGATCTAAGTAAATGGAAAGCCATATGGTATTCATGGACTGGAAAACTCTGCATAGTAAAGATTCAATTCTCTCCAACAAAAACAATTTTGAAAAATAAAGTGGGAAGAATCAGCCTACCCAATTTTAAGATTTACTATATAGCTACAATAATTAAGACACTGTGGTATTTGGAGAGTCATACATATCTAGATAAATAAAACAAATAGAGAATCTATAATTAGACCCAAAATATATCCCCAACTGATTTTGACAAAAATGTAAAAGAAATTCAGTGGAGTAAAATAACCTTTTTAGCAAATGGTGCTGGAGCAATTGGCATCCACAGGCCAAAAAGAAAAAGAAAAACCCACCTTGACCTAAGTCAAACAGTTTGTACCATCATTAGCTCAAAATGGATCATGGACTTAATGCAGTTTTTACAGTAATTTACTCAAAATGGATTAGGGACTTAAATGAAAAATGTAAAAACATAAAAAGTTTAGAAAATAACACAGAAGAAAATCTCTAGGATCTAAGGCTAAGCAAGGAGCTTTTAGACTTAACACCAAAAGCACAGCCCATAAAAAGAAAAATCAATACATTGAACTTCATCAAAATTAAAAACTTTTTCTCCATGAAAGACCCTGTTAGGAGGGTGAAAAGACAAGCTACAGAGTGGGAAAAATATCTGCAAACCACATATCAGACAAAAGACTAGCATCTAGAATATATAAAGAATTCTCGAAACTCAATAGTGAAAAAAAAAGTAAACAATCAAATTAAATGTCACCTTGACTAAATTGGGTTCTTGATTACATTGTGGTTTAAAAAAAAAAAAAAGCAAACAATTCAATTAGAACATGAGCAAAGACACGAAGAGACATTTCACCAAAGAAGATGTACTAATGGCAAATAAGCACATGAAAAGATGATCAACATCATTAGCCATTAGGGAAATACAAATTAGAACCAATAACAATAAGATGCTACAACATACCTATCGGAATGGGTAAAATAAACAATAGTGCCAATACCAAATGCTTACAAAGATACAGAAAAACTGCACTCATACATCGCTGGTGGGATTGTAAAATGATATAGCCACTCTGGTAAACAGTTTGGCAGTTTCATTAAAGGAGAAAAAAATAAACTAAACTAAAACTGCAACTATCATATAACCTATAATTGAACTCCTGGGCATTTATCCCAGAGAAATAAAAACTCTGTTCACACAAAAACCTGTAAGTGAATGCTATAGCAGCTTCATTCATAATAGCCAAAACCTAGCAACAATGCAGATGTCCCTCAATCAGTGAATAGTTAAACAAACTGTGGTAAGTCCATTTCATGGAATATTTCTCAGCAATAAAAAGGGAACAAGCTCTGGGTAGATGCAACAATTTGGAGAATTATGCTGAGTGATGAAAGCCAATCCCAAAAGGTTACATACTGTATGATTCCATTTATACGACATTTTTGAAGAGACAAAATTATAGAAATGCAGAACAAATTAGGGGTTGCTAGGGATGGAGAGGGCAATGGGAGAGAGGTGGGTGTGGCTACACAAAGGCAACACGAGGGTCATTTGTGGGGGTGGAAATGTTCTGTATCTGAACTGTATCAATGTCAGTAACCTGGTTGATGCTGTACTATAGTTTTGCAAGATGTTACCATCAGAGAAGCTGGGTAAAGGGCACATGGGATCTTTCTGTATTATTTGTTCCAACTGCCTGTGAATCCACAATTCTCTCAAAAGAAAAGATTTAATTTTTTTTTTTTTTTTGAGATGGAATCTTGCTCTGTCACCCAGGCTGGAGTGTGATGGCGCAGTCTCGGCTCATTGAAACCTCTGACTCCCGGGTTCAAGCCATTCTCCTGCCTCAGCCTCCCAAGTAGCTGGGACTACAGTCACGTGCCACCACATCCGGCTAATTTTTGTATTTTTAGTAGAGATGGTGTTTCACCATGTTGGCCAGGCTGGTCTTGAACTCCTAACCTCAGGTGATCCACCTACCTTGGCCTCCCAAAGTTCTGGGATTACAGGTATGAGCCACCGCGCCCAACCAAAAAGGTTTAATTTTTATAAAAGCACATGCAGTTTATAATTCCATAGGGCAAGCTTCCAATAAATGAGTTTGTTTTTTAAGTGTAAATTGTTTTAAAAAATGTATATGGAAATGTATATGTATACAGAATGTATATTTCATATATACATTTATATATAATATATATACATATTAGAGAGAGAGAAGGAGAGAGGGAGAGAGACAGAGAAATGCATGGACTTTTTAAATGTCTGTACAGAGCCCACAGAAGGGGAAAGCACAAATCTCTTGTGGAGAAGGGTCATCCAGACTCAGAGGTTAATGAGATCTCATCTCCTAGATGTCCCTAAAGGGAACCTCACACAGACACTTGGACCTCTGCCTGCCAGCTCCAGTCGATACACAATGCCCCTGTTCCCTCTCTGCCTCACCTCCCGTCTGTCACTGTCCTTCACTCACAAAGTCACTAGAGAACTCTATTAGTTAGGAAAATAAATGGTAGCTGCTGTAACAAATGACCCCAAAATTTCAGTGGCTTGACATAATAAAAATTAATTTCTGCTCATAACATATATTTGGGATGTTCCTGGTTGGACGACTCTCCTGGGAGGTTCTCCTCTTAGTAGTACCAGAGACCTAGGCTGCCACCATCCTGTAGCTTGAACATCAACCCAGCATTAGCCAGTCAGCAAATGAAAGATTGTGGAAATGGAACCAGACGAGATGAGGGCGAGGCCTAGGAATGGAGCACATAACTTCTGCCCACTCTCCTTTGGCCATAACTCAGATTGATGATCTCATCTAGCTACAAGGGGGCTGGGAAATGCAATCTTGCTCTATGTCTTTATAGCATCATTTCTGCCCTTCCTGGTTTGCCCTACAATGGTCCCTAATCATGAAACACCAATGTTCACACCAAAGATGCTATCTCCTGATGCTCATCTTCACATGCCAGAGCAGGGCGGGCTCTACGGCAGGAAGAAGAGCCTGCTCTGCACTTCCGTCCTGCCTGGTTACCCAAGACTGAGGCAGCCCAGCTTGTGTCGAAAGTCTGCAATGAGACCCATCAGCCTCAGGCCTCCATCCTCTCCCCGTCAGAGCCCCAAGGAAGTCCAAGAGGTCAGATCAGGGACTCCTACTACCCCATTCCCCCCATGATCCTGGATATCTCCTTCCATTCATGTCCCCTTCAGCCTCCCTTGAAGACTCCCTTGAAGACAAAAAGAACTTCCTTCTGCCTCCGTAGGCCAGCTTGGGGGATATGACTTGAAGAAGATTAACACCCTGAAGGCCCCCAGCCCTGCAAGCATGCAAGCAGCTAAGCTCTGCATCTCAGCCAGGAGTCCTCAGGGAACCCTGCTGCAGTGAAAGGGATGCAATGAGCCCAAACAGGGTTAAGGGAGGAGCAGATTGTGGTGGGAGGGAGGATATACAGAGATCTGCCTCAGACATCTTGTGCTTACAGATGCCAGGTGTATATATGGGTTGAGAGCCCAGAAGAGAAATCCAGACCAAGGTAATCCACATATCTTATATTTGATAGGCTACAGACTCAGCTGCTGTTGCAAAACCCCAAAATAACAGTGACATAAATGAGATAAGGATCCACTCTCTCATCGGCATAAGGAATCACAAGCATAAGGACTGACATAATGCTCTGAGGGGTCAAGGCCCAGGTTCCTCCATCTGGTTGCATATGCGTAGTCCAAGATGCCTCACTACCACCTACACACCAGCCAGAAGAAAGGGTGCACTGGGCAAGGGAGACCAAGCTCCTTCCCTTTGGGGGCATAATGCTAAGACATGCACACATTGCTGCTGCTCACATCCCAGAAACTGGTCAGAAGCGTGCATCTAGCTGAAAGGGAGGCAGGGCAGTGTAGTCATTATTCCAGGCAGCCACATACATGGTTTATTTCATCGCTATGAAAGAAGAGGAGAAGGGGTGGTTAGGAATCTCTGCCATACACCCCTCAGAATGGATTATGGACCCCTGTTAGCACAATATTTTTGAGCACATAAACCCCAATATATTTATATTTGTTCATAATTAATATCTATGCCAATATGTATATTAAATCCTTGTAAAGCTTATTTTTTCCTTACTTTTTAGATAAAAATAAATGTGATATTTTTCTTCTCATACCCCAAGAGATCATCTGGCACATGCCTCGTTGGAGATCACTAAAGATGCAGATTTGTAAATCAACAGCAAATAGGCAGTGGCTGCAGCTCTGGAGTTGAATGGGATCACCCAAGAAGAGACAAATAGAGGCAGAAGAAAGCTCCAAGGATGAGAAATTGGGAAACAACAATATTTAAGCTGGGGAAAAATTTTAAAAGCAGGAGTGATCTAAGAAACTGAGCAGGAGCCGGCCAAGAGACAGGAAGACAAATGAGAACGAGTGTTTCTAAGGAAATCTGAGGAGAGGAGAGCTTCACAAAACGTCACGTAGGATGAAGACTGAAAAGAGGCCATTGATTTGCCAATGTGAAGGTCATTGGTGACCAGGGTAAGAACAGAAGAATATTAGGATGAATAGGCAAGAAAGAATTTGATAGCACATTTGATTCTATGGGCAAGGAAGGAGGTAGCCATGGAAGGTTTTTGAGTGTGGAAGCCTCATGATGACAGCAAAATGTGAGGAAGAGTCATGTGGGCATTTGCATGAAAAGTAGACCAGAGGATCCAGAGTCTAGAGTCTGAAGTCCCCCTAGGGTGTCAACCCAGGAAATGGCCTCAAACAAAGCATATGGCTTAGGAGAAATGGAAATGACCCAGTGACAAATTGATATGGAGACCTATCAAAAAAGATTGACTCCAAGGTTTTGGGTGCTGGTAGCTGAGAGGATGGGAATGCCATTGAAACCATTGTTCCAGGAGGTTTTGATGGGGAAATGGGATGCCTGGTGGACCTGCCCAGGAATGCTTCCTGGGGAGGGTACTGTGAGCATGTCAACCCGAAAATGCCTGCTCTCCCATCCTGGGCTACTGCCACATGCCTTGGCTACTCAAGTGCTCAAGTTCAGAGTCCCCACCCTCTTTCCCCAGCAGTTCCAAGGATGTGTTCATCACCGAATGCTGTCCCAGAGACCCTCTGACCAGCCAAGCTAACTTTAGTGTGTCTCTGGGGACTCTGAGGTTGTCACTGAGGACAAATGCAGCTGCTCCTTCCCAGGCAGTGACAAGCTCAATAATGTGGTCAGCAGCAAGGGCTGTCCACTGGCACTGAAGCAGGACATAAAAGGCCATGGTGCAGCTCATCTATGAGCAACCTCACACATAGCTCTAGGAGTTGGGGTCACCCTTGCCCTAACCATCCTCAGCCATTGTCCATTGTTTAGGATGGTCAAGAAACGGGTCAAGAGAAAGAGGATGTAATGAACCCCTGTGAGCACTTGAGGAAGAAGGATCCCATGCTCAACAGCCACAGTGTGTCCTTCTGGAATGACCCTCTGTGTCCTCTACCCCAAGGGGCCTCTCCCAGGGATTCTGGTCCACCCGGCTAATGGGCTGTGCTGAATCAGGATGGCCTGCAAAGCCCTCCCGGGGGGTGCTCCCTGGCTGCTTCTTTCTCAGGCCCCTCATGGCTTAGGTGTGGGTTGGGTTGCAGGACAAGAATGGTGAAAATAATTCAGGAAACTGCTCACTCGTTCTGCTTCTTGGACAGTCACACTTGGGACTTGAATGAGCCTAGGCACCCGGAGGCACAAATACTGTTCCAGTAGCTCTCTCTGGGCTAAGCTTTGCCCTAGATCTGATGCTCTTCAGGGTCAGGAACTTCAGTGTGATCCTGGGAGTTGGGGAAAGCCTCCCTCAGGCTCAAGAGAGACCCCTGAACTTAGATAATGGTTCTCACTGGAGACACTAATGTGGGAGAGAACAGGAGAGAGCCACTCTTTTCCTCACTAGGAATAAAGGCTCCTGACCTGATTCCCTCTGCATTGACACTTCCTCCATCAAATTATTTTAAAGTTAGCATAGGAAACTATGAGTCTCATAAAAATAAACGAGCTAGTCCTGATATTTGGGCTAATACCAATACTTTCAAGGATAAAGCAGCTATATGGTGCCCTGGATACAACTATGGGGCTCATCTCAGATTTCTTGGGCATCTCAGAGAGTGGAACTCACTTAACACTTACTGAGCCTCCACTGTGCAACAGGCCTACCCTCTGAATCTTGAATGATGAAGAGGAGCTCAAACAAAGGATGGAAGGTGTTCCAGGCTGAAGGAATAGTGTGTCCGAGGAACCAAGAGAGAGCAAGAGAGACTGAGAGAGAGCATTCTGTGCCTTAAACAAATGGTTGACTTCTAGATTGGTTTGGTCACAGCAGAGAGAGGGAAGGAAGCAGTAATCCCAGGGCCAGAGGAATAAGCCCTGGCCAGATCCTGACATGTGTTATGTGGCTGGAAGCTTGGGTTTTATCCAGAGGGCAATGGGAGCCATTGAAAGATCTTAGGCAGAGAGGAGACATGATGGGACTTGTTTTAATAGAAATGTAGCAGAGTGGTTTACCAAGAATGTAATGTGGCCAAATGGCCTATTGAGAGAGACTAGCTGTATCTTGCTTTCTCCATTGTAGGCTCTTGCTAAAGAATGAAAGGTATTTCAGCTCTTCTCCTCCTCACTCCCACCCCAGGAAGGGAGCCAGGCTTTTATGTCTTTGAGACTTGGGCTTTCCTTGCCACAGGGGGAGCTGACAATGTTTTTGTGTGTCTTGAAGAAAAAAAAAAAAAAAAAAAAAAAAAGAAGTTGCCAGGCCTTTCTGCCTCTTTGTATTTGAAGGCCTGGGCCTAGCCAGAGAGTGTTGAGGTTAAGAATTAAAGAGAGGAATGACCGAATTCAGAGAGTTTATGAGATGTCCGGGGGTTCAAGGGAGGCTGAGGTCCCCAGGACTTGGTGAGTGATTGGTTATGGAGGTGAAGAGAGGAAGGAGTGGAGAATGGCTTGTGGGTTTCCACTTGGACTGATGGGGAAATGGGTGGTGCTACTAGTCACAATAGAGGAGAGGATGCGTTCTCTCTTTCTTTCATGGGAGAGAAAGTCCCCATAGATCTGAGCCACAAACAGCTGTGACTCCCACCCCAGCCAGGAACTGGCACCTTGACAACCCTTGGGGGAGAGAAAGAAATCAAGTGGCAACCCTGCTGCCAAGTGCCCCATTGGCCTCTCCTGCCTGAGCACTGGCCAGTGAGAGTGTCTCCAAGTCTGGTGCCGAAGGGAGCGGACCACCCTTTGCACTGATGGGAAATCTTCAGAGCAGGCTCCAGCCTCCAGCATGGACTCAGAGGGCCGGGCTGGGCCACAAAGAGGGGTGTGAGACAGAGCCCATCCCACGGGCTCTCCGGCCTCATTTTCCTCGTTGGTAAAACTAGTGCTTTGAACCTGATTCTCTGCACGGCTTCTTCCAGCCTGAGCCTGTGAGGACTGGCTGGAGCACCAGATGAAGCAGAATGCATTGTCACAGCACATTGGCAGGAGTGTGAAGTGGCCAGATGCCCATGGGGTCAACAGGGATGGATTCCTAGAGCAGAATCTAGGGGACCTGGCAGCAGCCTCCTCAGTTGTAAGTAAATTGAGGGCAACAGCCACTCTCTCTGCAGCCTCACTCTGGTCTCCTCTGCTGGGTCTAGGGCAGCTGCCTGGCGAGGGCCGAGGGCATAGCAGGTGCTAGTTCCTACCTGTTGACTGGGCCAGGGAGCAGACCAGCACCGCCACCCCTGGCTCCAGGCTCACAGCTCCTTCTCTTCACATTCTTCATCACCGTTCCTCCCGCACTTCCTGCTACTGCTTAGGGATGCAGTAAAAATAAAAAGGTGCCTCCTTTCACCAACCAACTCTCCTCTCCGTCCCTGCTCTCCATTATGCAGAAACCTCTGCTTTCCTGATTGTCGAATTCCTCTTACTTGATTACCTTCCCCAGGAACAGACTCCTCTGAGAGACAAGAGAATATCTGACCCATGGCCTGATGCCCTGGAGGGGTGGGAAGGGAAGCAGTTCCTAGCAAGAGAAACATAACCAACTTAGCTAAGCAAACTGCTAAGGGCCAAGCTTTACAATGGCAGTGCATAGACAGTCAGATGAGAAAGTGTTATCCCCATTTTGCAGATAAGGAAATTAAATCTCAAAAAGTGAAAGAATTTACCCAAGACCACAAAAGCGGTACAAATCTTGGCTTCTTTGTGTTTCCTTTCCATCCCCTCAAAAAGACTCTTACTGACCGTTTACTTTGCACTGATCACTGTACCATGCCCTGCAGAGTCAAAGACCAATGAAGCAATGTTGTATAGCCTTCAAGCAGTCGCAGTCTAGAGGGGAGACAGACATAGAGTGTAATGAGTGACACATGGGAGGCATGGACAAAGTCCTGTGGGACTTCAGACCAGGACAGGGGAAACAAGGCTTTCCAGGGGAGGTGACGTGAAGGAGAGTCCCAGAGGATGAGTCACAGTTACCGAGCAGAGCAATGGGCAGAACTGCTTGCTGGCCAAGGGGCCAAAGCAGGAAAGCACGCAGCTTAATTGCCCAGCCGAGCAGCTTTCCCTCATCCCCAGCCGCACCCCCGCCGAAGCCCCACCCAAACCAGGAGGCTTCCCGCCAGGATGTTGGGCCTGTGAGAAGCTCAGGGTGATGCCCTCCCTCTCCTGGCCTTTCCTTACCAAGGCCTGTGGGACTTGAGATGCTGCCGGAAGCCTGGCTTCCTGGGGAAGGGGTCTGCTGAGGCCCTCCTGACAGCCGCAGCCCCCCTCCTTCAGCCCAATCTTCAGTTTAGCTAAACTGTTGGATCCCTTTGGGTTTGATACCATCTAATTGGTTGTGGCTAATCCCATATTAACTTCTCCCGCAGAAGCTAGAGGGCCTCTCCCCACCCTCCATCACGTCCCAGCCCCTACAGAAGCTGCTGTTATCATGTTTATGAGCCTCCACAACCACAGACAGGCAAATTTGCATATAAATAACCTGCCAGCACTGGAGGCTGTGAGAAGCACCTGGTAACAACTCTGTTTATTACTCTGGAGAGAGAAAGGGAGCAAGAAGGCCTTGTGCGCTGGGTGGCCCAAGTGGGATGGCTACATTTCCACCTACCGATTAGCTGAGAAAGGGTCAGTGACCCCCAAACAGCAGAGGAGGAAGAAACGTAAAGCCGTGCAGCTCCTCCTCTTTGGGAAACCCTGGCCCTCGCAGCTAGAGACTGTAGAAGCCACCACGTCACCAAGGATGGTCCAGCCTGAAAATGAATGCAGGGAGCCAGGTATGAGCCTGGGCTTGGTGTAGGTGGGGAATGTGAAGCAGAGAGAGGAGTCCTGTCCTCAAAGAACTGTCTACTGCAGCACGCATGCTGCAGACCTGGGGGAAAGCTCTGACCAGACAAAACACGGAGGTGATGGCCCAAGGTGCAGGAGCAGGTCCTCCCAGTGAGAAGGCTTCCAGGAGGAAGACCTTGGTAGCTGTGGTAGACCTTGCCCAGGTGAGGAGCAGAGGAGGAAACACTCCAGACTGGAGGGAATGAAGTGAGGCCCTGTTGAATGAGTCCTGTACTGAGTGGACTGAGGGGCCTGGGGAATAGGGAGATGGATTGGAAGAGCAGCAGAAGATACAGCTGGAAGGGAGGCTGAGTCTGCTGTAGTGTCCCCATATGACCAAGTTGTGACTTTACCTCCTAGATCTTCAACATTTTTGAAAAGGTGAATGACATAAAGGCAGCTCTGTGGGCTAAAAAGCTATTGCTACTGAAGTCTCCATCGAAATGTTGAATGGCCCAAGGGTTCCCTAAGAAGGCAGGGAGGGACACCCCTTAACATGATCTGATGTCTAATGAACACACCAGCAAGGCGGAATTCAGAACAGAGGTCACACCCCAGAGAGATGGGAGCCGGAGGTCAGTGGAAGTTGGGTCTTAGAGGAGGCAGGGGTGAGAAAGACAGACTCGGAAGACCCAAAATCTGTAGCTGGAAAGCAAGCAGAGGCCAGGGAGAATGTTGGAGAAATATAATTAAGAAAACAAAATCTTCTCTCAACCTAGAAAACCTCTCCTCAAAGGTAGTAGAGACAGAAAACAGTTTTATTATTGAGTAAGCATTAAACCAGGATGTGATATACATCACAGGCAATCCACTGAGAGATTGCAGAGACAGAATGCAAAATGCAATCTCAACTCCTATATAGCCAGATAGATACAATCCACTGCATACATGTTTTCAAGATAAACAGAAACTAGTCCTCAAGGAAGAGGGCCCGAAAACTTCAACCTAAAAAGAAATGCAGAAAGACAGGCTCTCCAGAACAAATGAGTTTATTTGGGAATAGCAGAAGATTGCAATCTGGGATATGTGTGTTATAACAGACCACAGGCATATCCAGAGGAGTCAGGGCAAAGGGGAGTCTTAAAGACACAGAGAAGTCCACACAAGCCGCTTTGAAACAAAGATCACAGGTCACAAGCTTGTCGTAGGAGCCAGCCTTTGTTCATCAGCCATTGCAAGGTGAGTGTCCTTGTGTGAGTGGCTTAGCTGGAACACTGCAATCTTGAGGAAGTTCTTGTGATAGTCCTGTTACAGGGATGTGTGTGTGACAGCTTCCTTATGGCCTCCCTCATCTCCGTTTGGTTAAGCGTTTGACATAGGTGACTCCATTTCGGTACTGGCAACTTTTACAACATCCCCATTTGTAACACATAGCTCGTCCTAACTTCACCTGGTAATTAGGGTGACCATCTGTTAGCTTATTGGCTTTATCCAGAGGAAAAACAAGTTTTGCAAATAGAAGCAGGAGACCCACCAAAGTTAGGCTCTTACTCTCTCACAAGAACTGGGAGAGAGGGGACACTCTCTCCTCCAATGTTAGGATTTCAAAAAATGGCTACCAGGTAACTTGAACCATGACTGGCAAGAGGCTTATTTCACCATTATAAAGATTTATGTATGTTTGAAAAGGACCTAGAAAGAAATTCTGATATGAAAAGAAAGAGGGGGAGAAGTCTCTTCTCTTATTTTCAGCAGGGAGAATTAAGTTTCTTATTTTAAACTTGTATTCGCCCTTCCAGGACCAATAGGGTTAGAAGTAGTTGAGCCTCCGTGGGGAAAGGACTGCTAGTAATATTCAGACCTGAGTTCAGATTCTAACCCTGCCTGGGCTAGCTGGGTGGACAAGTCAACCCTCCTCGAGTTGGTTTCCTCATCTTTGAAATAGGGATTATAATTTCTACCTCACATGGTCCCGAGGAATAAATAAGATCATATTTTAAAGTCATATGGAAGCAGCAGGCACTCTAAAATATTCATTCTTGAAATTAAATTGTGTAACATCGGCCAAGCACAGTGGCTCAGTGCCTGTAATCCCAGCACTTTGGGAGGCCGAGGCGAGTGGATCACTTGAGCTCACTGGTTTGAGACCAGCCTAGGCAACATGGTGTAACCCCATCTCTACAAAAATAATAATAATGATGATAATACAAGAAAATTAGCCAGGCATGGTGGTGACACGTGCCTGTAGTCCCAGCTACTCAGAAGGCTGAGGTGGGAGGTTGGCTTGAACCCGGGAGTCAGAAGTTGCAGTGAGCCGAGATCATGCTACTGCACTCCAGCCTGGGCGATAAAGCCAGACTTTGTCTTAAAAAAAAGAAAATGTGTAGCATCATAAGGGTTGGAACAGTCAGCTGGAGAGTAGTTCACTAAATCCCAAAACATTGACGCTAAGGGAGTCCTTCACAGCCTACATCAAATGGTCACAGGACAGGTCAGAGGGAAATGCTCCTCTGGGCAGCTGGTACAGGGAGCTTATTTCCCTAAGAAGTATCACAGTCAGAAAACATAACGAGGTAATGGAATGGTTTAGGACACTCATGAATGAGTCTGAATGGGCTGTTAAGGGGGAGGCAGGTGTTCAGCATGACCCTAACTCGGAGGTTGTGAGCTCTAGGATAAAGCCTTTCCCATTAGATGGCCTTGGAAAGACTGCCACAGGCGAGCTCTGGCCAGACAGATGAGTCACAGGTTTGGAATTGGGGGATAATTCTTCTATTTCTGTACACCACATCCCACAGGACCGCCCCCCACCCCCCCGCCCCCAGATGACAGACCGAATTTGCAGTGGTACCATTTCTACTGCTCCCCTGCCATTTCTGCTAAAAGAACAGACTTGGGTGTCCCCTATGCCCACCACAGGATGGCTACCCACCTGTGCTCTAGAAAGGCCACTTCTCTTGAGCTGGGGGAAGGAGGGCACAAAGGCCTCCGGTCCCCAGGCAGTAACACCACAGACAGCCTCTGCACTTTCCAGGCCACCTCGCCCTGCCTCCGTGGGATGCTTTCCTGTTGCCACAGCAACTGGATTCCCAGGGAACCTGTGGGCCCAGGCCACCATCTTGGGGAGTTCCTAATGATATGTTCTGAAAATTACAACATTTCAACCCAGGTCCCGTCGCGCAGCCCCACACTGGGGCTACTAAGCTAGAGAGAGAGGGTGTCCTGTGGTGAAACTGCATTTTCTGGTGCTTGCCTATTTGGGGCTGGGAGAGGTTGAGAGGAGAACTAGGCCATGGTTTCTAAGGTGTTCCCAGCTGGCTTGGCCAGGTCATCCCACCGTGGCCAGCACCCGCAGCGTCTGGAGGCTGGGAGGAGGAGCGCTCCCCTGTGATCCCTCCCATCTTCCCACTGCGCTTACCTCCCGGCCTCTCTCAGTTTCAGAAAGTGGCTTGCACAGGCCCAGTCAAGCACATTGGGTGGTAGAATGTGGTGCAAGGGAGGGTGGCTGGGGAACAAGCGGAGGGGCAGCAGGAAGTGGTGGGCTTTCATCTGGGGTGGCTAGGGGTGAGGGGGTCTGCTGGAGCAGACGGCAGGACCAGGGCAGGGCCATCAGGGGGCAGAACCAACAGGGAGGGCTAGAGCAGAGCTCAGCCCGGCGCTGGCGCTGAGGATGATTGAACTGGGCGTCGGGAGGGATTGAAGCTGGAGACAAAGGATTTGCTGCAGAACCCAGAGCCCTGATGGAGCACGGGGGACGCGTTGATGCAGGAGATAGAGGCTGCGGCCCCCGGGGGCGGAGGCAGAGGGGTGATTTAGCGCCTTGGAAGACAGGACAGGCAGGACCTGTGCTTCGGCACAGAGCCGCAGGCCGCTCCCATCCATCCCCGGCTGAAGGCTGCAGTGACAGAGGAGGCCCGGAGGAGGGAGGGATGGGAGGGAGACGTGGCAGCCAAGGGGAGAAGCACGAAGCTGGCTCCGGAATGCAGCCTGCAAGCACATTTTGCCTGCAACACTCAAACAAATTCCAGGGCAGCTTTTCTGGGGAAAGGGAAGCGAGGTTCAAAGAGAACATAATGAATTGGCTGAAATAAATAGCTAATTAGTTCCTCATAGCTTAGGAGGTTCACAGAAGAGGTCGCTGTGCACTGCAGTGGGCGGCAGCCACCCCTGCCTCACTGGACACAGGGCTCAGCTGGAGCTGAGGGGGGTCCTGAAGCCAGTGGCCTTAGACAGCAGCCCACCCAGACGCTTCTCCTTAGTGTCCCGGCAGCCCGCAGCAACCATGGCTGGGAAGCCTGATGGAGTCGGGAGAAGTGGGCATGTGGAGACAGGACCTGGGGGGTTCACTCCAGGCTCTTCAGCTGCCACCTTAGACACCTGGAATGCCTTCTCAGATCCCCGTTTTCTGAACTAAAAACTAACACCTGCCCTGTCTGCTCCCAGGGTTTTTGTAAGAATCAAATGAGGAACAGTTATGGCCCAAATGCTGGCGGTTATCCTCTATTAGACACAAGCGTCATGAAGGAAGGGGGTAAGCTTGCTCCCTTTGGGACCCCCTGCATTTAACATAATGCCTGGCACAAATATTTGTTGGGTCTTGTTGAGTAAACATGGAGTTTTCACTGCCTTGGTGGTCCCTTTAGTCATCCATACACAGATGGAGCCCAGGAAACTTGGAGGCTCAACCTAGGGATATTCAGGTGTGACCCTGCCCTAAAGCCAACCCCCAAGTGATGTTTGGATCAACTGTAGTTTGGAAACATTGCCCCGAAAGACAAAGAATGGGAGTTATGTAAAGTTTCATGGAGGGGGTAGTCCAGGACCCCTGTAACGGGAGTGCATCTGAGCCCCTCCCCAGGGAGGGATTAGCCTTCCCATCCCTCTTGAGTTTTCTGAGTCAGAGGCAGAGACGAGGAGGGCCAGGGTCCTCCGTATGCTATTCAGTCTGATATTTGGAGGCCCAGAGCATATCAGTCTTCTTAAACTGCAGACACATTCTACACTAATTATAATTTGGATACAACTAGGAGTTAAGTGGCTGTTGACTAGTTGGCATGTTTTGTAGACCTGTAATCATTTATTAATTTTGATTTTGCAGTTCCCTTTTTGCATCTTGGAGCCAATCGATTCTTTTTTCAGGTATCCAGCAGTTCTGGAGGCCCTTGAAAGTTCACAGGACACAGGTACCAGGCCCACTGTCAGACAAAAAAGCAGCCAGGGAGAGAAAGGGGGGTGTGGCACCAGGATACCCCGTGCTCTCCTAGAGATGGGAGAAGCCACTGGGCCTGTGGCTGCTTTAACACTTTCCCAAGAAAGAGGAGACGTATGTTCTTGTTCCCAGAAACAGCCACCAGATGCTGTATGAGCCTGGACAAGCTGTGTGACTTGTCTGCGCTTCTGCTTTCCTCTTAGAACAAGGCTTGGGAAACAGGGCTGGAGGCTGCAGGGGAAAGAGGGTTACCGAGCATTCTCTCCCCTAAGCTGGAAGATGTGACTGAGAGCATTCATGGGTGGATTGGGACCGTGTGGTCTGGACACCTGGAGCAGGGCAGAGGGCATGTTTGTTTCCCTCTAGAAGGCAGAGACCCTCTGCCATGCGGAGGGAGCTGGCTCTCCCTCTGAAGTCCCTGCAAAGCAAGAAGGGGCCCAGTCAGACCCGAGTCTCATCACCCCAGCTCCCTGCCTGCCATAGACTGAGTGTGTGTCTTCCCACAGAATTCATCTGTTGAAGCTCCAAGCCCCAGTATGATTGCATTTGGAGACAGGGCCTTTAAGGAGGTAAATAAGCTTATATGAGGTCATGAGAGTAGGACCCTGATCCAATAGGATTAGCGTCCTTATGAGAAGAGACAGAAGCTGTCTTTCTCCCTCTCCCTCTCTCCCACCGCTTCTGCCACCAAACCCATTCTGCAATTCTCCAGCACAAATGGGTGTCCTACAATTCAGTCCTGTCCAGACACGAACTGCCCAGAGTTCACATGAGACTCCACCGCTTTCAGCCTCAGTCCCACAAGTCTGCCTTCCCTTCGGATGCCAGTCACTAGTCCCAGGGACCACCCATACTTCTGACCCACCCACCACCAGTCAGGGGTTCTCAGGGTCCCCTCTGGAGTTCAGTAATTAGTTCATACCGAATCACCAAGCATATACCAGTTTATTATAAAGGGTACAACTCAGGTGCAACCAAATGGAAGAGACGTGTAGGGCAAGGTACACAGGGTGGGGGGTAGGGAGGAGCAGAGTTTCCACGCCCTCTTGAGTTGAGACATGTCACCTTTCCAGAACCTCAACCTGTTCACCCACCTGCAAGCTCTCCAAACTCTGTGGCTTAGGGATTTTTATGAAAGTTTAATTTCATAAGCATGATCGAGTGAATCATTGGCCATTGGTAACTGAACTCACTCTTCAGAGTCACCTCATTAACACTCCAGAGACTTTTATCACTCAGTAGATTCCAAGGGTTTTAGGAGGTCTTTACCAGATCCCCCCAATGCACACCAACAGTGTGCCCCCCGACCCCCTACTGATTCCTCCCCACAAAGGCCATGGGCTTCCTTTGAGGGGAATGTTTTCTAGACCAGCATCATCCTGTACATCACATTGGTAATCAGGCCCTAAGAGGAAGACTGGAGAAATGGAAAGGAAGACAAAGTTACTCTCGCTATTGCTTTGAAGCCATGCACTGGGGATCTAAGTATCTACCTCCCGCTCCATTTTGCAGGCTGAATCCTCACATCTGGGGAGCAGGACCCAGCCCCTTTTTGGTAAATAAAGTGATGAGTCTCCTTTCTTCCAAGTGCTCACATGGCCTGGGCTTGGTTGATTCATGACTGTGACTTTTCTTCCTCCTTCTCTCACCCAAACATGCAAATACCCCACTGCCTGGAGGCTGGAGCGGCTAGAACAAGCTGCTGGGAGTGTGTGGACAGAGAGATGAAAACAAACCTGGCTCTTGATGATGTTTCTCCCTGGATTTTATAAGCCAGTGCCATTTCTCAGTGAAGTCAAATCCATGCGGTCCTCATTCATTTACACACTGGGCAAGGGTTTGCACAGAAGAGAGATGGAGACCCCAAGGGCCCCCTTTAGTTGATTTAACAAATCCCTTTCAAGCTTTAATTTTTTTTTATTAGGAAGCAGAAGTTGCCTGTTCCCAAACCACACATGTACGCACAGATACATAGGCATAACCCCCACTCCTTTCAAATTCTAATCTCTCCAAACCCAAAGACGGGAATATCCCCATGAACCAAGCTTTAGAGGGCACTTTTTTCCTCTTCTCCATTTAGCATCTGCTGGGAAATGGAAGGGAACCTGGGAAGAACTTGCAATAACTGGGAAGAAGCAGACGAAGTGCCACTCCTGCCTGATGATGCCAGCAGCCCTGCAGGGTCCTCCTTTATCCACTCAGCCCCACACCAAGAAGAATTTCAGAAGGCCAGTGGTGGCTCCAGACACACAGCTCGGGCCTGGATTTAATTTGTTTTGGTGAAAGGACCCTGGACTAAGAACAAGGACACGAAGAGGATGGGGCAGCCCTGAGACAGGTTTCTCATCCTCTCTCTGCTGGGCAGGACCTTCCAGAGGCATCCAGGGCAGCTCTCCACCCCCAATGCCAGATGCAGTATCAGGTGCACAGAGCACCAGAATAGGAGTCCAGAGACCTCAGCTGTGGGCCCAGCTCCTCAGTTGGTGCTATGTGACCTTGGTCAATTCACTGGATGACTGAGCCTATTTTCTTCCTCTGTGAAAATGAGTGTAGTGAAACGTGACTGCCTGCCAGAAACAGATGAGGAGGGGTGTGAAAATGCCTTGCCAAGTCCTTTGGAAAGGTGAGCTATTAGGGGTACTTATCTTAGACGATGTTTCTGGCAATCTTATTTATAAATCTTTTCAGGGCAAAGGATCCTGTAGCTCCCCCAGTAACAGCTGCCCTTGTCTCATAACTGTTTGGGAAGTCCTTCCCAGTATCCAACCTGAATTGTTTCTGAAACAACTTGTCCTGCATGTCGGAAGTGAACCTGAGTGTGTGTGAGACAGTTGAATTGTTCTTGGTGTGTTGCGTGTGTGCACACACACTCTGTGCACACCCCACTGTAGGAGAATGTTCTTGGTGAGGAAGAGGAAGGTCAGTGTGGGAGATTCTCACATCTGAGGCCTCGACCTGCAGAACTTTGAGCAGTGCACCACTGCCACTGCCCAACAAGTCACAGTAAGGTGGGAGTGCTGGGAGGGTGTCCCCCTTACCTCATAAGAAGAAAGCAATCTGAGCAGCTTTGACTGTTTTTCAAATCAATGGGTATGAAAATCCACCCAGAACTCGGGTTATGAAATGTGTCATTTTCATGTGTGAAATTTGCACCCGCTGACCTCATATCCTCCCTGAAAATGGGGGACTTTCTCACCTCCTACCTCGAATTTAATCTGCGTCTGATATGCTGGCAGACCTCAGACCCATCTGCATCTCTTGGAGCTGTTTCTTTCCACTTCGGAGTAAATGATGGTTCCAAGGAGCTAGGCTGATGGGAACAACGCCCACACCATGTGGATGCCTCTCTTCTCTCTCGCCTTTTTGGGGCCTCGTCTAGCAAACACGGAGGCTCCAGCGCCACAGAGATTTGCAGTCTGTCTCTGTCTGCACCCACAATTCAATCACACAACCCTGAGTGGGCATAAAAGCTGATTTTCTGTCCTAATGACTCCCTTAACCGAGCTGACAGCTGCCATCCCTCAGGGACCTGTGGGTGAGAGTGCTGGAGACCAATGATCCCCTTGCTTCTCTGCCCCTCTGCCCCCTGCCCCACCTCCTGTGTGTCTTTGAGGCTGAGGTGCCTAGATGACCACTGTGTGAATGTGCCCAGAGCTGGCAAGAGGAGAGAGTGGGCTAAGAGACAGAAGGTGGGCTGCGTGCTCCCATAGGGCTCTCCCTCTCCTGCCAGCTCCATCTTGAGTCCATTAACCTCGCTCTGTGTGTGCTGTGTTAATGGGCTGGGAAGGACAGATCGCCCCTCTCGCCTGCTGACAGGAGGGGGCTGCCACTTGTTGCCAACCTCAGAGGAGGCACAAGGTGCTTGGAGGGCAGGACCAGAGCCCAGGCAGGCCCTGGCTTATGGCCTGGCTTCCCCACTGCCTGTCAGAGGGAGGAAGCAGCTCCCCTGGGGTGACAAGATGGGCAGCTGGCAAGAAAATCCCTCATGCTCACTTTCCTCTCCATTGATCCTCAGATCTCCTCCTCAGCAGCTAAGGAGACTCAATAATGCACACTTCCTAAGTGCAGTAGAAGGACCTGTGAATAACAATCTCTTCTATTGGATTAACTCTTCCGCATCTGCTGTGTGGATCCCCTACCTCGCTGATGTGCTTGGAAGGCAGAGGAGGCTGCATGGTGAGGCCCTGCTGGAGCACAGGGAGAGGCCACTTGGCAGAGTGCAGCATCACAGCCGTGGGCGCCTGAGACCCAACCCCACCAGTGCCTCCATGGCTGTACCATGTTCCCATGCTTCATCATGCTGTCTCTCAGGGTGGGACCAGGCATGGTCTTATTCACCGAGGCAGGATTCTAAACTCCTGTTTAGAACCCTATGACTGGCTGGACAGGGGGTGGGCACCTGAGCCATGGGCAGCCAACTCATAGGCTGACCAGAGGCCTGATAAATGACTCAGTGCAGGAGGCAATTCACTCAACTGCAGTTATTTGAGCCAATCAGGCTCTCTCTCAATGGAAACAGGAAATAATAAAGCAGCTGGTGGGAGTAAGAGAAGTGAACGGAGACTCCCTGACAGCAGATGAGTCCGGCTGGTGGCAGAGTCTGGAAGGAAGAGCCACAAACTCTGGCTGCTGTAAGACCTCAGAAAGCCATGCCCTGAGAGCTCCACTGGATCCTGACCTCCCCGCCTCACCCAGTCTCCCAGCCCGAGCCTCATGAGGGCCTCCCCGTGCCGTAGCTCCTGATCTAGATGTTATCGTGAATATCCTTGCAATTAATCTCCATGTTCTGGCAGGCTCTGGATACGCTGGGGAAACAGCACAGGGGTTCATAAATTTGCCTGATTAAAAATCACATGGGCAATTTGTTAAACCTGCAGACTCCAGGGTCCCGTTTCAGACCATTGAATCAGAATGCCCAGGATGGACTCCAAGATGTGCACTTAACAAACACCCAGGGTGAGTCTTATGGCGAACTTGGGAGACACTGGTTTATTCCCATCCCCCTTAATTCATCCACATGAGTGTGCTGAATTGAATGTACAAACACCAAGTTGCTTAAAAAGAGAAAAACAAATACCATTTTGGGGGCCAGCCAGGCAAAAAAAAAAAAAAAAAAAAAGGATGTTGCACAAATTTCTCATCTCCTTCATCCTTTACCTGGCCCCCAGGCAGGCTTTTCTAACCGTTGGAGCAGTTTCCCTCTGGATGGATGTCACCAGGTGGATATGATGTCAGTGCCTTCTGGGGCCACTGCTGGACCAACAAGTTTAGTTGCAGAAACGAGGGAAGTCACACTTCTGTGGAAGAAATCTCTGGTTGTTCCCAAATATTCATTTTTCTCTCCTCTGTGGCAATAGTATTTTTAGCTGGACACATAGCAGCCCAAAATAAAGAAAACACCTTCCTAGCCTCTCTTGCAGTTAGATGGGGCCATATGACTAAGTTGTGCCAAAGGGATGCCACATGGGATGTGAGCAAAATGTATACAAGTTACAAATCAGGGCTATGGAAAGGGGCATGCCCTCCTCTTCCCCTTCACCCTTCCCACTGGCCGGAATGCAGACCTGGTGGTAAGGCACCTTAAACCACTGAATAAGGCCAAATCCCAGGATGCCAGAGCAATAAGGTAGAAGGGACCTGGGTTCCTGTACCAGGGAGCAGCTGCACCAATCCTGTTATAGGAGAGAGACGTACATTTCTAGTTTGTAAAAGCCACTGTTGTTTTGGAGTTTATTATAGCATTACTGCAGTTGAAACTGTATCTTAACTACAGAGTCTTAGTGCAGTTTCCACCCAGGGAATGTGTTCACCACAGCCATCCCACTTCATGGCAAGGCTCAACCCAGGAGAAAGCTTCCTCCACGCCCTCCCACCCATCAGAGCAGAGTCTGTGCTTACTGGGTCCTTGTACTTAGAGCCAGGACACCAGAAGCAGGAGTCACCTCCCACTGGCATAGTCACTGGCATTCTAGCACATTCCACACTCAGAGTGGATTTTTTTATAAAACCCTTTCCTCTATTCAACAAAATTATTTTCAGTAATAACCATGGAATGAAACAAATATTAATAATGGCCAGAAATGAAACACAAACAGTGGAAGTGTTCTTTTATTGAACCTCATATATATAATCATTCCAATAAAAGATTAAAAAAATACTTTAGGTAAATAATTGTCTAGTAATTAATAAGTGAATTTTAATAAAACTCAAACATTTGCAAATGGCACAATTTAGGCAAATACTAAATTGTGCCAATGATGTTATATTTTGTCTTTTTTTGGCTTCATTTTTTAGCTTTAAAATGATTAACAATTAAAACCTTTAAAAGAATAATACATTTTAATTTTAAAAACATGATTTTAAAGATATTATAGAGATAATATAAAGAAATAATAAAGATACTATTTTAAAGATATTTAAACTAAGCCAAATATTAAGCAAAATATTTTATGTATGAACTGAAACTTGCAACTACCAAACAAAAATATTATACTCTGTGGTTTCCACTTTGTTTTATTATTTTATATTTCAAGCAGAAATAAAAATTCTAGGCCGGGTGTGGTGACTCACCCCTGTAATCCCAGCACTTTGGGAGGCTGAGGCAGGTGGATCACTTAAGGTCAGGAGTTCAAGACCAGCCTGGCCAACATGGTGAAACCCCATCTCTACTAGAAATACAAAAATTAGCCAGGCATGGTGGTGCATGCCTGTAATCCCAGCTACTCAGGAGGCTGAGGCAGGAGAATTGCTTGACCCCAGGAGGCAGAGGTTGCAGTGAGCCAAAATTGCGCCATTGCACTTCAAGCTGGGTGTTGGAGTGAGACTGTGTCTCAAAAATAAAAATAAAAATAAAATAAAAAATTCAAAGTGGTCCCACAGAACGACAGAATTGACATTTGATGTAACTCAAGATTTGCTCCTTCTTGAAAATTAGCTGCTGCCATTGTTGATTGAGATTCCACTGTTTAAATGCAGAAATATGTAGTACCCCAAGAGTTAGGGACAAACTACACCTCAATAAAGCTCAACTCCAGATAATTATGAACTGACTCTTAAAACAATCACGTATAGGTAAGTCCATGTCTGTCAGAGGCCCTCCAAACAACTAGAAATTCTCTGAATTAACTTCCACGTGCATATACTGTTTATTAAAGAATAAGTCATAAAAGTGTGGACCAGGCACAGTGGCTCACACCTGTAGTCCTAGTACTGGGAGACCGAGGCAGACGGATCACTTGAGCTCAGGAGTTCAAAGCCAGCCTGGGCAACATGGTGAAAGCCTGTTTCTATAAAAAATACCAAAAATTAGCCAAGCTTGGTGGTGTACTCTAGTCCCAGCTATTTAGGGGGCTTAGGCCAGAGGATCACATGAGCCCAGGAGGTTGAGGCTGCAGTGAGCCAAGATAGCACCATTGCACACCAGCCTGGGTGACAAAGTGAGAACCTGTCTCAAAAAAAAAAAAAAAAAAAAAAGTAAAAGTGTGCCAGTTTGAAGGTTATATATTTATATATATTATCAATACTCAATTGTAACTGTCGCAATTATCAATACTCAATTGTAACTGCTGCAATTATTTAGAACTTAAACCAATAAAAGATTTTTTGGGAAGGAGAATTTTATCACTGATATTGTTTAGAATTTCCAGGGAATAGTGATTAAAGAAAAGCAGACTGACTTTTAGTCACTGTTGTTTCCAAGTTCTTTGCAGTGTGGACCTTGCTACCTGAGTCTGGGCCAACCCCCATCCCTGGCCCACCCTGGTATGCCTTGCAGCCCTTTGCTGTTACGTCCCCTTGTTAGACGTGGAGGTCTAATTATTTTTGGCTCAGCTGCTTTATCTTTCTCAGGAAGGCAAAGTTTGAGCAGCACACTAGAACCCCAAACACTAGTTTGAGGTCCTACCAATGAAAACTCATTTGCTATTTTTGCTTTCTTTTATATCATAGTACTTCCAGCTCATGAATGGGCTGACAGTTCATTGCCCTTCTTTATGAACCAAGGTAAATAACCACAGCAACATCCTTTGGGAATTACTGCACACTCTGTCTCTTGCAGAAGCTTGAGTGAGTTTTTGTTAAAAACAAAAGAGCCTCAGGAGGAGGGCAAGGGTCTGGAATCGGGATGAGGAGCCCGTGGTGGTGTGGGTGGGTGCTGGGAGGTGGCAGGCTGGAAGGGCTGCAAGCCCCGGGGGAGGGGGACAGACCTGGGATGTGGAACCCAGGAGACCACAGCAGGCAAGCCATCCAGCATCAAGGAAGTCAGTTACTTACCAATAGTAAGAAATAGTAAGAACTACTGTTTAGCCTTTTTAAAAAACAAAAAATTTTCTCTTTTATTCTTTCCAACAATTCTGCTAGATGGGCTTAGGGGAGTTAATACAGATTTGCTCAAGGACTGTCAGCTAGGAAGAGGGGATTTGAACCTATGGCTTTGCTCCTTCCCCACAATGCCTCTGACACTGTTTCCTATGCTGTCCTATAGCCAGCGGGGGCCTAGCCTAGGTTCTGGGATACAGATGGGGAGACCCCAGGCATCCTGGAGAGAGAGTTATGGAGTGAGGCAGGTACCACCTTACTACATGTGCCACACCAAGTACAAGGTTTGGGCACACATGCTAAGACACATGACCAGTTCTTAGAACTGGGGGCAAGATCAGGGCCTCATTACCAGCAAGCATAACTTGAAACAGAATCTCTGAGCATTCAGATAGGAATACTAATTCTCTTGGCCTGGGCTCAGAAGAAGAGGTGCATGCCTCATCATTGAGAGAGAGGCAGCAGAGGGACACCGAGGCTGAGACCAGCCTGCTCCAATGAGGCATTGAGACTGTCCTCTCCAGAACACTGGCAAGAGCTCTGAAAGTCCCAGGCCCTGGTCACCACGTTTTCTCCTAAGAAGCCCCCTCCTCCAGGGAGTTAGAATCAGGCAAGAACAGGAGAAGAGCCCCTTCTAGGTGAATTCCAAATCACAGAACACCTTTGCATCAATTTTTTTGGAGACCGAGAAGGCCAAATGCCTGAATGTCTTTGTTTCTGGCTATGGGTGCTGAGAAGGGTCCAGGAACTTTTCACCATTGGCATCATTAGCAGCAGCAGGGTGATGTTTATTCATTCAACAAACACAAATATCTGCTGAGGGCCTGCTATGTGCCAGGCACTATTGTAGGCACTGGACAATTGGCAGTGACAAAACAGACAAACCCCTGCCTTCGTAGAACTCGATTCAAATGGCAAAGACAGACAATAAACAAACAAACAGTGAAATATGGGAGTGGAAAGTGCCACAAGGGAAACTAAGTCAGGGTAAGAAGGCAAGGCCGTTGGAGGGGCTGTTTTGATAGGGGGGTCAGGGAGGTCTCCCAGGGGAGGGGACACAGGACCCAAGTACCCCATTTCCTACCTCCCTCACTTAGGGTGTTCAGGCAGCCTGGGATCCAAGATCACGGGCCCTGATCTGAGCCCCCGTCACAAGGGGTGATGAGCAAAACAGCGCGTCTGTGAACCCCGGGGCCTGATTGTCCCTGGAGTTCAGAGGCACATCTGCGTGAACGCAGGAAAAGGGAAGAGACCGGCCACTTCCTTCAGGGATATAGCGAGCACAAGAGTAAAGGGCATAAGGTAGGCACACAGGAGCCAAGGAACAAATGCCAATTAATATGATGCAAACTGGCCATCTGTCAGGCCGGCTGCAAGGGACAGCTGCATGCGGGGAGGGGCGGGCACCCGTCTCTGCGGTGATTCTGTGGTCAAGTGAAACCTGAACGTCACAGGCTTCTGCAACTGGAAAGTAAAATGGTGGTTCCGTTAACTTTAATGCCTAAATCTCGATGCCCTAAGCCCTCAGCTGTGTAGTGGTGGAAAGTCCAGGCCTTTTTTCTTTTTTCTTTTTGAGACAGGGTCTCACTCTGTTGCCCAGGCTGGAGTGTAGTGGTGCCATCATGGCTCACAGTATCTTTCAACTTCTGGGCTCGAAGTGATCTTCCCACCTCAGTCTCCCAAGTAGCTGGGACCACAGGCTTGCAGCACCATGCCCATCTAATTTTATTTTATTTTAGGTTTTGTAGAGATGGGGGTCTCCCTATGTTGCCCAGGCTCATCTCAAACTCCTGGGCTCAAGCAATCCTCCCGCCTCGGCCCAAATTATTGCGATTATAGGCAATGAGCCACTGCGTCCAGCCTAAAGTCCAGGGTTTTAGGGAGTCACTGCTCCCATATATCCCTGAGACTTCAGGGAAGTCCCATGCTTGCACAGACCCACCCTGGCTTTGCTCTCTCCTCCCACCACCAAAGTCCCAGGCCCAAGGCATCACTTCTTGGACTCTATTCTATTGCTAGTATCTTGCCACCACCAAGCCCATCACCACAGTAGTGAAGTCCAAAGTTAGTGGACAGAAGGGCTCCCTAGATTTTGCCACCACTGAGAAAGCTGCAACTCAGGATGTCATTCTTGCTAAGTGAGAGGGGAAATGCTCACAGCACAGAGAGCAACACTAGGTTGGCACCTAAAATGTTATCCAGCTAGCCATGCAGCTGTTCCACAGAGCTCTTCGGTTTGCCAAGCTGGGCCCACCTGCTCCCCTGCACTTTAGTAGGGAGGCCTCCACCAAGACTCCCATCCCTGGTGGCCATGAAAGAGCTTCAAAACCCAGGAAAGGAGCTGCTCCAATGACCCATCCCCTTGGTCCCTTGCTTCTACCCCAAGCATAGCTGCGGACTCCGCCTCAGCAGGGATCTCTGCCGATTCATCTAGCAACTCTGATTTTGTGAACAAGGAGGGTGTTTCTTCTCACTCAGTCAGGGATGTCACGCAGCAAGGATTTCTGAACAGCGTCATGTTACAGATGGGAATGCAGAGACCCCTTTCCCACAAACACATACATGCCACCAAGGGGCTGGGTCAGGAAGAGGCGAAGTATCCACACTCCCCTATGAAGGGCGGGACCAGGGACTGGGTCTGGCTTGCCCACTCAGGCGAGTTCTCGGTGAGTGCCCTGTCACTCTCCGTGTTATCTGCTCCCCAACTCCCCATCCATCAGGCATGTTTGTGTCCGTGCCCTATAGACAAGGCTTGACTTTTCATCCCAGGAGCTCCCTGGTCGCTGTGTAAATGAGTGCATGCGTGTTGAGAGAGGTGCTGCCTAACAACTCCAATTGTCAGAAATGCCCAAACCCCAAATGGGAGGCATGAGGACAGAGGCCCAGCTTATGTCCGGTCAAGACGCTCAAAATGTCCAGTTGCACAGAATGTGCAATTAGCAAGGCCAAGGCTTCTACAGTGAGTGTTATCATCTTGAAAAATAAAATGTCTTTACAGGAGGTTGTTTGAATGCACCCTGTATATACACTCAGTGGAGTACTATACAACCTTAAAAAAGAGGAAATCACTATGAACGGATATGAAGTGGTTTTCAGATGCTATTGAGAAAAAAAAAACAAAGTATAAAAGAACATATATGGTATGCCACCTTTTGTGTAAGAAATAAGGGGAAATAAGAAAATGTACATATACATGTTTTTCATACAAAAAGAAACACAGGAAGGATGAGCCAGACAATAATGAAGTTGGGTGCATACAAGGAGTAGGAAGGAATGGGGTGGAAGGGGTATGGGAGGAAGTAACACTTCTCTGAATATACCTATTTTTAAGAGCTTTTACTTTTGAAAGCATACCAATATTCAAAAAAATTAAAAGAATAGGAAAGGGGAAAAGACTGAAAGCAAAGTGAAACATATGAATCTAATTGTATTATTATTATTTTTTTGAGACAGCTTTTCACTCCTATCACCCAGGCTGGAGTGCAGTGGTGTGATCACAGCTCACTGCAGCCTCAACCTCCCAGGCTCAGGTGATTTTCCCACCTCTGCCTCCCAAGAAGCTGGGATAACAGGTGCGCACCACCATACCCAGCTAATTTTTTATATTTTTAGTAGAAACAGGGTTTTTATATTTTTAGTAGAAACAAGTTTCTATATTTTTAACAGAAACAGGGTTTTCCATATTGCCCAGGCATCTTGAACTTCTAGCCTCAAGCAATCCTCCTGCCTTGGCCTCCCAAAGTGCTAGGATTATAGGCATGAGCCACCACGCCTGGCCCTTAATTATATTTCAAGTGTGAATTATAACCACATTGAAGGTGGGAGAAGAAAGAAATAACGAATCCAAGTAACTCATGAACATAGTATTTAACCATGTACCCTCAGGCTGGGTAAGAAAGAGTGGGTGTGTGTTGGGGTGGGGAGGAGGGGAGGTGGTAGGGAAAGAAGTGGGAACAAATCCTGAACTCTTTATAGTAGATTCATTGATTGTAGTGGAAGGAACTACAGGGCTCTCGCTGAGGAAGAAAGGATATGCAAACATGGAATGGAGAAAGGTAAGAAGAACCCTGTGGGAATGAACTTGAATTGAAAATATTGGTGTGAACTCACAATTTCTAAAATATGTGTGTATGTATGAATGTTTTTATATCTGAAGATATCTGTATCTTCATGCTTACATGTCTCTAGCTCTGACCACGGAAAGGGCCAAGAAGCAAAGATGCTCTGCCAGCAATGAGCACATCTAGTGCCCAGATCTTGGTCTCCAATACCATTTCCCACTAAAAGGAACCAGGACTCCACAAAGAAGTGGCTGATTCCAGGACTGGTGCAGAATAGGTACATGACAAGCCTGAAACATCTTCCTATGCCAGAGAGTAAGGAAATGCTCCAAAAATAATAAAGGATGGGGTGTGTCACAGAATAGGGAGGCCATCTAAAGGGGCTCCTGCTGGCCCAACCTGGAACAGTTTGAGCACCAAAATAACTATAAAAATAGATAATAAATCATTGAAAAGACAGAAACTTATGAATCCATACCAATAATAGATATATATTTAGACTAGATAGGTGATTAGATAGATAGATAGATAGATAGATAGATAGATAGATAGATAAGATAGATAGATGATAAATAGGTAAGACATAGGTAGCTAGATAGCCAGATGGATAGAGAGATAGAAAAAAAAGAAAGAAAGAAAGAAAGAAAGAGAGAAAGAAGAAAAGAAAAGAGAAAATAAAGAGAAAAAAGAAGGGAAAGCTCTTGGTTGCAGTAGAATTCTGAGGTCCAACTAGTAAAAGTAGAGAGAATGCCGGAGTTGGGAGGTTAGCACAACCCCAGATTAAACATGAAGAAACAGTAGATGAACGCAAAAATGGAGGCACTGTATTCTTTACAAATATCAGCATTGCACAGGGCAAAGAAAGGCTGTGGGATGTTTCAGATTAAAGGAGGCTAAAAAGACATGAAGACCAAATGCAATATCTGACCCCTTAGACTGGATCCTGCACTGGAAGGGAGAATGCTATAAAGAGTACTATTAGACCAAGCAAAAAATTTGTAATACGGGTGATGGATTAGATAAGAGTATTTGTAACAATGTAAATGTATACAACCGTTAACTATACTGTGGCATATAATAATCTTATTCTTAGGAAAAACACACTGTTAAGTATTCAGGGGTAAAGAGCCATAATATACATAATATAAAAATGGTTCAGGAAAAAATTATGTATAAACATACATATATAACCACATGTCCATATAGTATATATACATGAGACAGAGAATAAGAATAAATAATACATGGGTTAAACTACAAACAATAAGTAAATCTGGATAAAATGAATATGAATATTCTTTGTACCATTTCTCATTTTGTAACTTTTTGTAAACTTGAAATTATTTCCAAACATAATGCTTTAAAATGCTTTAACGTGCCTCACACTTAACTGATTTCTGGCATGGTCATATACACTGGTAATTTTGATCCTCCCAGGAGCTCCATGAGATAAGCAGGGCAGGCATTGTTATATTTCCAACTGTACAGATGAGGAAGTTAAGGCACAGAGATGTTGAGTGACTTGCCAAGGATGACGTCCTGGAAAACACAGCTTGAACCTTCATCTCCAGGTGCAAGTCTTGGCTTCGTCCCATGATATCCACATTCTCCAAATCTTTTCAGAATCCATTGCAATTCCTGCTAGTCATCTCTCCAGGAGGTCATGAACTCCGTAATTTTACTATACACACACACACACACACACACACACACACACACACACACAGAAAGAGAGAGAAACGGAATCTCATTCTTTCACCCAGGCTGGAGTGCAGTGGCACGATCTTGGCTCACTGCCAACCTCCACCACCCAGGTTCAAGTGATTCTCTTGCCTCAGCCTTCTGAGTAGCTGGGACCACAGGTGTGTGCCACCACGTCCAGCTATTTTTTTCTTTTTTGGTATTTTTAGGATAGACGGGGTTTCACCATGTTGGCCAGGTTGTTCTCAAACTCCTGACCTCAGGTGATCTGCCCACCTCAGCATCCCAAAGTGCTGGGATTACATGCATGAGCCACTGCGCCCGGCCCCATAATTTTACTTTTGTGAGTTTATTACTCAGCCTTTAAAATCCAACTCGAGTCAGTTTCTTCTGCCTTCTCCTTGCCTCTGTGTCCCCTCCCTAAAAGTTACAACTGTCCATCAGTGACTCTCCCCAGCGTGGGTTCCTGCTTCCTTTCACTTCAGAATTCATTGCCTATGTTGCAGTTATTTCCTATTTGCTTCTGTTTGTCTCCCTCAAGGGCAGGGACCAAGTATTGTTCCTCTGACTCCCAGCCCCAAGCTCTGTGCCTGGCTCTGTGAATGTTGGCTGAATAAATGACGATGTGGCTGAATGAAACCTCCTCTTATTTGACCTAAACTCACCTCAATCAAGTCTCAAAGTTAGGCTTTCATCGTGGAGCTGGAATTAAGTAGGATTAAAGTTAATGCTGTCCTGGCTGACATAACTCTCTCACTCCTTCTGTTTCTTCCAAGGGTAGAAGATCAAGGCAGCATACAGGTCATAGGGAAGCCACGTGGTGTTTGTTCCTAGCCAAATAAGGAAGATCTTCTTATTGAAAGTGGTCTGGAGGGAGGGAGTCAATCCGCCAACAGATATGAAGTAATCAGGTGGGCTGAGTTTAGGGGATGCAACGGACAAAGGAGTAGAAGCCCAGGAGGGGCTAGCAGTCAACTGCTACTGAGTCATGGGTTCCATATCAGTTCAAGCTTCAGTCCTTACAGGATATGAGAATTTCTGTGGAGTGACGTGCAACACAATTTAGGCAATCACCTCCCCCATGTCAGTACCCAGAAAATAACTAAGGAAGGAGCATTCTGCACAGATTTCAGGAAACCTGATTGATATCTACCTTCCTGGTTCATCATGCTCAGGGGACAGAGGGCTATGATCTCTCCAGCACAGCTCTGTGCAAAGTGTGAGAAGATGGAACTTTCAAATAAACCCCTGGATTTTAGACAAGGCTGAAATTTTATTTGAAGGGATTTGCTTTTGATTTCATTTTCTTAAATGCATTTTTAATAACAAGCCTATTCAATCAAAAGGGGGTATTTGACTGTTTGGAACAGCAGTGGGACCGCCCTCAATGTAATTTGGATACTTTCCTAAACCCATGTCCTTTGATTCTGCCAGTTCAGATCTCTCCTCAGTTGGTAACTCACAAAGCATGGTTGTCAGTGGTGTGGAAAAAACTCAGCTAGGAGTGTCCCTAAAGACACCTCCAGACCCACCCCTGCAAAACAAGACAATCAGTTCCCATTCATTGGACACCAACAAGTGACATCACACAGACGCTGTAAATGTTGAAGGGGGAAGGACTGTGGGGGGCACATAGGCTCAGCCCCTCTCACAACATTGAGACTCCCACGGCCAATCTGCTGGAAAGAAGGAGTGTGAACTGTTCTACCTCCTGTACCTTCCTCCTCCTAGAGAGGGAGGCTGCAGAAGAGCGACACGGCCCTGGGGCTTATCACCAGCCTTCCTGGTTTGGGGATCATGGGAGAAGCAATGAGGAGCATTCTTAGGTCTGATGGGCAGGTCTTGGGACTCTTGAATGAAAACTCCCAAGAGAAACCAGGGAGAAGATAGGTAATGCTAATCTCGGGTTGGGATACTCCAAGAGGCATGGAGGCCCAGCTAATGTCAGGGAGCTGGAGTTGCTGGAGCTTGAGCAGATCTGAGTTAGGCACCAGGAGGTTTTGCACAGATTCCTTCAGTTCGGAAGAGGGCCGGCAGAAGACGCTCCCCGGAGAGCCACCGGTGGGCAGGAGGGAAAAGCAAAGGCGGGAAGCTAGCAGATGGTGGTGGGTGGCACAGTGGCCTGAGCGAGGCCCCCTCGTGGTGGAGTGGAGAGCTGCATGGTAAGCCCGCAGCAGGTGGCTGGGGGGCTCTGGAGCCCCAAGAAAAGCTCCAGGGACCTGGAAGAATTTGACTAGGATGGGAGCCAGGGGTTGGATTTGGCAGTGTTTGGTGTCCCTAACGCCAGGGAGGGCAGTGGGGCAAGGTCATATTCACTTTGAGCTGAGTCTGCCTCTTTATAACTTTGCTCATTTTGACGAATTTGTGACACATTCAATTCAACATTTTCCTAAAGATGTTCAAATCCCAGTAGAGTTGAGATAGTCTGGTAGTCATGTAGACCTTCTCAGCCCAGTGACAATGGCAGAGTCAGGACTTAATCTAAGCAGATCATCTCAAATTTAACATATTCTCATAACAGCCGCCAGAGGGATCCTGTAAGAGCCTGTAGGTGATATCCCTGCTCTGTTCCATCCCCTCCTGCGGCCTCCCATTCCACCTAGAAAGCGCTTACAAAGATTGCAAGGCCCAGCGTGCTCTCGTTTCTGGCACCTCAGACCTCATCCCTGAGGTCGCCTCTCGGTCACCCCATTCCAGCCTTACAGGCCCCTCCCTGGTCTCCAGCACACCAGGCCCATGGGTGCTGCCCTAGCTGCTCCTTCTGCCTTGATCTTCCCCCAGGTGTCCCCATGACCCCAGCCCTCCCCCTGTTAGTTTTTTGCTAGAGCATCATCTCACAAAGGCTAATCTGACCCCTCTGTTTTAAACTGTAGCACCCCCACCATCCCTATGCCCCTCTCCTAACAGAACTTGGAACCATCTGGCAACCTGAGTGTCTAAGTGATCTGCTTATTGCCTGGCTGCCTCCACTAGAAGGTAAAAGCCTGTTGGGGTTGGGATTTTTGTCTGTTTCACTCACCACTGACTGATGAGCCCCTAGAATGGTACCTGGCATGTAGCAAATACTCCAAAAATGTCTGTTGAATGAATAAAGGTGAAGAAGGTGAAGCCTCCTGGCTCTTAGTGTTGACCAACTCAGTCGGCCTGAGCCGCAGATCAAACCACCTTCTAACAGCGCTCCTGCTCCCAGTTCTGCTGGCTCAGCCCTGGCTCTAGACTCTCATATCTGCTTTCTGCTCTTTCCCATTGCCTGGCTCAACTCTGTGTCTCCCCGCCACCCCCACCATGACAATAGGGGCCATGCACATGGGCCTCAGCTCAGCATTTTCCACAGCAGCGATACACCTGCCTCACCTCAGCATTTCCCTCGGCAGTGATCCACCTGCCTCACCCCAGCATTTCTCACAACAGTGATCCACCTGCCTCATCCCAGCATTTCCCACGGCAGTGATCCACCTGCCTCACCCCAGCATTTCCCACGGCAGTGATCCACCTGCCTCACCCCAGCATTTCCCACAACAGTGATCCACCTGCCTCACCCCAGCATTTCCCACAACAGTGATCCACCTGCCTCAACCCAGCATTTTGCACAACAGTGATCCACCTGCCTCACCTCAGCATTTCCCATGGCAGTGATCCACCTGCCTCACCTCGGCATTTCCCATGGCAGTGATCCACCTGCCTCACCCCAGCATTTCCCACAACAGTGATCCACCTGCCTCACCTCGGCATTTCCCACGGCAGTGATCCACCTGCCTCACCTCGGCATTTCCCACGGCAGTGATCCACCTGCCTCACCCCAGCATTTCCCACAACAGTGATCGACCTGGCTCACCTCAGCATTACCCATGGCAGTGATCCACCTGCCTCACCCCAGCATTTCCCACAACAGTGATCCACCTGCCTCACCCCAGCATTTCCCACAACAGTGACCCACCTGCCTCACCTCGGCATTTCCCACGTCAGTGATCCACCTGCCTCACCTCAGCATTTCCCACAACAGTGATCCACCTGCCTCACCCCGACATTTCCAACAGCAGTGATCCACCTGCCTCAGCTCAGCATTTCCCAAAACAGTGATCCACTTGCCTCACCTCGGCATTTCCCACGGCAGTGATTCACCTGCCTCACCCCAGCATTTCCCATGGCAGTGATCCACCTGCCTCACCTCGGCATTTCCCACAACAGTGATCCTGCCTCACCTCGGCATTTCCCACGGCAGTGATCCACCTGCCTCACCTCGGCATTTCCCACGGCAGTGATCCACCTGCCTCACCTCGGCATTTCCCACGGCAGTGATCCACCTGCCTCACCTCGGCATTTCCCACAACAGTGGTCCATCTGCCTCACCTCAGCATTTCCCATGGCGGTGATCCACCTGCCTCACATCAGCATTTCCCACAACAGTGATCCACCTGCCTCACTTCGGCATTTGCCACGTCAGTGATCCACCGGCCTCAGCTCAGCATTTCCCACAACAGTGATCCACCTGCCTCACCTCGGCATTTCCCACAACAGTGGTCCACCTGCCTCACCTTGGCATTTCCCACAACAGTGATCCACTTGCCTCACCTCGGCATTTCCCACGGCAGTGATCTACCTGCCTCACCTAGGCATTTCCCACAACAGTGGTCCACCTGCCTCACCTCGGCATTTCCCATAGCAGTGATCCACCTGCCTCACCCCAGCATTTCCCACAACAGTGATCCATCTGCCTCACCTCGGCATTTCCCACAACAGTGATCCACCTGCCTCACCTCGGCATTTCCCATAGCAGTGATCCACCTGCCTCACCCCAGCATTTCCCACAACAGTGATCCACCTGCGTCACCTCGGCATTTCCCACAACAGTGATCCACCTGCGTCACCTCGGCATTTCCCATAGCAGTGATCCACCTGCCTCACCCCAGCATTTCCCATAACAGTGATCCACCTGCCTCACCTCAGCATTTCCCACAACAGTGATCCACCTGCCTCACCCCGACATTTCCAACAGCAGTGATCCACCTGCCTCAGCTCAGCATTTCCCAAAACAGTGATCCACTTGCCTCACCTCGGCATTTCCCACGGCAGTGATTCACCTGCCTCACCCCAGCATTTCCCATGGCAGTGATCCACCTGCCTCACCTCGGCATTTCCCACAACAGTGATCCTGCCTCACCTCGGCATTTCCCACGGCAGTGATCCACCTGCCTCACCTCGGCATTTCCCACGGCAGTGATCCACCTGCCTCACCTCGGCATTTCCCACAACAGTGATCCTGCCTCACGCCATCATTTCCCACAACAGTGATACACCTGCCTCACCTCGGCATTTCCCACAACAGTGGTCCACCTGCCTCACCTCGGCATTTCCCATAGCAGTGATCCACCTGCCTCACCCCAGCATTTCCCACAACAGTGATCCATCTGCCTCACCTCGGCATTTCCCACAACAGTGATCCACCTGCCTCACCTCGGCATTTCCCATAGCAGTGATCCACCTGCCTCACCCCAGCATTTCCCACAACAGTGATCCACCTGCGTCACCTCGGCATTTCCCACAACAGTGATCCACCTGCGTCACCTCGGCATTTCCCATAGCAGTGATCCACCTGCCTCACCCCAGCATTTCCCATAACAGTGATCCACCTGCCTCACCTCAGCATTTCCCACAACAGTGATCCACCTGCCTCACCCCGACATTTCCAACAGCAGTGATCCACCTGCCTCAGCTCAGCATTTCCCAAAACAGTGATCCACTTGCCTCACCTCGGCATTTCCCACGGCAGTGATTCACCTGCCTCACCCCAGCATTTCCCATGGCAGTGATCCACCTGCCTCACCTCGGCATTTCCCACAACAGTGATCCTGCCTCACCTCGGCATTTCCCACGGCAGTGATCCACCTGCCTCACCTCGGCATTTCCCACGGCAGTGATCCACCTGCCTCACCTCGGCATTTCCCACAACAGTGATCCTGCCTCACGCCATCATTTCCCACAACAGTGATACACCTGCCTCACCTCGGCATTTCCCACAACAGTGGTCCACCTGCCTCACCTCGGCATTTCCCACAACAGTGATCCACCTGCCTCACCCCCGCATTTCCCACAATAGTGATCCTGCCTCACCCCATCATTTCCCACAACAGTGATCCACCTACCTCACCTTGGCATTTCCCACAACAGTGGTCCACCTGCCTCACCTCGGCATTTCCCACAACAGTGGTCCACCTGCCTCACCTCGGCATTTCCCACTACAGTGGTCCACCTGCCTCAGCTCCGCATTTCCCACAACAGTGATCCACCTGCCTCACCTCGGCATTTCCCACAACAGTGATCCACCTGCCTCACCTCGGCATTTCCCACAACAGTGGTCCACCTGCCTCACCTCGGCATTTCCCACAACAGTGATCCACCTGCCTCATCTCGGCATTTCCCACGGCAGTGATCCACCTGCTTCACCTCGGCATTTCCCACAACAGTGCTCCACCTGCCTCACCTCGGCATTTCCCACGGCAGTGATCCACCTGCCTCACCTTGGCATTTCCCACAACAGTGGTCCACCTGCCTCACCTCAGCATTTCCCACGGCAGTGATCCACCTGCCTCACCCCGGCATTTCCCACAACAGTGGTCCACCTGCCTCACCTCGGCATTTCCCACAACAGTGGTCCACCTGCCTCACCTCGGCATTTCCCACAACAGTGGTCCACCTGCCTCACCCCGGCATTTCCCACGGCAGTGGTCCACCTGCCTCACCTCGGCATTTCCCACGGCAGTGATCCACCTGCCTCACCCCGGCATTTCCCACAACAGTGATCCACCTACCTCACCCCGGCATTTCCCACAACAGTGGTCCACCTGCCTCACCTCGGCATTTCCCACGGCAGTGATCCACCTGCCTCACCTCGGCATTTCCCACAACAGTGGTCCACCTGCCTCACCTCGGCATTTCCCATAGCAGTGATCCACCTGCCTCACCCCGGCATTTCCCACAACAGTGATCCACCTGCCTCACCTCGGCATTTCCCACAACAGTGATCCACCTACCTCACCTCGGCATTTCCCACAACAGTGGTCCACCTGCCTCACCTCGGCATTTCCCACAACAGTGGTCCACCTGCCTCACCCCGGCATTTCCCACAACAGTGGTCCACCTGCCTCACCTCGGCATTTCCCACGGCAGTGATCCACCTGCCTCACCCCGGCATTTCCCACAACAGTGATCCACCTACCTCACCCCGGCATTTCCCACAACAGTGGTCCACCTGCCTCACCTCGGCATTTCCCACAACAGTGGTCCACCTGCCTCACCTCGGCATTTCCCACGGCAGTGATCCACCTGCCTCACCTCGGCATTTCCCACAACAGTGGTCCACCTGCCTCACCTCGGCATTTCCCATAGCAGTGATCCACCTGCCTCACCCCGGCATTTCCCACAACAGTGATCCACCTGCCTCACCTCGGCATTTCCCACAACAGTGATCCACCTACCTCACCTCGGCATTTCCCACAACAGTGGTCCACCTGCCTCACCTCGGCATTTCCCACAACAGTGGTCCACCTGCCTCACCTCGGCATTTCCCATAGCAGTGATCCACCTGCCTCACCTCGGCATTTCCCACAACAGTGGTCCACCTGCCTCACCTCGGCATTTCCCACAACAGTGGTCCACCTGCCTCACCCCAGCATTTCCCACAACAGTGATCCACCTGCCTCACCTCGGCATTTCCCATGGCAGTGATCCACCTGCCTCACCCCAGCATTTCCCACAACAGTGGTCCACCTGCCTCACCTCGGCATTTCCCACAACAGTGGTCCACCTGCCTCACCTTGGCATTTCCCACAACAGTGGTCCACCTGCCTCACCTCGGCATTTCCCACAACAGTGGTCCACCTGCCTCACCTCGGCATTTCCCACGGCTGTGGTCCACCTGCCTCACCTCGGCATTTCCCACGGCAGTGACCCACCTGTCACACCCCAGCATTTCCCACAGCAGTGCTCAACCTGTCTCCATAAAAACCTTCCTTGATTTTGAGACTCTTAATGACACTCCAGTCCCTCACATCCTCTCTTTCAGTCAAAGCAATCCCAATATCTTTTAAAAACGTCTTGTACCATTATTTCAGGCCACTTAGCCATCTGTTTGACCAACATAGATGATCCTGTAGCCACAGGAGAAGCCATCCTCAGGAGAAGAAGGCTTGCCAGGCCAGGCAGGGTTTCTCAGTGCTTGACCTGCCTGTGGGCCTCCACAGCAGGACAAACCTGGCCCAAAGCCCCTCCCGATGGAATCACCACCGTGCCAAAATGAAGAAGGACAGTCCACTTTTGAGGCTGCCTCCTGAAGTAAAGGAGCATGTGTTCTCAGAGTCATCAAGTGCTGGAGGACCCAAAAGAGGAGTTCAATAGACACAGGCCCCATGCTTCCAAGGTAAAGCCTTCCAGGCTCACCGATGTTACCATCCAGAGCTGGCATCTCCACAGCCCTACACAGACACAGGATTTCTCAGAGCCATGGAGCACAACAGAAACACCAGCCATCTGTCTCTTGAAATTTTCAAGGAGGGGGTCCCACACAGCTTGGAAGACACGTTAAGGCACGTGTTGCGCTTACACCATGTTGTGTGTGCAGAACGTTCGTGTCTTCCCTTGGATGATCCGAGTGTGAAACAGGCAGGTTCCCATCTACTGCCCCTCTTGATCTCAGCCAGGGGTCCCAGCAGTTCTGGAAGCCCACAGGAGTGAGATACGGCCTGCAAAACTGCTGAGGAGAGAGAGCAAATCCCAGCCGAGCAATGTTCCCAATTGCTCTGCGCCAAATTCAGTTGAAATGAGACACTTTTCAAAAACAATTTCTGGGTAAGTGGTGGAGAAAATAAGAACACTGTGAACACATGGAGGAAAGAAAGGAGCAGCCACCTGAGATCAGTGATGGCTCTTCGTCCGTCAAGCAGAGCGAGCTGGGACGAAACGCGTTCCTCACACACCCTCACACAGAGGCATCAGCCGGGACAATGACTTGTGTGGGTTGTCATGACAATGAAATTGAAACTGGGAAAACAATAGCCACTCAGCCAGCAACCTAACCTCTGAGCTGACCTGTCATTTCGATTGCAGCCGCCTGGGCCCTACATAGACATTGGGAGATGAACATCTCTCAGGGCAGGCTTTGATAACAGGTGGCTAAACATGAGGTTAGAAATCAACTGAATCTTTTTGCTCCTCCATAAGCCAAGCTAGGGAATTCAGCAGCATCCTCTATAAGGTCTCCAGAGCCTGTGGAGGGACAACAGAGCACAGAAAGTTAATGCAACGGACCCAAAGACACACAGCATGTCAGCAGAAAAGGCTAAGAATTGCTACCCCATCCTAAATTCAAAATCCCTTGGAAGTCATTGCCGGCTTACTGAGGGTAGCACTTCTAAAGCTCAACAGGGCTTCCTGGCATTCCTCACCAAATGGACCAAGGCAAAATTTAATTATTGTCTCTGTTAGAACTTGAAAATCCCTTTGCAGTTCTAAGGCAAACGCAAATGCATTTTCTGCGGACTCTGTGCCACCCTCCCTTCCTTCTCTGGTTGCCTCAGACACATCTGCAGAAGCTGAGCACCAGGAAAGTGAATAGAATATGCCCCAAAGGGCTCAACTTGACTTTAAAAAATGGTATTATTATTTATATTTAATAGCAGCTTCAGAGAAAGCAGCAGATCCTAGGGCATGGCAGAAATGTAAATGCTAACTGATTGTTATTCTTACAGAAACTTAGAATTCCAAAGTTTAATCATCCTCATTAGCATAATTTGGGCGACTTCAGTCCATAACTTTACCCTGGAGTTGATTATTTATGGCGCCCTGAACAGAAGTCAAAAATTAACTTTGATTTAATGTAACAATTCCATCCCCAATATAATTCATAATGCAGATACATTTGTCAAAAATAAATCAGGCTGCTCACCCATCTCAGAACAGGAAACCAAGAAAGGAATAGAAAGAGACCCTAATCTTTTTCTGTAGTTGTTCTGGCTCTCCCTTCCCCTGCTGAAGTCTGCGCTTGCTCAGGGACTAGCTTTGGAGAAGACCTAGAGCTTCAGGGTGGAGAAAAATCTATGGATCAGGCAGATAGGCCAGGAGGCAGTGGAGGTTCCCTCGGGATGAACATCTTGCATCTCCTGAGAGCTTTATCCAAGTAAGCAGCTTTCTAAAAAGACAGGATGAGAAAGTCATCCCAGGGAGCTCATCTGGCGGGAGGGTTGTGTGGAGAGCATAATGTAACCCCTTGCATGTGTTTGAAGTTCATCGATTTACAGTTTGCTTCCACCTGTAGTATTTCATTTACTCCTCACCACTTTAGGTAGGGCAGCTGGGAACTGAGGCCTGGGGAAGTTAAGCAACTTGTCTCTGTCCCACAGCTTGTAAAAGGCAGTGTTGACCCTGGGATCCTGGTCTCCTGGCTCCTCAGGCAGAGCTCTCGGGCTGTCTGCATGTGGAAGGAAAGGTGCTTGGGTATGCAGCCTGTCTCCTGGCCCAGGGAAGCAGAGCCCTTATGGACTCCATCAAGGGCTTGGGGTGACAGTGGGAGATGATGCTCCCAGAGCAGACAGGAGAAATTTTCAAGACACTACTAGCTCACCAATTTCCAAGAGCTCAGAAGCAGCATTTATTTCTTCTACAGGAAACACTTAGAAAATATAAGTCCTGGGGCCGGGCACGGTGGCTCATGCCTGTAATCCCAGCACTTTAGGAAGCCAAGGTGGGCGGATCACTTTGAGATCAGGAGTTTGAGACCAGCCTGGCAACATGGTGAAACCCCGTCTCTAATAAAAAATATAAAAATTAGCTGGGCATGGTGGCGTGCACCTGTAATCCCAGCTACTTGGGAGGTTGGGACAGGAGAATCGCTTGAACTCAGGAAGCAGAGGTTGCAGCGAGCTGAGATGGCACCACTGCACTCCAGCCTGGGCAACAAGAGCAAAATTCCATCTAAAATGTGTGTGTGTGTGTGTGTGTGTGTGTGTGTGTGTGTGTGTTTATGTGTGTATTCCCCACACATAGGACAAAAAGAACCCTAGGAGACCTCTCCTAGATGATGGGGTCAGAGTCATCCTAGGATTATGGTTAGACTTATAGACTTACCCTACTATGAATATATTTGCCTCTGCAAGGTACCAAGTTCTCTACCAAGGAAGAAATCTCTTTCCGTGGACAGTACCAAGGAGCCAGACGGGCACTTCTGTGGAGCTCTTCCTCCCTGCTAATTCTCTCTCTGGACTGCTGAAGCCGCCCAGACGTGCCAAGTTTTAGTGGCAACAGGTTTGCCTGCCAGTAACCAACATCCTCTACCTCTCCCCACAAGCACCTACAGGCTGACAATGCCAACTCTCCCTTTTCCATGCCAGGCAGAGCTGATGCTAGCTCACAACAGGCAGCAGAACCCTGTGCCAACAGCCAGAGTCTGGCCCAGTGGCTGGCAGGAAAGTGACCACATTCAGACTATGCCATTTGGCTCTTTGGCTTCTGCTCTGGAAAAAAAAAAAAAACTGGCTGAGAAGAGGTAAAAGCTTTTGGCAAAATATAAAGTTCGCATTCTCTTGGTCTCAACTCAGCAGGGATAGTGATGGGTTGGCATGTCTTCTGTGTATATATGTGTGTATGTGCACACATGTACACACGTGCATCCTCACACTCAATCACGTATTTTTAACAGCTATAAAACTAAGACAGAACCAGGCCAAAAGGCTCGTTGTGAAAGAGAAAGCACCCAGGGCCTTAGATAAAATTGTAACCAATCTTAGTTTGGGTCACCATGACATTAGAACAATGAATTGATTCATTCAATTAGAACAATCAGTTGGTTCATCCAATTCAAACAACCACCTGATCTCACCAATGAAAAAAAAAAACAACAACAACAAGTCAGTTGTTAAAGCCTTTGTTGACCAAACACACAAGGAGTTGGCTGAATTGATGTTTTACCAACTAAAAGCTTGTGATGCTGTACAGACATGGCTTGTGGCTCACCCCTTCCTGGGTGTCACTTCACTGAAAGAAAGAATATGGCATTTTGGTCTCTTCTGATTCTATTTCTAGGTAAGTGATGTTAACTATAACAACAGCAATAACAACAATGGGTACATGTGCACATGGGAATATCTGCTGTGAGCCAAGCACTCTACTGTGTCCTTCATATACTTTCAAATAATTCTCACAACAACCCTATGACATCAATGTTGTTATTATCCTCCCGACTTTAAATATGAGAAAACTGAGGTTGAGAGCAGTTAAATAACTTGCCCAAGGTCATACAGCTAGTCAGTGATTGATCCAAGGCCCAGACCTGGGCCATTTTCCTCCTCTTTACATGTGTTCACATGTGTGCTGTTGTCTCCCCAACTAGAATGTAAGTTCCATGACAGAAGTGACCTTGTCTATATTGTTTGTTCTTGGATTCCCAGATTGAAAACAGTGCCAATAGACAGGCACAGAATAGACTCTCAGTAAATAACTATCGAATGAATGAATCAGCCTCACCTCAACTGCGAGATGAAACCAAGCAGCTTCATATCCACCTCTGAAGTGAAGCCCCAACACAGACAGTATCCAAGGATGGGTAATGGGGTGTGGCCCTCCCAGAGAACAAGGATTGGGTGAGTCCTTGCTCTCTGCTGTTGGCAGGGACAGGTGGACAGACACTTCCCTGCCCCAATCAATGCAGGTTTCCATCAGTCATTTGTCTCCATGATAGGCCCCTGTGCTGGGAACACCCTGTGCCTCTCGTCACCCGGTATCATGGCACAGGCATCCATACTCCATCTTGCCAGGCAGCTTTCACAGGTGGGCAGCGGATGGCACTGGTGTTTTGGCAATCCAGCTGGACAAGTTTCTACCTGAACTTTGGCTCTGCCAGTGACTGGGTGGAGGAGCCAGAAAAAAGGTCTGGACAAAGGAAAGTGCCTTCTATTTCTGCTTCCCAACCCCACAGGGCCAGGAGGAAGGGATGATGTGCTGAGGATGGTGGGAAGCACCACTGAGAACATACATTCTTTGAGCATTTAGGATCTCGGGTCTCCCATTCATCCTCTGGCTTTCAGACATACCTGCGCAGAACTCACCTGGGACAGGCCTGCAGACATGAAGCACCTCATATTGCATCTGATCCATCATGTTCAGAACTGCAATCCCTCTTGATGGGCAATGCCATGAGAGTGGAGAAATTCAGCAGTCCGAGATTTGTCTCTAGGGCATAAGATGGAGCAAGCACCAATTCTCAACCTAGCCTCTCAGACAAATGTGTTGTTGCTACTGTTGTTTGCAAAGACCCTGGTCCTATTTATAAGCCTTGTTCTTTGCTCCTCCTAGGGACATGAGAAACTGTACAAATAAGAAGGCAGGTTTAACCCTTTCCTTGTTGTGGATAGACACTTGCCAGAGAAGTGTAGGAGTGAGTAGCTTGCAAGATTAATACCTCAGGCTTGCAAAATGCATTCTGTTTGCCAAAGCATTTTCTCATTTCAGCCTTATGACTGTAAGATAAGGGATACTTTTTTAAGTTCATATTACAGATGAGAAAACAAAGGCTGAGCCAAGGCCTCAAAGATCATTCTAGGCCACCTTCCCTCTCCTTCTACCCAGGTTCCAGGCCCGTGGAGAGCAGGAGAAGAGAAAGAGTGGTGCTAACAGGCCACCTTGATAGAGCACTGTTCCTTGGTGAAAGGTCACCTGTCCCTGAACCTGCTCTGTGAGGGCTGCGCCAGGCAAAGCGCTTGCAGTCGTGAATTTTATGTCAACTCTACTCAGCCACAAGGTGCTCAGACTTTTGGTCAATAATTACTCTGTGTGTCTGCAAGAGTGTTTCTCAATGAGATTAACATTCGAATCGCTGCTAAAGAAGGCACATGGCCCTCCCTAATCTAGGTGGCCCTTATCCAATCGGTTGAAGTCCTGAATAGAACAAAAATGCTGACCCTCCCAAAATTAAGAGGGAATTCCTCCTGCCTGACTGTCTTCAAGCTGGGACATTGGTAGTTTCTTCACTTGAACTGGAACGTCACCTTTTCCTGGTCTTGAGCCTGCTGGCTGCAGATCTTGGGATTTGTTGACCCCCAAAATTGCATGAGCTAATTCCTTAAATAAATCTTTCTTAATACATATATATACACACATCCCATTGGTTCTGTTTCTCCAGAGAGCCTTGACTAATACAGGGCCCCAGAGGCTCTGAGCAGGAGACGAGCTGGGAAACCGGCTGAGAAGGCTGGCCTCCTCCCACCCCGGCACCAATAGAGAAAGAAAGTGTTTCCTGCTCTTCCACATATGCTCCTCTCTATAAGCTGCCCTTCCTTCCCCAAAGCATTTCTTCAAAAATATTTATTGACACCCAGCATGTGCCAGGCTTTTGGTGTATGGGTGTATCAGGGAACGAAATAGACCAAAATCCTTGCCCTCATGGAGCTCAGATTCCATTGCAAAGATAATAAGAAAATTAGTCTATTATGAGGCGAGAAAGACTAAGAACAAACAGAAAGTAGATCAGCATTGGGTGATTAGGTGCGTTGGAGTGGGGGAATAGTGTTGAAGGGAATTGAGGACAGGCCTCTGTAGGGAGGTGAGATTTGCATGAAGATTTGAAGGAGGTGAGGGAATGAGCCAAGCAGGTATTTGGGTGAAGATTAACCCAAACTGAGGGCATAACCAGAGCAAAGGCTCTGAGAAGGGAGATGCCTGGAACTGCAGAGGCCAGTGTGGCTGGTGCAGAGAGGGAGCAGAGGGAAGGGCAGAGCCCTAAGACATGGGAATGAGGTAGCCCGAGGCCTGAGGGGACACCCAGCGGGGGGCTTTTGCAGGGTTTCTGGCTGAGGAGTAGCACAATCTGATTTAGGTTTTTTGTTTTTTTTGTTTTGTTTTGTTTTTTTGAGACAGAGTCTTGTTCTGTCACCCAGGCTGGAGTGCAGTGTGTGGTCTCAATTCACTGCAAGCTCCGCCTCCTGGGTTCAATTGATTCTCCTGCCTCAGCCTCCTGAGTAGCTGGGACTACAGGTGTGTGCCACCATGCCCAGCTAATGTTTTGTATCTTTAGTAGAGACGGGGTTCGATGTTAGCCAGAATGGTCTTGATCTCCTGACCTCATGATCTGCCCACCTCAGGCTCCCAAAGTGCTGGGATTACAGGCCTGAGCCACCGAGCCCGGCCTGATTTAGGTTTTAAAAGGATCCCTCTGAAATTGAGTGTGGTGGTGCACACCTGTGGTCTCAGCTACCCAGGAGGCCAAGGTAGGAGGATCGCTTAAGCCCAGGGGTAACAGTCTATGATGAGCCATGATTGTACCACTGCACTCCAGCCTGGGCAACAGAGTGAGACCTCATCTCCAGTTTAAAAAAATAAACAATTTTTAAAATTAAAAAAAAAAAAAGGATCCCTCTGGGAGCATGTGGAGAACACGTTGTAAAGCAGGCAAGAATAGAAGCAGGGAGGCCAGTTAGGAGGCTCTTGTCAAAATCCAGACCAGAGGCCTGGTGCCCCCACCCAAGGTGATGCCAGGGCTCAGACTCTGGATGGAGTCAAGCAAAGATGGAGACGCCCCAGAGCTTCGCAGACAAGTTCCAGGGTTCTGGGCCCTTCTGCTCTCTGCCCAGGGAAGTGTCCTAAAGACACTTTCTTTGCTGGGACCCCAGGGGGAAATGCCTACTCGCAGCGAGGGATAGTCTTTGCTCTGGTGGGGGCTGGAAAGGATGATGAGAAGGACAAGTTCTAGCTCCTTCCCCAATATCTGGGTGAGCCATTAAGGGCTGATGACATCATATAAGTCCTAGAGCTGAAGCAGGGGCTCAAGAGGAAAAGGATAATTGTCTCTCCCATGAGTACAGTCGGTGGTGTGCTGGCAAATCTTTAACAGCTGGCTCTCTGGGAAAAACGTGAATGTATATGTGTAATTTTACAGGTCTAAAGAATGTGTGGCATATATCTTACAAATAATAATAAAATATATATGATCCTTTATCATAAATTCCATATAAACAACTGATTCTCACAGAATGCTTTAGTTGATTTTTGCAGAACTCCTGTATTTGCAGCCAGCCTATGATCGCAATTGACAAGCCAGTGTAATACCCACAGGAATGTTGGTTGATATTTTCATTTCCATTAATGGGTTTTTAAAAAAAAAAAAGTGAAATGGGCCGGGCATGGTGGCTCATGCCTGTAATCCTAGCACTTTGGGAGGCCGAGACGGGCAGTTCATGAGGTCAGGATTTGAAGACCAGCCTGACCAACATGGTGAAACACCGTTTCTACTAAAAATACAAAAAAAAAAAAAAAAATTAGCTGGGCATGGTGGCAGGCACCTGTAATCCCAGCTACTCAGGAGGCTGAGGCAGAAAAATTCCTTGAACCCGGGAGGCAGAGGTTGCAATGAGCCAAGATCACACCATTGCACTCCATCCTGGGCAACAAGAGCAAAACTCCATCTCAAAAAAACAAAAAAGAAAAAAAGTGAAATGACAAAACTATTTGTTGAAACTTCCCTTGTTCATCAACGATGTGAATGACTTCTTTGTGGCATCAGATATTAGTTTCACTTACTGCAAGAATATTTCCTCATTTTTCATTAATGTGTAATAGCCACAGACACAGCACACTTTTAAGTTTAATCTGCATCATTAAGATATTCTCCATCTTTTTTTTTTTTTTTTTTTTTTTTGAGATGGACTCTCACTCTGTCACCCAGGCTGGAGTGCAGTGGTGTGATCTCGGCTCACTGCAACCTCCACCTCCCGGGTTCAAGCGATTCTCCTGCCTCAGCCTCCCAAGTAGCCGGAATTATAGGCATGCGCCACCACACCTGGCTAATTTTTGTATTTTTGGTAGAGACACCGTTTCACCATGTTAGCAGGTTGGTTTCAAAATCCTGACCTCAGGTGATCCGCCCGCTTCAGCCTCCCAAAGCGCTGAGATTACAGGTGTGAAGCACCATGCCCCGCCCCTCCATCGCTTTTTAAAGTCTGGATAAAGAACAGAACAATGAATGAAACCCTGATTTAGAGTCTTTGTCAATTCCATATTGTGAATATTCCCACCCTGGCTCATTTCAAGCTGACATCATTGCGTGTGGCACTGGGAAGAGATGCTTGCTGGCATGGCATCGTACAGCCTCTCCACCAGACAGATACCAGAGATGGAAATAATCTCAAGCCTAGATAGTAAAATGTAGTAAAATAATTAGGAAGTAATGAGTTTTGAGTATTTATTACCTTGATGTTTAATATAACTTATTTAATTGTAGTTTATATAATGTAATTTCTAATAATGGCTATGTTTATCAACCAGCTCACAAAATCACTGAAGGTTTAATGCTCGACTCTCGTGAGCCCATAAATGCCAGCTCTAACACCACCCTGACGAGTACAGTGCCTTCATGGAAATTACCCATCTTCCTCACTCAGAGATCAGGAAGCTACCTCTACCAAAAAATGGGGAAACCGAGGCTCAGAGGGGTGAGATGAGATGCCCAAGGCACTGGTAGCTGCTGTCCTAGAGCAAGAGTGGCCTTAAGATATGGGTATGGGGTGAGGGAGGGCGTGGTGGAAATCCAGGAGAGCCAGAGGAAGCAGCTTCATATGGGGGCAGTGAGGGTTGATGGGGATTCCTGAGTGCAAGTGCACCCCTTCCCAGGCCCACATCACCAACCTGGTTCCCCACAGCCTGCCTGGGCCAGCCTCTCAGAACAGGATCTTGGTGGATCATTATGGAGAAGCAGCCTCACCCATGTTTCATAGGCTGTGGTTGATTAACAAATTAGCTGTAAATCACACGCCAATCAACGTAAATAACAAGTTTGTCTACAGGATGGAAAATCTGCCAGTGCCAGCCTCCTCAGCTGGGCTTGTCAGAGTCAGCACAGGAGGATCCGGCCTTGGAGAGTCAGGTGGCCCCACTGGCCCAGTGCCCTAGTGTTTCATTGTCCCTGAATTTAGGGAAAGGCCAAAAGAGGGGTTGAGAGGCTGCAACTGGTGACCCAAAGATCACAGCTGCCCCTTCCATTCTGTACCTGCTCTCCCTTGGAGCACCTTAAATCTCAGAGTCCTGTTTCAGCTCCCCCAAGTTCCTTCTGTACCCACCAGTGCCTCCAAAGTACCCACTTGACACTCTGGTCCCAGAAATGAGAGTTAGATAGTGATTTCAGGTCCTCGCCAGCCTCCCCAGGCCACGCAGGTCCTGGGTGCAGAGGGAGGAGCAGCCCATGGCCCTGAGCAGCCAGGGAGGGAGGCTGAGCAGTGGCCTTGAGTGTGGTCACTCTGAATTTGGCCCACCCCAGAAGCCGAGGGCAGAGCAGCCTCCTGGGATTCTGGATGCTGGAAGGGGTGAGGAAGGAGGGGAAGCATAGCCAGCAACTGGCCAGAGAATGACCCACACACCAGCTTCTGTGCCAGGAGGGTACTGTGTTACCTTGGGCAAGTTAAACAGCCTCTCTGAGTTTCCATTTTATGCATGTTCAAAAATGAGTTAGCAATACAACAAATCCTAGGCTTTCACAAATTTCATGTTCAACTGTGTGGTTTTCACTATTTGGTGACATGCTGTTTGCCTGGGCGGTGCCCACTCACAGGCTCTGTTTAACGCCTCCCCAGAAGCCCTTGGTCTGACACCTTACCAGCCTGGATCAAAGCTCAGGAAGGAGGCTCCGATGTCTGCTCCTGCCCTCCTGGCCCTGGCACACTCCCCCCGAATTTCCTTCCCAGTAGGATTTGAAATCTGAGATGCTGTGGCAAAGCACCAGGATCTCTGTGAAGGGGTCTGCATGGCCCTGAGGGGACAGCTCTGCCCACAGCCCTGGTGCTGGGCTTTAATGATCCTGGGTGTGGGACACACATGTGGGCCTGTGCATTCCGCAGACCTAGGCTCAAATGCAGTTTCTGCCACACACAGGTTACATGAATGCAAAGAGGTGACTTGGCCTTTCTGCCTCAGGTACCCTTTTGACCCTTTCCAGAAAGAGGACCTGAAGGGCCTCAGGGCTGATGGCCTGGGACAAAGGACAGGGACTCCTCCCTCCTCGCTTTCCCCCATGGGCCTCCCGCTTCAAATTCCCCAGCCGCTCTTGACAGCTCAGTGCGAGCTCCTCAGCCCCAGAAAGGAGCTGAAATTAGGCTCCGATCAGCCTAGGGGCAACCAGGGAAGACAGAGCTGTGGGAGGTGAGTGGCAGCACAGGAGAAATGGGGAGAAGGCAGATAAAGGGGGGTGGAGACAGAGCGGGAAGGTGGGAGCTGGGAGCGCTGACACAGCACTCACTGCAGATTCCTGCCATAAATCACTCTCAGGGCGGCCTGGGAGCCCTCGCAGCAGGAGGGGGAAGGCTCCAACCCCGGATTCTAAGCCCAGAACATCACCCTAGAGGGCTGGGGAACTCTGGGCATACCTTTGCTCATGCTGGAAGCCTGTTTACCCTACTGCAAAATAGGGAGCACTATCCCCTGCTCTTGGGCCCTGTGCAGAGACCAATTATGTCTCAATGCCAGGGGCATTGACGTCCCCATGCAGAGGTGCATGGATTAGGAATAGGATCATTATTAAGTAATTATCGTTCCTAACGGTTTTAACAACAAAAATCACACAGAGCCAGAAACATGCCTGCTCTGGGGCATGGTGTAATAACTCACATTTATGTGGCGCCTCGCAGCATGAAAACCATGGTCATATATTTTTCTCATTTGATTCTCACAACGCAGCAGTGCAGGTAAGGCAAAGATTTTTCTCCGTGTTTGTTTTACAAACCAGGAATTTCAGGTTCAAAGAGTAAAGGGTCCCCCCGCTCCCCAGGCCATAGAACCGGCTAGTGGGAAGGAGCAGGAACTTGAGCTCAAGTCTTGTGATTCCAGACACTACCTGTTCCCTTCCCATTACCCCTTCCTGAAGGGCCTGGGAATGGAGCTGACTGGGAATGGAGCTGAATCCTAGAAAGGTGACATTATAGGACTTTGGGGTCCGGGTTTGGTTCCCAGCGTGTGACCTCAGAACCTCCTCAGTATAATGGAGATCGTGCCACAAACAGTGCTCAGCTCCTAAAGCTGCTGGATGCATTCGAGGAGATTGTGGACTCAAAGGGCTTAGCTAAGTTCCTAGTGGTGAAAAAGTGCTCAGTAAACATTAGCAATTGTTACCATCATTCCTGTGGTTCAAGGAAAAAGGGGTCACCTGCTGGCTTGCTGGCCACTCTGGAGGCCAAGAGGTGACAATGATGAACTCCCAGCTCTCGCCCCATTTGAGGGGCCGGGGAAGTGATTCCCGTGGCCACTCTCCTTTCCCCCAAGAGGCTCCTCCTTGGGGCCTTCCAGCCCACAGCAGCTGACCCCACAGAGTGTTCATGGAGGATCCCACAGATGATGGCCCTGGGCCCTGGGGAGGAACAAGGCTCTGCTTTGACCTTGGGTGGAACTGACCTGAGCCCGAGGCAGGTGCAGCACAGAGAACTTGCTTCTCATCAGAGCCTCGATTTGGGAGGAAGCTTGGGGCAGGGCAAAGAGCATGACCTGAAAACTGGCTGTGCCTCAACGTCCTCAACTGTAAAAGCAGCTGACAATGGCTGGAGTGGAGAGGGGCTGCAGCTGTCTGGGTGTGGTGTTCCCTCTGTTTTTCCCTGTGTGGAGGCCAGAACGAGCCCCAGGATGCCAGAGCTACCCAAAGCCCCGGATTCACTCCTTCCTGTGAACGTCCCTGGAATGGGACCCTTCATTGGACGGGGCTGATTGAGTGGGAGTGGGAGTCAACAGGAGCACTTGAAGGCCTCTCCCACTTTCCCAGAGCGTGAAGCTGCTGTGGACTTCCAGGCTGACCGCCCCACCTGCCACCCCAAGCCCTCAGAGACTGCCCTGCTCCCCGCCATGGCAGCCTGAACGCCTGGACTCCCTGACGCACCATTGCCTGGTCCTGCAGCCCTGCCTCAGGGCTCCCTTGACCCCCACACTGCAGCAGGGCTTCCATGACCCCTCAAAAGCAAGCATCAGCGCACACTGCCTCCTCCCACATCCCCACCCCATGCCGGGCACCAGTCAGGTGACGCACTCTGAGGCTCTGAGGGCTCCGGTTAAGCGGTGTAAGTTAGCCTGGGTTCTGTTTTGATTTTGCCCAGCTGCATCTGTGTGCATTTAGATTAATCCTGTTAGCTGCTGGGAGTGGGGCTACCTGCTGTTTATCAAGAGCGCTTGTACGATTCCCGCTTGAAATGCAGCCGCCTTCCCTGGGCAGAGAAGCTCCAGTTTCCTTCATCCCACAGCAGCCTCCAGGAAAGGTAGAGCATCCACAGAAGGGGCTGCCTGGTCACCCACCCTGGCTTTGCAGGCGATGGCATGGAGTCTGCAAGCCCCTAGACCCATACCACAGTCTGTGTGTCCTCCCCATCCACAGTACCTACCTAGGTCTCCACTTTTATCACGAGGCCTTTGATCTGCTGCATCTCAGAGTCCAGAAGGTTCCAGGATCATGGGTGTGGCTGCTCTAAGGCCAGTGGGAGGCAGGGGTGCCCTGACCTTTCCCTCGCTTGAGTCATGTGGGTACCAGGTTTGAATGAAGGAAAGTTACAGTTCTGGCCTCTCGCTGTCAGCGGTGGGACCTCAGGCGTGTCCCTTGACTCAGTTTTCTCACCTGTAAGGTGAGAGGAATGCCACCAGGCCTACATATGCAGAAGTTTGTCCTAAAGGTGAAAAGAAGTCATTTGTTGACAGCGCTTTTCCAGCCCTGCTTCGTTATCAGGCACGAGGCAACAAGGATGGCCTGGTGGGCACACGGTTGGAGCAGGGTCCCGTCCTATCCCTGTTCACAACGTGTCATTTAGAAAGTCACCAATACACACAGCCTCTCTGTTTCTTCATCTGTGGAATGGGACGTAGTAAGTAATGCTGCTTAACTACCCACAGTTGAAGTGACGACGAAGGCCGGCTGAGATGAATTCTGGCCCCCATCTGAATGCTCACCGTGTGCTTTCGACACAGCTTCCACTTTCACGCCGCGTAACACGGTGAGGGAGAAACCGCCGCCTTCATACCATTGATATGGAGACCAAAGCCAGAGAGGTAGCAAACACCCAGGTCCAGACCTGGCTCTGCTGCCTCCAAACCTGTGTTCCTGGGAGACATGGAGTGCGTCAAGTGCTGTTCATCTCCATGGGATCGTGTGGGTGGTTTGGCAGGTGGGTGGGGCACCTGCCCAGCCATGATCAGAACTCCCTCATCCCAACACTACATCCCTCTAGTGTTGTGCCCTCTCCTGCTGGGCTCTGAGTGCCGCCAGAGGACACTAGTGCAGCCTCCTCTCCCCCACCCCACCCAGGGGTACACCCAAGCAGTGCCTATTCCCCTAGAAGGCATTCCTCCAGGTTCCATCCATCTTCCCACTTGGGAAATTCTTCCTAAGCAAGGTCACCCATCCCCATAGTCTCCCCTGCACCTGCGTGCTAAGATTCCCCAGACTCTATCTCCACCCACACCTTGCCCACTTCTCTCACAGCCTTTGATGTTTTTTTCCAAGATGGGGGTCTTAGAAAAAAACCTAGGCTGGTCTTGCACTCCTGGGCTAAGTGATCCTCCTGCCTCAGCCTCCTGAGTAGCTGGGACTACAGGTGTGCATCATCACGTTTTTTATGGGTTTACTTCTCTTTCTCTCTTTTTTAACAGCTTTGTTGAGATATAATTTACATACCATACAATTCACGCATTTAAATTACACACTGCAGTGGTTTTTAGTATATTCACAAATATGTGCAACCATAACCACAGCCGATTTTAGAACATTTTCATTATCTCAAAAAGAAACCCTCTACCATTTAGGTATCACTCCTCCATTCCCCTGCCCCACACCCCAGCTCCCGACCTAAGCAAACACCACTCTACTTTCTCTCCCTACAAATTTGTTTATTCTGGACTTTCATATAAATTGAATTATGTAATCAGTGGAATGTTTTAAATCTTGTTTCTTTTAATTTTATCATTTATTTTTATTTATTTAGAGATGGGGCCTTGCTATATTGCCCAGGCTGGAGTACAGTGGCTACTCACAGGCCACTGGAGCACACTGTGGCCTTGAACTCCTGGGATCAAGTGATCCTCCCACCTCAGCCTCCAGAGTAGCTGGGACCACAGGCACGTGCCACTGCACCTGGCAACTTATCATCATGTTTTCAAGGTTAATTCATATTGTAGCATGTATCAGCCCTTCATTTCTTTCTGTGGCTGAATAATATTCCACTGTATGGATAGACCATATTTTGTTTATCCATTCATTAGCTGAATATTCGGATTGTTTCCTCTTTTCATCTATTATCAATAATGCTGCTCTGAGCATTTTTGTACAAGTTTTGCATGGATGTATGTTTTCAATTCTCTTGAGTATCAGCCTAGGAATGGAATTGCTGGGTCTTATGGTGACTCTCCGTTTAGCCGTTTGAGGAACTGCCAGGCTTTGTTCCAGCGTGGCTGCCCCATTTTATACTCCTACACAACTGTATATGAGGGCTCCGGTTTCCCCACAGCCTCGTGCTGGCTATTGTCTGTCTTTGGTTATCCCCATCTTACTGGGTGTGAAGTGGCATTTCCTCGTGGTTTTGATTTGTATTTCCCTGATGCCTGATGATGTGCAGCATCTTTTCATTTGCTTTTTGGTCATTCGTATGCCTTCCATGGAGAAATGGATATTCAGATCCTTTGCCCATATTCTAATTGAGTTATTTGTCTTTTTGATTATTGAGTTGTAAGTGTTCTTTATATATTCTAGATACAAGTCCCACAGCTCAGATTTGAATACCTAACTGAGCCCAGCCTTATGGTTCAGAGGGAAGATAATGACTCGGAATTAGACTGAATTGGATTCAGATTCCCACTCAGACATTTAGTAATGGAGAATGTGCTATTTAACTCACTTGCAGGATAGAGATAATTACACCTGTGAAATAGTACATTCAAGGCTCTTTGTGTTTACCTGTGCAAGTCATGGAGCTTGGAGTTGTTCAACCTTCCCACTGAGATAGGTAAAGAACTGTTATTACTCTTGTTTACAAGTGAGGCAACTGAGGCACAAGGAATTCGCTGTGGATCATGGAATCGTAAGTGGCAGAACTGGAACTTGAACCCACATCTCTGGAACTCTAGTGTCAAGAGCCAAGGTAGGCAATGAATGTGTGTTAAATAAATGAACGAATGCCTTCACTGATGGGGACCTCACTATCTCAAAAAGCAGTCTGCTCTGCTGTTGGATTCTTCTATTTACTACAAAAATCTCACTGTTGTTGAGCAAAACCCACCCATCTCCCATCATAACTCCTTCCCATTGGCCCTGGTTCTGCCCTCTAGAGAATCCCCGATGCCTAGGGTCCAGGGTCAATGCCACTGACTCCAACTCCAGTATACAGAAGTCCTCCCCCATCCCCCACTCATACACACAGGCAGAGCCCCAGCCCTGGCCCATCTGACCCCCAGATGAGGCTGGGAGCACCCACCTCCTGCAGGTCTATTCAGGCTCTCCCACTGGATGCAGAGAGACCCAGATCCCCTCTCCAGGGACCAGGGACTGAGGCTTCCCACTGGGAGATGAAGCCCTTGTCCACAGTGAGTGGGACCCATGGATACTGGCTTTGTGATCTCATCAGTGTCAGGTCACATTATGGCAGGAACAGGACCTAGGTGAGAGCTAAAGGAGCCTGTGGCTGGCTGAAGGGAGAAGGGATGCACAGGGGACTCGCTTGTTCCAGCCATCTGAGCAATCTCACGCTTGGTTAGCTCTGCAAGTGACACTACTTCAGAGCTGGCCCATCGTGGCCCCATAGCTAACCTAACCACGGTATCTGAGACTCCAATTCCAGGCTGTGAGGCCTGGATAGACTTGGAGAGCACTGGGGAGGAGGAGCACATCACCGTATGAGCCTCTGCCACTCCCACTGAGGCAAGAGTGAGCACTGAGTCCCGGCCAACCCCTGCAGACAGCTAGAGCTTCACCTCTGTCTCCAGGAAGCATCATCTCTGGGCCCCGGTATGATGGCCTGCACTTGAGAATTCAGGCTGGACAGGACAGGCTAGGATTGCCCTCTCCAGCCTCCAGGATTGAGACCTTAGCATTCCAGAGCCAAGACCCCCAGCTGTGTTTTGGAGGCAGAGGAAATTCAATCTGACACATGGAGGACTGAGGGCCATCAGTTCAAGCAGTGCCTGCAATCAGTGTTACATTGAAGAGACTTGAGAGCCCGGTTTACTGTCAGGACGACCTGAGCTTAAATCCTGTCTCTGCAAGTTACTTCACTGCCCTGGCCTCAACTAGTATGTCTGTAAAATGAAGACACTGACGCTGACCTTGCTCATCAGGTTGTTATAAGAATTAAATGAGGCCAGGCACAGTGGCTCATGCCTGTAATCCCAGCACTTTGGGAGGCCGAGGTGGGCGGATCACGAGGTCAAGAGATCAAGACCTCCTGGCCAACTTGGTGAAACGCTGTCTCTACTAAAACTACAAAAATTAGCCAGGCATGGTGGTGTGCGCCTGTAGTCCCAGCTACTTGGGAGGCTGAGGCAGGAGAATCGCTTGAACCTGGGAGGTGGAGGTTGCAGTGAGCCGAGATCGCGCCATTGCAATCCAGCCTGGCAAGAGAGTAAGACTCCTTCAAAAAAAAAAAAAAAAAAAAAAAAGCATTAAATGAGTTATTCAAGCCTATCCCAAAAGGTTAAATGATTCTGTGACATTCTTAAAATGACAAAATTATAGAAACAGAGATTCATGGTTGCCAGGGGTCAGAAAAGAAGAGAAAGGGGGAAAGTGCCTATGAAGAGACAACAGGAGAGATCCTTGTGGTGACGGAACAGTCTGCATCTTGACTGTGTCAGCGTCTATTTCCTGGTCATGATCTTGTACTATAGTTTTGCAAGATGTTAATATTGGGGGAAACTGGGCAAAGGGCACACTGGATCTCTATTATTTCTTACAACTGCATGTGAATCTACAGTGATCTCAAAATAAGAAGTTTCATTTTTAAAAAAACAGAGTTATTTAAATAATGTTGGGTGAAAGGAAGCATCTGTAACATTAGCTGTTCTTGCTCCCCATCCCTGGGTTGCTCTGCGAGCTGATGTGGCCTGGGAACCTGCATCCTGTGAAACCCTCACAACACTGGGGAAGGGGCTGGAGAGAAGAGCCTGACCGTATGTTTAGCAGCTTTTATTTCTGTGCCTGCCTTGAGTGCTTAATAAATGCAGGAGGGAGGTAGGGAGTGAATGAGTGAGTGAATGAATGAATGAATATTACAGCAAGTGAACTCTCAATCTCTCAGGAAATGAAATGGCCTTAAAGCAAGAGGCACTTGGGATGGATGCAGGAACCATCTTGCAGCCCTAGATTGGCCAGCCCACCCAGCCCCTGCTTTGCCTCGTCTGCCCCAGCTGCATTCCTTGTCGGGGGCAGGCTGCGTGCCTTCGAGGACAGCAGAGTGACGCACTTTAATTAGTGCAAGAGTAAATTACATTGGACGAAGAGAGTCCCAACTTCTCCCGACGGCGCGGGGAAAATAGAAGCCTAGCATTTTCAATTTAAGGTTTAGTTAGATAATGCCTATTGGTGCCAGTAGATTACAGAGTGGATATTAAATCCTGCAGGATTTGGAATCGGAGCATACAAGACGAATCCATAAGTAGGGGAAGCAGCCGGAAGGGGCTGGCCCGCTGTCCTCAGCTAGCAAGAGCACCTCTCTGGGAAGCAGCAGCCTGCACAGAACTAGGGTGCCCACAGCGGCTTCAGAGGGATAGCTGAGGGCTGAAATTCTAGGGGCTGGAACTACTTTCCTGCCTGGCTCCCTGAACCAAGGTTTCCTATGTTATGAATGGGAAGACTAACACCCAAAGGCACCACAGGTTTTGGCAGTCAGAATAGAAACCCACACTTCAATCTCATCCAAACCTTCCCTCCCTTCTCCACCCAGTCAACTCTTATGCTACCTTCGAAACAGCTCAAGAATCTCTTCCTCCAGGAAGCCCTTTCTAACTACCCACTTGGATTCCTCTGTGAGCCCAGAGGACTCCAGGCTTCCTCTGGCATTGAACTCACCAATGATGATTATAATCACGGACATACCTCTCTTCCTCTCCCCTCACTCTTTTGAAAGGTGTGAGCATGGCCTGCTCTCTCACACCCTTGCTCCCAGGCACAGAGGGGCACCCACTAAACATGTGCTGCACAGATGGGGTTTCCATCGTGTTTGTATTTATTTTCCAACAGTTGATGCATTTTGAACATGTGATACATTCACAGCCTTCAAGACTCAAGAGGTACAAAGGGGTCCACGGGGAAAGTCTCCCTCCCGCCCTACCTTGCAGCTCTCCAGCTCCTCCCTAGGAGTAGCCAGTTCCTTGTACACCCATCCAGGAGGCTTTATCCTCATGCAAGCAAATGTGGATGTGCGTTTCTTCCTTTCTCAAGAAAATAGCGGCTACGTCACACATTATTCCCACGTCACTATCTTCACTCCACAACCTGTCTTAAAGACTTCTTTTTCACTACATGGAGGAGGACTTTGTGTTCCCAGGCGTCCTGGAGCCAGACCCTGCTACTTCAGGAGCGGGAGGCTGTGGGGCAGGGGGCTGGAAGGATGGGCTCCCAAGTCCTGCTTTTCCATCAGGGTGTGCAGTGTTGACTGGCATCTTAAGATGCCTCTGTGGCATACCTGGACCAGCAGGCTAGGAGCGGCCAAAATAAGCAGCCTCGGAAGTGTGGACACAGGGCCTGGGAGCCTTGGCCCGAGCCCACAGGACAACTGTAAGCCCCATCAGACTTCCTGGGGGGCAGGATAACGTTTCTGGCAGGCTCAGCTCGAAGGCTCGGGCTCAGTGGAGGAAGCTAGAGAAGCTTATTAGTTTAAGCAGGATAAAATGTGTAAATTAATTACCCCGGCCACCCATGCATGTAGCGGCTGGTCTGCCACTGGGAGGAGAAGAATTAGCCTCCACTCCTCCTGCAGTCTGGCTTTCCTGCCAGATGCAGCCCAGAGGACCCATGACTGCATGGCCACCAGGGAAGGAGGGACCCAGACACCAGAGCCAGGTGGCCTCGAGGAGCTAAGCAGGCCCTCCCTGAAATGCCAGGGATTAGATTCTGCCATCACCACCAGCAACAAAAGCAGCAGTCAGGGAAGAAGTGCCTGAGGCAGGGAAAGGACCCTGTGTCCTGCTCTCCACCATGCATCAGGCACCTATTTATCAAGTGATGATGCACCAGGCACTGTGAAACACTTACTTGCCTCCTTTCATTTGATCCTCTTACAAACCCATACGGTCACTATGATTAGCCCTATTTGGCAGATGAGAAAACTGAGGGTAAGGAAGCGTAAGTAGCTTCTTCTATTGACCCAGCCAAGTCAGGTCAGGTACAGAGTGGCACATTGCCTCTCTCAGAGAGGCACAGACAGAGGATGATCTCTGGGACTGTATCATCCCCCAAGAGTGTTCCCTGCTTCCACACCCACCTCATGGCAGTTCCGCCCCCCTCAGCCCATGGCAGCTGTGCTGCAGTCTCCCTCTCTGGCATTAGTGCTCCTGCAACAGGGACCTACTCTCCAACTCCCCTCCTCCACTCACTGGCCCTTAGCTCTCAACTGTTTCCTAAACCCTGCATCCTCTGCACATCCTGCTTGTGTCTTTGCTTGCTCCTGCACCTGCAATGCCACCAGCGTCTCCACCTGCCACAGTCGGTCCCATCAATGATGTCTCAAGCCACCAGTATAGCGCACCTGGGCCTCCACTCTTGCTTCACCTCGGTTCATTCCTGAGTCCTCTTCTTAGAGCACTGATCTGATTACTCACCCTCCCATGGAGGTGGTCACTGTGTTTACGGTAAAGCTCAGCCCCTATGTAGCCCGGCATGATCCTGCCCTGCCTTTCTCACACATGCAGAACTCACTCAGGTCCCCCCAGATCTTCTCAACTCACTCTCAGCACAGCTGTCCCCTCCTCAGGGGACATGCCTCCTCATCACCGTTTTGGGCCCTGCACGCTCTGATCACCTTCTGGATCAGCTCACAGGCCCAGTCTTGTGAATTCATGCAGAGAGGCAGCTTGTGTCTCCTATATCTTGTGCTTAGATCTTGGTCCAACACAAAAATCTGAATGAATGCAGGCCTCCCCCGAGCCACGCCTCCATTCCTGCTCCTCATCAGGTATCTGTGCACCTCTCTCCCCCCTAGGCCTGTACAATGCCCCCAGTCTTGGGCTCAGGTCACCTAGTGCAGTCCCCACTCCAGGCAGGTCCACACCTGAACCATCAAAGACCCACACCTCACCCTCAAAGAATATGCCGCCTCCTTCTCAGACAAGCTCTCAGGGCTCCACCTTCCACAGCCAGATCTGAATCCTGCAAGTTACCAATCCGTAACAGGGTTTGCAGCCCCTCAATTCAGCCAGTTCAGGATCTTAACATGATAATGGGACCAACCTCAGAAAAATGCAGAATTTGCTAACCAGAGCCAACCTCAAGGCCAACGAGGAAACACGTTATATGTCCACTTGGGATGAATGTATTGATAACGATAAGCCCGGCCAAAGACCTCTCCTCCCTCCCTCACCTGGCTCCCTGTCCTTCCTGGGGAGCTTCAGGGATCCCAGGCACCATCCTCATCCGCTGGGTTGAGGTCACCCATCCACTGCCACATCTTGCAAGAGAGTCTGTTGGTTCCCAAGTTTCCTCACCCCCTCCCCACTCCTTTGCCTCTTCTTAGCCTCTGCCTTGGCAAGGTGATGAATTAGGAGCCAGGAGTTGGCACATTCACCAAGCAATTAGTGTTTATCTTCCTTGTTTCTGTGGCTGAACAACAGATCATTTTCAACCTTAATAGTCAATACTCAGAAAGATAAAACTGTCTGGGTCACTCTTGGGAGGTGATTTGAGGGTTTGGTGGGAAAGGGAGGTGGGATATGAGATGGCCCTGCCTCAGCCATCCAGCCCCCGCCCCTCTGGACAGGCATTCCTGGGGTCCCACCTGTTACCCTTCTGACCTCTCTCCATGGTCCATCAGGAGGCAGGGACAAAGGTCCCCATGTCGTAGCCGGGACACGGAAGGGGGACAAGAGTCAAGCAGCTTGGCAGTTCGCAGCCCCTCAGTGTCCCCTCCCCCTTGGACTTTGAGGACTCTGGCTTTCTGTCTCACTCTTCACCAAGAGCTGCCTTGGGTAGAGCCCTGTCCGACTCATGCAAGCCCTCTTTGGGGGCTGCAAAACTGAGCCTTCTGTGCCCACCCAGCCCCCTCCTCAGGCCAGCTACCTGCAGAGGGAACCCAAAGGTGGCACCCACATAAGGGAAGCCTGCCCCTTCTGCAGAATTCCATGCCAGGTTAGGCAAGGTCTGGTGGGGTGAGCAGTAAGCCCCTATCTGCTGCTCAGACCAGGGGACTGCTGTCCTGGGGTCATATATTCTACAGGCTAGGACAGAAGGGCCTACTCAGCTAATACAGAAGTGGGGGAAGGAGGAGAGAGAGAGAGGCTCACCTTGTAGAAGGGCCCTGGGACCCAGTCCTGACGGCCCGGGCTGGGGCAGGAGTTTGGCGCCCACTCACTGCAGTGAAATGCTGTCACCTGCTGGCCGTGCCTCAGAACTGCAGGAGCCCTGGTGCGGGTCCTAGGGCTGGGCCCAGCAGCTTCCACCCTGTGACTCTCCACCAAGTGCAGAAGGCCAAAAAGAGGGGAAATCAAGCTTCATCCCAGGTTGAAATGTCGTCATTGTCTTTGTTGTTAATTCCACAATAATAATAGTATAATCTCTCAACTGTTGGGCCCTTGCTAAACCAGGTTCTTTGCAGTTTTTTGTTGCTCACAGCAGTCCTTTAAGATGTTATCCCCACTGAAGCTCAGACAGAGTGGGCAGCTTGGCCCTGGTCTTACAGCTGATGGGCAGTGCAGCCAGGATTCTGGCCCTGACAGTGTGGCTCCAGCTCCACACAGTGCCCTCAGAAGCCTATGCCTCAGCTCTCCACACAATGAAATGTACCAGGCACCCATTATTGGATGCCTTCCAGCTCCCCTTTTGATTTTTTCACCTTCCTCTCCCACTTCCTCTTCCCAGTTAACTGCTTCTTAGCCTCCAAGGCCCGCCCACGTGCCAGGCACTGTTCTAGGACAACATGATGGAATAACCCCTGCTATCACGGAGTCCACATTCCAGCAGGTCCTGAGGCCCAGAGCAGAGCTCAGAAGCTCCTGCGTCTCCAGCCTTCCCCCGTCCTGGACAGAGAAGGCTTCTCAGATGGGGACCCATGCCCCTGACAGGGTCTAAAGGAAAGGAGAGGCACGGGGCTGGGTACAGGGAGCCTTGGAGATTTGGGAGTCCAACCTGCCTGCCTATCAGCCCAGGTCTGATGGTGGATTCCCAACCTGACACCAAGCTCAATGTTCCTGTCCCTTCCAACCCTCCTTTTGCTGTGGTCTCCACCTCACAGGCTGTTGGAGCTGGGAAAGAACCCCAGAAATGATCCAATGAATACACCTCATTTTGTAGATGGAGAAGGTCAGACCCAGAAAGGGCAAGCAATTAGCCCAGATCACACAGCCAAGCAACAGAGCCTGGATGAGACTCAGGGCTCCCAACTACCCTGCCAGAGCTCCCTGCTGAGCCCCTCTGCTGCCTCCCTCCTCGCTGGTCTGCCAGGGGGCTACCCACACCTCTGAGAATCACCCAACGCCCAGAGCTGGGAGAGGGCAGGAGACAAGGGAGCATGGGCCAGGACTGTCTGGGTCTGAGAGGAACAGAAGTGGATATAGAGCCTTGCCCCCCTCCTTCCTCCCTAATAGGAGGATTAAACCTCCTATTCTCACTCATGCTGGGGACAGAGGCATTCTCAAGAACTGGGAAGAAAGGATTTCCCTGATTGCTTTATAATCACAGCTCAGACGATAATGGACCTGGTGGGGATTGATGGGGAGAGTGTGATGCTCAGCGACGTCCCCGCCCAGTTCCCAGCACAGCCCTGGGCCTCCTGACACAGCGGTCTTCCCAACATCCCACCAGCCAGCCTCTGTGCAGCAGGTGCAGCCCCTGGTGCAGCCCAGGCATGGGACAGGCAAGGGCCTGGCTGCCCCCACAGGGGAATTTAGCCAGACCTGGTGTCCCATCCAGTTCCCCTTCTCTGGAGCTGGTAGGCTTAGGGCAGGGCCTGGAGAACTGGGAGCCTCTCGTGGCCAGGGTCTTTCTGAGAGTCCGGGCATCTCTGGAGCCCAGGAATGGGTCCTTATCACCATCACAACCCCAGGGTCCTCAAGAAGGGCCAGGAGGCTGCAGGGCACGGTGCCCACAGAGGTGGACCTGCTGGGGCACCACGTAGGGAACCAGCACCCAGGGCAGGGGGCTGTAGGGAGCAGCAACTAACCCCAGGGACACTCTGCAGTCCCAGCTCCCAAGGGAGAACACCACCCAGGTGGCCAAAGCATGTGGGTCCAACTTGTGGTCTCTCTTCTTGACAGTGCTGGAAGGTCCTCCATGGACACACTTGGCCCCTTCTCCTTCCTTTCCTTTCTCACCCTTACCCTCCTGTCTCCCCCTTCTCTCTCTTCTCTGCCATTTCTCCCTCACTTTCTCAATCCCAAGAGCCCCTTCGTGGCAAGCCTGGCTGCTTGGCTCCTAAAGCTCCCTGGCCCAGCAGCGTGGAGAGGAGGAAGGAAGAGTGTTGTCCCTCCACGATGGACCAGCAGCCAGCTTGCTTAGGGACTTTTACTAGGACAGAGGGACTGCTCCCCTGATGTCATCAGGCCCCTGGTGGGGAGCAGAGTGAGGAAGAACAGTGAGAACAGAGGGGCCCGGGTGTCCCTGCCACACCAGGAAAAAGAATGTGGTTGTTTGACACCCTCTTCCCTCTCTACCATCATGCCTCCTCCTGGCTTGCTCACCTCTTCCAGGAAGACTTCCCTGACTCTCCTTCCAGGCTTCTCTGAGTTTCCAGGGACTGGAAGGCCTTTTCCCTTTCCTCCGTCCCCCAAGCCCAGGATGATGCTGTCTTCAGGAGCCTGACCCTCCTGCCAGCCTCAAAGGGGAGCTCTCCTTCCCAGAAGGCCCTCTGTGCACTGAGAAGGCCCTCAGGTCTGAAGCCTCCAGTGGACTTCCACTCCAGCCTGCGTCTGAGCACCAGAGTGCTTGGCTCCCAGCCACTTCTGGGCCCTTCTCCCCCTGGGAACTCTAGGGTGGGCCGGCCAGAAGGTCTGAGCATGGCAGAAGGTATTGAGCATATCCCCAGGCCCACACCCCACTGTCATTCTCCCTGTGTTCATTGTTAGCCAAGGCGTGCCTCCCTGAGGCCCAGGTTCCTGCACTGCACCCCCTGTGTCCCAGACAGGGTGAGGGAGGTCAAGGGAGTTTCAAAGGAGCCACGTTTCTGAGAGGAGAGCAGGAAGATGACCGTGCCTTCATCAGAGGGAAAAAGTGCATTCAGAAGAACTGCAGCCTGTTCCTCTGGGGACCCTCAGGGAAATGGTCATTCAATACAAGAGAAGTGACAGACCAATGGTTTATTCCAAAGGGGAAAGCCCAAGCTGGATGTCTCCCTCCCCAACCCCTGCAAGCTGGCCCATCCTTCCAGAGCCCCCATAGGCCTGGGGCTGTTGAGACGGGAGATGTCCCCACTGTGCTGCTCCTGGTTTTGTCTCCTCTCCAATCCTTGAGCACCCTGATATGCAACATGGGGGGTAATCAGAAGGAGGAGGCAGCCTCTGATGGGGCAACGGCTGAGGGTGGGGGCAGTGTGTAAGGCACCTTTTGCGGTCAGCCCAGCCACACTCCATCGCCAGAGAGAATGCCAAAGTGTAGACTGAATGAAATTCTGTAGGCAAATGGTAAATGGTAGCTGGGCCAGTAGCTATTTGCATGGGTGGATTATATCATGTTAAGGGAATTCTTTATCTCAGCAGAGGGAACAGAGGAATATCTTGGCTAAGGTCATCCTGCCAGTCAGGAGAAGCCACCCTCCAGGGACCACAGACTCAAAGTGGCTGTGGTGGAGACCCACCGCCTGGGTAGGGTGATGTCAAGACACTGAGAGGTTTCCATCTGCAGTGGCCAAGGGCTGCAGGTTCTGCCATGCTGGGCATTGATAGGTAGGACGAGAGAGAGCACGTAGGGCCAGTCCTCTGGGAAGCAGGAGGTGGGCCATGTGAATGGGAGATGGGTGGCTGTGCTGTCCAGGCATCTGCTGACAACATTGGGGGATAGGGCCTTGGAGAGAAACGTCTATAGGCCTGGAGACAGCAGGGCGTGGGCGGGAGAGGCAGGCTGATACCATGCGGGTACTCACTGCTAGCCCCCAGATCCAGCCCGAGAGGAGGAGGCTGGCGGGTTAGGGCAGGCCCCAACCTATCTCACCCCTGTGATGGGTTGGCCTCTGAGCACAGGAATGATGGTGACCATCTGAGGTCACAAGGCAGGAAAGGAGTCTGAATGGAGTGTGGCCAGTGGGGAAGTCGGAGAGGCCGGAACTGCCCCCAAGAGGCTGGCAGAGGGCTGCAGAGGGCAGGTGCAGGACCAGGCTCCCTCCCACCCAGACAAGCACAGTAGCTTAGAAGGCAAGAGCAGCAGGGTCAGGAGGAAGAGCAGGGGTGTGGCGCCTCGTTCCTTCCGCCAGGAGCTCATGGGGCTTCGTTGGACCCAATCCCGTTGCCTTTGTTGACGTAGAATGGCCGGTAGTGAGACTGTGGGGGAAACAAGAGTGGTCAGCGAGGCCAGACGACAGATGAGCCTGCTAGCTAGACCCACCCTACCCTAACCTGCCTCAGGAGGCAGCAGTGATCCAAGACCCGACAATTCTAGGGGCCTTTTTGGCCTGATCTGCAAGATTTACCTACCCTGTGATCAGGGGCTGGTCCCTAATGTCAGGATCTCCAGATTGGAATCCTAATTGGAGTCCATTCCCATAGTTAGTGGGTGAGCTTGAACCTCAGCCCCCGCATTACACTGGTCGAAATTTCTCTCCACAGCTCAAGGAGGTTCCTCCAGCGCCACCACAGCTACTATTTATATAGCACTTTCTACTCCACAGAACTTCACAGCACTGTGTCGAGGGCTGTATGTGGATGCACTCATTTAATTTTTACAACCACCCAATTAAATAGATTACTATTATCATATTCAATTTATAGTTGAGCAAACCAAGGCACAGAGAGGCTAGGCAACTTGCCCAAGGTCACTCAGCTGGTAAGCAAGGAGCCAGAATCCAAGCCCCAGCAGGCTGCCTCCAAAACCCACACCCCCAGCTGCCAGTTCTCGGCATCACTTCTCTTATGGTGAGGGCTTCCAGGATTTTCTTTGCCTCTCTCTGCATAAATTTCCCTTACAGAAAGGGTGCAGAGAGGGTAAAGAACTGCCCCAGTCCAACACGGTCCCAGGCTCCCCACAGCCCTTTGCCTCTCTCGTCCTGTTCCTCTTCCCCCAGCCATTGGTACAGGGAGCATCTCTGGAGAGAGAGCCCAGTGACAGCTCTCCCAGCCTTCTCCATGTATTGTATCTCCCAGTAATTTCATGAAATCAGCATGCCCCACCCTGCCCAGATAACTTCATCAGGGCCCTGAGGAGGCAGCCCTCCAGGATGGAGTGGAAGAGCACAGCTTAGCTGCTGCTCACCCACGCAAGCACCATCAGCCCCCGGGGGTCTCAGGAAGAGGATTTGTCCCTGAGCTGGGTCAGAGACTGAGCCCACTCCCATGCCCTGCAGATCCCAATACAGGAGACATCATTTGCCCCTCACACACACACCTCAAGGGTACACTGCCTTTGGCCCTGTCTCTCAGGGAACTGACACCTCCTGGTCAGCTCCTTGCCTTTGTGTGGTCCACAGCAGGACTTGAGGGATGCTCAGACCTTGCTTAAACCACCTATTAAACAAAGGAAGAAACTGAGACCCAGGGAGGGGTAAGAACAGCTACTTACTGGCAAAGCAGAGCCTGGACCAGGTCTCCTGACCCCCAGGGGCCAGCCTGGACCCCAAGCAATTCATAGGGCAAAGTGAACAGATTTGGAAATGGCTGAAGCCTTTCTTTGAGGAAGATTGGGTCAATAATATGGGTTGCAGGTCAATGAATGGCATTGTCTGGTTAAAAGCCTGGAGTGGTAGGTGGGCATCAGGGCAAAATGCTACCTTCACCCTCCCATCCCCTCCCTGGCTTGAGGTCACAGCACATACAGCAGGTGGAAGAGCTGCAAAATCATCCTAATTATGGATGGGAAAACTGAGGCACAAAGGAATCATTTTTCCTCATGCAAAGTCACACAGCAAGTCAATGAGACAGCTGGGGCCAGCCCCCAGGGAAATTGATTCCCAGCTCAGCTTCTCTGCAGCCCAGCGCCTGTCTCCACTCTCCCAGTGCTGGGTGCCTGCTGGACACCAAAACCTTGCTCTGCCAGGGGCCTCAAAGTGCTGATGAGCCTTCTCTTCAGGGCCCCAGGCTCTGAGAGGGTGGAAAAGTATGTAGTAGGGAGGGGAAGGACTGAGTCTAGAACAGAAACCTTCTTTTTTCTCCCCATATCTGCTTTCTGCAGTCCTGCTGTTGCAATGCCCCTGAGTCCAGCTCCAAATTACATACACGATCACTTAGCTCCCATCCCCAGCAATTAAAGATCCTCTCCAATTAAACCAACCCCAGCCATTCTTTGTGGTCCAGGGCAAATCACCTCTCCTGCTCTGACCTCCAATTGCAAGGACAGCAAGAAACAAGGGCTCCGGCCCTGGTTCCAGCAGAGCTCCTGATGCCATCCACATGCCACGGCAGTGGCCGACTCCTGTAGCAGGGCCTAGAATGGACCTTCAGGAGCAAGGCATTCAGGCACATGGGGGCTCTGCATGTGAACTACAGTCCCCGATCACTGAGGTCTCAGTCAGGGTCAGATATGTCAGATCTAACGGGCACTGGGGATCATCTCAGTCCCCACATAATAAAAAGCAAGGAAGAGTCTCAGAGAGGGTATCTAATTCATCCAGGACCCCACCGTCAGCAGGTGGCCTGGACCCCAAAGCCATGCTTCCCTGTCATGCTGCTCTTCTGATATGCCTGGCCTCGGGTCATTAGATATTGACCCTAAATATATCTATTCCCGACTTTCCAGTCTCTCCCACCCCCACATTATCACCCCAATGGCCTCTATGCTGTCAGAACTGGAGAACTGCCCCCAGGGAGGTGGGACCCATCTCTAGGAGGAGGCCTGTCCTCCCACTGGGCTGTTTTACAATCCCAGAGCTGGCAGAACCCAAGCTGCCATTCCACTAGCATAGGCATCCAACAAGCATTTGCCAAATAAAAAAATCAAGGCTGCCCATTTTATAGATCAGAAAACTGAGGTCCAGAGAGTGTATGCTTAGCTAGTCCCCTGCCCATTAGCCCTGGGTCTCTACTACCCTCTGCTGTGTACAGGTATTCAGGCCACTGCTGCCTCCTTCTCCTCCACCCCATGGCCCAGAGAAGTCCTCCCACAGGCCCTGGAACCGATTGCCTCCAGGGAGCCCCCTTCAGTGCCCAGGTCTCTGGATGTGCCCAGGCCCTCCCGGCAGCACTTCCCTTACCAGCATAGTCTGCTTGCCAGATTTCCAAGTCTGGGGCTGGGCCTTGGGGCTTTGGCTCCGCATGAGGGAGGGATAGCCTGGGAAGACAAGAGATTCAGGTCAAAGGGAGCAGCGCTGGTGGTCAGGGGTGCCCGGGCCCAGAGCAGCACAGCTGCCTTCTCCAAAGTGACCACCAAGCATCATCCAGCCCATTACCAAATGCAGCCGTCTGAACACGCGTGCAGCAGCCAGGGTGCCGCAACCGAAAATCCTGGGGAGGCTGGCCAAAGGGAGGAGGCAGCAAAGCAGACAGAAGGAGGAGGAGCCGGCCAGGTGGGCTGGACCAGGCAGCAGGGGAGTGTTGCCCCCACATCCAGCGCAGCATCACACTGCTCTGCAGGGATTTCCACTCACCCACCCCGGAGGTTTACACCACGGGCCCTCCCCTTCCCAGAGCCCAGGAGCGCCACGCATAAGCATGGCCTGCCAGAGTTTCCCGGCAGGAGGCGCTCACTTGGACTCCCCTGTGCTGTTTGGACGATGCTTCCCATTCACGGAGCCCCACTTGTGCCAAGCACTGTGGAAGGGACTTTGTAGATGTCTCCTCACTGAGCCTGGCCCCGTATCTATGAGCTCAGCAGTCTGCCTGAGTTGCACAGCTCATAAGCAGCAAACCAGGTGCTGGGGAGCACCGCAGGCAGGCGGGGGACAGAGTGCCGGAAATCCAAAACCCAAATTCATGTTTTTTTCTCCCTGGCTTTGTGGCCCCTCCCCTGTTTCACTAGCCAGAGACTAGGGCCTAGAGAGGTGCAGGAATCTGTCATTGTGGCCGCCACCCAGGGTTAGGATGGCAAGCCCAAGAGGCCTGGAGCAGGTGCGCTCTCTGAGCTTGGTTGCAAAGATGCTAGTCTAAGACGGGGCCGCCTTGACTCCCTGCGCCTCAGCCCAGACAGACCTGAAAGGAGCTCTGGTTCACAGCACAGTGAAGGCACTCTCAGTGTCAGCCATCAGCCTGCAGGGACGCCTGGGAAGACACAGGCCATGACCTGGATGCTGAGGCCCTCAAGAAATAAGCAGGGTCTGTCCTGGGCCAGATCTCTGTCCAGTGAGAGGCTGCATGCGGTCTGTCTCGGGAAAGCCCCTCTCCTGCCCTGCTCTAAGCGAGGATGAGCAGGTCAGGCTCATGATGAGCACCGCCAGGCTGCCAGTTGGGTTGGCCCTTCCCAGGTTGGCACTGAGCAAGGAGGAGGGGGAGGAGACAGAGCAAAGAACCTGGGTCTCTTCCTGCATCTGAGGGTGGGAGCAGCCTTGGAAAGGGGGGTTCCAGGGATCCTGAGTGGAGATTAAGAGGGGTAATTCAGGCCTCATCTCTCAGTTCCCAGAAAGAAAATCCCATGCCAGCCATGAGAGAGGGGAGAATGGAAACAGGGGTGGGGTCAGGGTGGCCCAAGACACCCGCCTTGTGCAGCAGGCAGAAGTCCAGATAGAGAGTATGCTGGGGTGGCAGGTGGGGCATGCATCCCTCTCCAGGGAGCTCTGGGGAGAAGGGACCGGCACACCCTAGAAGTGGCAGAGAGCCCCCCATGTCCCACCTGCCCCGCTGTGGGAGAGAAAAGGGGAGGGATGGAAAATGGGCAGATACCGGGATTATTTTTAGACAGCCCACTGCGACCCAGTGGTTTGGAAAACTCTGCAGTGGCCTGTCCCAAGGTGGTGAACTGATAAGGGGTTTTCCCAGTGCCTGCTGGGAGAGAGAGAGGCATTAGTGGCACAGCGCTGGTCCCAGAGGGGCCAAAAGGACCCACACCTCATTCTGGGGGCTGCTCTGAATCACACCTGAGAGCGGCCACCTCCCCTGCCAGGTGCTCTGTGGGCCAGGCTTGAGCAGAGAGCAGAAAGGCGCCTGCTAGAAGCCAAACAGGCCAAGGCAAGTCCTGGAGCTCCCCAGGCCCGGATCAGAGCTAAGACATGCCCGGGGCTCCTGCAGGCTGGGACCCTCCACCCATAGTCCTGTCTCCTCCCTCTTGCCGGCAGCTCCAAGAATCCCTGTCCTGGGTATAGTATAGGACCCTGGGCCGGAAGGGACAACTGAGTGATGAGGCCTCAGAGACCACTGTTCAGGGGTCTCTCTGCCCTGCATAGCCCCTTTCCCTCTCCTGAGCCCACCCAATGTGCTGATCTTGACTTCCAGGCCAGATGTTTGGGGTGCCAGAAGAGAGACAGGGTTACTCCCACCACAGCCATTAGAGCTGTCCCTGGGATCTTTCAGGAGATACATGAGGGTCTGGGGCCCATAGCCAGAGTCTGGTTCAAGCCTGCCCCCTCAGGATGCCCCCAACCCCAGGGGACAGGAGGCGTCAATCACTCTGCCTTGTCAGAGTGCTGGGAGCACCACAGGCAGGCGGGGGACAGAGTGCAGGAAAAGAGGATCAGCCTTGGGGGGACTTAGGGTCGTCTGGTCCTGCCTTTCCCAAAGGGGCGCCTGCAGGATTGGATCTGCAGGATGCTGGCAGGTGCCCCATGGCCACAGGACCCTAGAGCCAGCCAACGCTGGGAGTTAAATAAACTCTGCAGTAGGAGAAGCAGCATCCTGAGGATCAGAGAGGTCGAGTGCAGGGGGTATGGCATGTCCCCCGGTCCTGACCACTGAGAGCTGTTGTTGCAGCGTGTAGTTAGAGACTAGAGAGCGGTGAAACAAGCCCTGGGAAACGCTGATGTGGCCCAGCCCCCACCCCTGCCCTCATTTTCAGCAAAGACCATGGCGGTAGCTCCCGGGCTCTCAGGCCAGGCCTCTCTCCTCCACGAGGTGAGGGAGGAACTAGCAGCTCAGCGAAGAGACCCAAGCAGGGCTTGGGAGGTGTGAGGCAGCTGTGGAGGAAAGCAGGGGCCAGGGTGGGCAAGCTCACCTTTCAGGGAGAAGGAGGAGCTGCCTTGGACGACGGGCAGGTCATTGTCAGAGTTCTGAATGCTGGAGGAGTACTCCCAGACCCGGGAGGTGTAGTTACCTGGCAGGACAAAGAAGGGCTGTCAGGCCCCCACAGCTGGGAGTGGGAGAGGAGGCAGGACCAGGACACAGCCAGGTCTATGACTCTCTAGCCGCTGGCCACAACTTAAGCCAGGATGCCACTGTGTGATCCCAGTGACGCCTCACCCCCATCCTTCTGCCACCAAAGCTATCTTTCTAAAATATAAAGCATAGTCTTGTCCCTGCCCTACCTAAAGGCCACTGTCCTCAGAATAAGGGACAAAGTCCCAAGAGCAGCCCAGAGCTCTGTCGTGAGTTGCTCCCCCAACCCCCACCACCCACCCACCATCTCCCACTTCTTGACTTCACCTCTGCCCTCCCTCCACCACTGGACATTCAAACCAGGCTAAGCCTCAGTGTCTGAGACACTCCATCTTCTCTCCTGCCCCAGGCTATGTGCCCAGACCCTGTCCTCTGCCTAGGACACTTCTCCTGCTTGCCACCCTCGGCGATTCATGGGTGGGGTCTTCAAGTGTCAGCTTACATGGCACCTCCCAACGTCTGCATGTGCCTTCAGCTTCATCCCCACATCGTCCTGCAACCCCTACCCTCTGGGTCGCAATTACATGTTCAATTGTCTGTCTCCCGCAGTGAGCTCACGTGAACTGGGAATGTGCCTGTCTGGCCCCTGCATCACACCTGGTGCCTGGCACAGAGCCTGGTTCCTGGAAGGTGCTCATTGTATGGTTGATGGATAGAATGCATGAACCAACGAACGAATGAATACAAACACATCCTAAAACTTGGGGACAAGACAGTTGATAGTTGCCAAGTTGAATAGGCTAACACATGCCTATGTGCAGACATGTTCTATAGTCCAGAGGAGAAGAAGGCAGTGGGAAAGGGGTGGGAGAAGCTGCCAGGGCACTCAGAGGGCACTGGAGTGGGGGGCTCAGAGTCCCCATGGGTGACGCACACTTCTCCAGCACCACACCCCCACCTGCCAGGCTTGAAGCATCAGTGACCTCCTTAGTCAAGCTCACTCCTTAGCAGCCTGTGGGGAGGGCTGGGGGCTGACTTTTGGGCTCAGGGGTCACAGATGGCTGGGGTTGGCCACCTGCCCCTGTGCAAAGCCCTCCCACAGGGATCCCAGGCAGCTTCTGTAGCAAGGCCTCAGTAAGCACGTCCAGCCAGGGTTCCGCGAGGCCAGACACCTTGCCCTCCTGTTCACTCATGCCTTTAGCCTCTCTCTCAACAACTGCTTCCTGACCCCCTCCTACTTTTGAGCTCTGGGCCTGTAGCAGCGAACAGGACAGACACAGCTCTGTCCTCAAGGTGCCCAAGGTCTACTGCATATGTGGAGGAGGGGTGCCGCTGATCACGGCTGTGAATCCAATTCTGGATGTAGAGGCCCAGGCATTGCTCTGGTGCCCCTGACCCTCCAGTCTCCATGAGTCTTGCCCTCACTGAAGAGTCCTCCAGTGCTATGTCTAGGGTGGGGGCTGACCCAGTCCCCTCCCTCCCTGTGCATGGCTGGCATGTGACCAGGAGCCCCCAGGACAGAACCAGGGTCTCCCAGAACCAGGTCTCATTGAATGCATGGCCCTGCCCTTGAGCAAATGGTCCCCTCAGAGCACTGGGCAGAGGGAGACCCTGAACTTAGCAGCTTCCCCTGGGGAAGCCACATCCCCACACCCATTTCATCCCATCTGGGTCTTAAGGTGCTGCTCGCTTGCCTCACCACCTGGAGCTCCAGGGCCAGCCCCATTTCCTGCCGTGCCTTCCTTTCCAGTCACAGCCAAGTTGACAACTAACCACTGTACGACTTTTCACTGCAGAAGTACTCAAATCAGTAGAGATTCTCTTTGGGTCCTCGTGCCCTCATACTTGTGGGGGGGGTGGCGCATTCCCCACACTTAAGCCCAAGGTGGCTGCTCAGACCCAGTTTTCCCCAGATCCTTCCTCAGGGATCAGAAGAGCACACAGACTCAGGGATCTCCAGGGATGCCGAGATTCCTGGCTGTTTTTCCTCCAGCCTAACTAATGGTGTCCCCCACACATGTACACACACACACACACACACACACACACACACACACACACACACACACTTTAAGCTCGGTAGGTAGGACCCCTCCCTACCCATGCCTGGACCCTCCACCCATCCTAGCTTCCCACATTCATCTCACACTGGGGTCCCAGCCCTGTGCCCCTGGACCCACCTCTATGCCCCTCCTGCCTGCACAGCCCCACATGAACTCTGTGCACCCTTGAGCTGAGCCACCACCTACCTTTGGTGCCATAGAGATTGTTGAAATTCTTCTGGGTGGTCTCCTTGGTGAAGCGGCCAGGAGACGAGGGCTGGTATGATGTCCGGACCCCACCTGTGAAGCAGATGAAGGGGGCTGTCATTGCAGAAAATTGTCTCATCAGGACTCCTTGCCCCCAAAAAGTTGCCCAAGTGCCCATCACAGGACCTGGATTCCACCACTGAGAGAAGTCCTTTGGGTCTGACATAAGTCAATCAACTAATTTATCACCCAAATTGGCATGCTTTTGAGAGTAGAAGGACTCTGTTAGTAACCGTGCAGAGAGCATCAGCATAAACTTGGAGAGGCCATGGCAACCACGAGGGCAGAAGCAGTAGGCTCTCAGCCACGTGAGGGTGGGGCCTCCTGGAAGTGGCCTAATGAGCCAGAAACACCTCCCAGGGGCCCACCCAGGCTGCTGCTTCCCGGGAGATCAGAGCCTCACTTCACAAGTGCTTTCCTTCCCGCACACCTGGGCTCTCACAACAGCCTTGTGAGGAAGCAGTGGGGACTGATACCACCACCGATACCCAGCTGAAAACAATGAGCTCCCCATGTGTATTCTAGCCCTCTGTTACCTCTGTCCTTCCCCACCTGACCCTCAGATGACACCACACCCCCATTTCCGGCCCTGCCAGTCCTTCCTGTAAGCCTTTGTGCCTGTGTTCCCTGATGCCCTCTGCCCTTCGCAGTCATGCTCCCTCTACTGAGCACAGGTTCCTGGAAATTCACCCCTCCAGGGAAGGAGTCACAGCCACTGTCAATCCCACTGACCTCAAAGCTCCCAGACTCAGGACCCAGTCCCTTTAGGGGCCTTGTTTCTTTCATCTCCTTGGTGATTGCTTCCTGTTCTCCCCCCAACTCCACCCTGAGCCTGGGAGCTCCCAGAGGGCAGATTTCCTGTCCCTCCTGTCCTCGGCACAGGCTACCCACAGTGCTTGGGCAGGGATGCCGGGGGAACCTGTTTCTTCCATCACAGACATCATAGACTGACTCACAGTGCAGAGCTGGGAAGTCTCCCAGCATGTGAGCACAACCTCCCCTCTCTTCAGATACAGGTACTGAGGCCTGCCCAAGATGCCCCAGGCCCTAGGCCCTCGGGGTGGCATCATAGTGGGTGCTGCTGTTCCCTCCACCCCCTCCCACAACCTGCAGGAGGCTCACACTGGGCCCTCAGTCTCCTACAGAGCAGGAGAGACCCGCAGGAGCCTGTCAGGGCACTCGATGGCACCCCAGGGCCTGGTCCATGGATGGAAGGGAGAGACAGGAGGGACAGGGCCAGGGCGAGGCCAGGTAGGGGTTCTGAGGAGAGGGGTGCTGGGGCCGGCACTCCCAGAACTTGCCCAAAGGCACAGCACCCCAGGCAGGGAGGAGGCAGGCTGGCCGGCTGGGGCCTGGCCCACACCAGGAATGTCAGAGGAGGGAAAGCCCAACAACCAAGAAGCCCAGGGGTTGTTTTCAAACTGGGTGGGGCGGCACAGGTGCTTTTCTGTTGAGCTCATCTCTCCAAATCCCCCAAGCCTCTCCCATTGTGTGTGTGAGTGTGTGTGTGTGTGTGTGTGTGTGTGTGTGTGAAAGACGTGTGTGAATTACTGATTAGCTCCCGGAGGCTTCCCCCTCCCCAGCCCCTGTGCCTTACCCAGGCCTCCCTCCTCCCCCAGCCTCCCTCTCCCACATGCACAGGCACACACCCTCATGGTCCGAGGGCTGGCACACCCACCCTTATGTAACGGGTATTGCTGTGGTTTGTTGCTGGCGCCCAAGAATGTGAGAGGCCACCACAGGGCAAGGACAGGCAGGCACTGGTCTGTGCTAGGCCGGCACCTTGCAGGCTGGGACTGTCCAGGGCCTGAGAGGGAGGGCCAAGGGGGCCAGGGTGCAGAGCCAGGAAACTCAGAAGAGGAGGGACCACTCTCCCTGCCTAGGGGAGCAGAATGGTCCTGGGGTCGGCAGCCATCTCACAGGGCTCAGCCCCTACAAAACCTGAGCCAAAGCAAAACACAGCACCGGCCTGGCAGAAGGGAGCCCAGGAGACCTCCGGAAGGAAAGAGAAGCAGAGGTGTGGGCTGGAAGTGAGAAGGCAAGGAGGGCAAAGAGGTGCTGCCTGTGTGGCCCGGGAGGAATGCCTCTGAGGAGCTGGCACCAGGTAACTTCTCATTCGAACCAGGACACTTCTGAGAGCTAACACAGACCTGTTCATCATCACATCAGGACAACACGTAGATGCCAGGACTTTCCCAGGCAAACTGGACATGCCATCACCCCCACTCAGAAGGAACCTGGCTGAGAGTCACTGCACGGACTTTGGGGGCCCCTGGGCAGCAGGAGAGACACTAGGTCTGGGGTGAGGGGCTCCCTCTTACCTTTGGGTGTCAGGTACATGGAGTATCTCTTCATGGTGTCCGGTGCACTCCACTCACCCCCGAAGCTGTTCGTGTAGTTGTTCACATAGCGATGGTCACCACCTAGGAAGCAGAGGGTCGGGTCAGCAGAGGAGCCAGGTGGGAAGGAGGAGCCAGCCACTGGGGACTTTTGGGGCTCAGATGAGTCACCCCATAGCCCTTCCCCTATCTCCCAGGCAGATCCAAGTTTCCCCAACCTCTCAGAGAATATGACGCCCTGCCCAGCATTCACTCGGTTCCTGAGCTCTTGGTGGAGAAGGTGTCTGCAAAGAGCCATCCACCCTCTTGAACTAAGCCCTTGTAAATACGATTGTGTGCACAACACTTCCTAGCACTTCACCTTTACAAGGTGCTATTAATGCCCATTTCTTATTTGATCCATACATCAATTGTGGTTGTATCCCCCTGAGACAGATAAGGAAATTGAGACTCAGGAAGTAAGAGAAGCAGCTTGCCCAATGTCACATGCCGATAAGGGCAGAGTTGGGGATTGAGCTCTGGCTCGCTACTTCCGGGTTCAGTCCCAGCCACTGCTGGCAGCCTAAGGTGAGGGGATGAGGTCCCAGTGTTGGCCTCCATGGCCCAGGGATCCAGGCAGTGGAGTGAGCTGCTATGGCAGGGGCCACTCAACTGCAGACCCCCTAACTCAAACAGATCTGCTGCTCGACACTTGACTTCCCTCAGCCACCTCCACCCCATTCCTTTCTCTTTCGACTTCCCCGTCTTCTACTTTCCCTGTCCTTCCCTCTCTCTCTCCTGAGCAAGAGGAGAAATGTGCCTGAGACCCTCATTCTTCATCTTCATCACCTGCGCCTATCAGTGTCCTGGTGCACAGCAGATACTCAAAGAATAAACAAATGCCCTCCTAGGTGTTAGCCCAGCCCTGTGCCCCACAGAGTCCAGGATGAAGTGGCCTGGTGTCTCTTAGCGCAGGGGCCTTTGAGGGTGTGGACGAGTCCCTGGTCTGGTGGGCAGGCTAGCATCGGGGAGGAGTGGATGGTCACTCCACTGTCTGACTCACCGGCCACCACCTCCTAGAGCAGACACACTCCCAGCAGCCACACGAAAAAACAACACAGAGGCAGAGGAGCCGCCCCCACGGCCCCAGGCACAGGTGTGGGCTACTGAATCAGCAGTGCCCATCCCTGCTCCTGCTTGCCACCTCGCCACACACCTCGTACAGGACGCAGGGCCACACCTGTACAGAGGCCGTGGCCAGCATTGTGACCTAGAAATGGGACAGTGAGCGGCCAGGAGCCTGAACAGTTTCTGCAAGGCTCACCCCACCCCAGTCTAGGCCATCCCCCAGGCCTGGCCGGACCTCACCGGAGGGGCTGCCCTGCCGAGTTTGTACCCCAGGGACGATGATTATCACACTCCTCAACCCCACTTCTGCAGCCACCGCCAGCCGCAGCTTCTCAGATGAGAGGGCATGGGAGACTGAACAGCAGAGTGTTCAACCCCGCCGTACCCCCTACCGAGCAGTGCGCCCTTTGAAAGGATGCTTCTCTGAGCCTCAGCCTTCTCGCCTGTAAAATGCAGTACACCCCACAGGGAAAATAAGGTAATGTGCGTGAGAAGCTCAGTGAAATGCCCGGCATCGAGCGAGCACTCAATCATTGTCAGCTGTCACCATCACCATTAGCATCATCACTATTGTCATTAGAAGGAGGATTTCGGGATCTGAGTGCCGTTTGAAGCCAAATGATTGTCTTGCTGAAATGGCTTATCTGTCCTTGTGTGTGATTGAATGTCCCCCACATTTCACAGGGACACCATGTGATATTGCCATCGCCAAGGTGCACAAATGGCCTCCTGAACCCCAACCCTTCTGCACACTTTTATCCCCCTCACCCCCTTCTCCTCCCCCAAAGAATCATATGCTGTGTCTGGAGAGCAATCAGGGGTCCTTTCCTTTGGGGTATTCACGTCTAGCAGTCATTAACAAGGCTGTACTCTCAAGGCCCCGTGCAACGCCTGGGACACCGGGTGGGGCCTTGGGGAAAGTGCCCAGGCTTCAGGCCCTAAAGGGACTGGGTGGAAAAGGACTTGACGATGTTGTTTCTCAGGTTCAGAGGTTTTCTGTGAGATGATTCAGTTGACCTCTGAGGGGACAGCATGACTCAGAAGAAGAGCTGACTTCAAGGGAGCTGGTGAGTCACAGAGACACTGTGTCCCACCGTCCCCAGCCCAGCTCAACAGGCCAAGTCCAGCCTCTGGGCTCAGCACTGCTCAGCATGGCCATGATGACAGGCAAGTCCTCCCTCCAGGCATGGCTGCAGTTCTAGGTCACGTCTGCTAGAGTCTGCAAAGCCACCAGTTTGGAATCTGGCCCATACTAGTGGCAGCATCCACACAGCTGCTGGGCTGGGCCCGGCAATTAGATGTAGATCTGAACGAAACCAGTCTCTGAGTTTGATGGACAACCCACAGAGAGGAGGCATTTGTGGAGCCAGTGCCCAGGATGTCCCTGCTCTGGAGGTCTCTTCCTATAGTTGCATAACTTTGGCAGCAAGTTCAAAGGAGGAGGAGGGTTAGAATCCCTGTATCCTAGTCCAAACGGCCTGAGGAAGGGTGGGTGGGTGGGTGGGAACAATGAGAAGAAGCTCACTGGAGGCCAGCCCATGTCAGGCAGCAGGAATTGATTTGGGAGAGAAAGGTCTATGGCCTTGGGGCCCAGCCACGAGAGGGGACCTACCGTTCTCCATGTGGTTCCTCTCAATGAAGTTACGGCTCAGGTCCGCCTTGCACATCTTCTCAACGTGGCGCATGCATACATTGAGCAGGTCGTCCTTGAAGTTGCCTAGTGACTGTCCCAGGCCCTCCCCCTCCAGCAGGACATGATAGGTGGGCAGGGGTGGGGGGAGAGAGTAATTGCTCATCAATGCACCAAATTCCTACCAAGAAAGGAAAGAACCATTAACTGCCTGGGTCTTCATGAGCTATGAGGACGCTTCTCTGCCAGGGGCTCTCACAGTGCAGCTGGGGGTCTCAGCGCTGCAAGCCCCACTCTTCCTCACTGGATGTTTGTTTCTTCTGTAACATGAAAAGGTTCAACTAAAAGCCACTGGATGCTAACATCCCTGATGGCACTAGCGTTCAGATGTGTGACTCCACGACTCCCACCTCTAAAGTGGGTGCATCTGTTTACCTCATAGGGTTTATGAGAGGGACACAAACTGCAAAGACTGGGAGTGAACACACTAAAGAAATGCAAGGAATTACTATAGAATTTGGGGTCAGCCATGGTGGTATTTCTTTCTTTCTTTTTTTTTTTTTTGAGGCGAGTCTCACTCTGTTACCCAGGCTGAATCTCAGCTCACTGCAACCTCCGTCTTTTGGGTTCAAGCAATTCTCCTGCCTCAGCCTCTCAAGTAGCTGGGATTACAGGTGTGTGACACCATGCCTAGCTAATTTTTTTTTGTATTTTTAGTAGAGATGGGGTTTCATCATGTTGGCCAGGCTGGTCTTGAACTCCTGATCTCAGGTGATCCACCTACCTTGGCCTCCCAAAGTGCTGGGATTACAGGCGTGAGCCACCATGCCCAGCCCACAGTGGTATTTCAACTTTTACACGCCATGCTCAGTGCTGCCTTTGCACTTCTCATTTCCCTTACTCCTCACCGAAGACTCTGTCCTCCCTCTCAAATCCTAACCGGCCTCCAAGACCCAGTTCAAACTCCACCTCCTCCACAAAGCTGTCTTAGCTTCCTCCAGCCCACCTGCCCTTCTCTGAGCTTCTACAGGCACTTATCTCCTGAGCCATATGCTTTATCATTTAATTACACACTTTTCTATATTGTTCTTTAATTGTACATGTCTTATCTTCCCAGCTGGATTGCAGTTGCTTGGAGGCAGAAACCATGTCTTGTACTTCTCTATTCGCCACAGCACCTAATAGAGTACTGGGCATGCAGTAGTATCTAAAACACTCTAGCAGATGGAAGGATGAATGGATGAATAGACAAACGGACTAGATCCAAGATAACAAATATGCAGCACTCCTACACCACTCCCCCTCTACCCGATTCACTGATCTCACAACTCTTTCCTACTGAGCCCAGAGCACTGCTAGCACATATCAATTGAAGTTGGTAAAAGGTGATATTTGTTTGCCATCTTGAGAGTAGGTAAAGAAATGGATTGGATTTAAAAAATTAAACAGAGAGAATGGCGCTTGGATAGATGGATGAATGGATGGATGGTTGGATGGCTGGATGGTGGATGAACAGATAGACGAATAGGTGGATAAGTGGATAGGTGGATGGATGGATGTTGGAGGGGGGTCTCAAAAAGTGGATTGTGAAATCGAGGGCTTGAGTGACAGAGGAGTGGCTTGTTACCTGCAGAAACAACACAGAGTCGCTGATGCTATGCAGCTGCTCCCGGGTCTGCTTGTCCTCATGCAGCACCTTGGCTCTCTCATCCAGAGCATCCATGATCACCTTCACTTGGTCCACAGCATCCTGCTCCCGCTGCTCCAGCGCAGCCCTCACTTCCTCCTTTTGCTTCTCCAGGTCCCGCACCAGGTCCCGGAAGTTCTGCTCCAGGATGGCCTTCTCATTGGTGGTGAAGCTCTGGAGGTCCAGAGTCAGGGAAGAGATTAGGCAGGGCTTTAGTTAGGGAAAGAAATCACCCTAGTCGGGTATGTCTTTAGGTTTCCAGCACAGGATCAGGGCATTCCCACTGCCCCAACCTGGCAAGCCTATTTGGCCAAGAATCTCATTCAAAGGCATCACTGAGGGATGCCACCTACTGACAGAGATAGCCAGGTTTGTTCACAGTCCACGCTTCTTATCTACCTGTGGCTCCTTCCTCTTGGTGGGTTGATATGAGCCATCATTCCCTGTGGGCCCCAAAGTTCTCCCATGGGTCACAATATGCTCCCTGAAACCCTAACCAGAACCAAACATTATTCAGAAAATGAATGTATATGTAGAAATGTGTATTCAGAAAATGAATGTGTATGCTGGCTGTGTATGTAGTCAGGGTCAAGCAGGCAGTGATTTCAGATTGTGGTTTGCAATTACCCAAACCATGGCAGACATACATTTAGCCAAAATGGCATAAGTAGAGAAGAAATGGTGTGTATTTGGTGGCTGGGGAGTCTTGTGGGCAGAACAGACATTGGAGGACATTGGAAGACACACTGGAGGAAAGTCTGGGGTCTTTACTTGCTGGGATAATATGAAATGGGCATTAGGTCACAGACAGGATCCCACCTGAGTGCCTGGCTCAGACTGAGAAGGGGAGTTGGTGAGAATGTCAGAGGAGGTGGGAGAAGCCAGAAGAAACATATTGGGATGTCTACGTGGGCCTGGGACTCAAATGGGAGCCAAGGCCTGCGTCTTTCCAGGCAGGCCAGGTCGGGTAAGGGAGCAGCAAGGTGAGCTTGGGGGCTGCTCACCTTGATGCGGTCCTTCTCCTTCTGCCACTTCTCAGCTTCATCCTCAATCTCAATGATCTTGAGCTGCAGCTGCTCCTTTTGCAATGACAGCTCCGTCTGCAGAGAAAGAGCCAGGATTGGAGAAGTCAGGGGGAGGAGATGGAAGAGAACCAGAGAACCAGGGAGCGGCTCCACTCAGGGGGCACACTCGCAGCCAGGGCTCATCACTCATCTATTCAGCTCTTCATTCAGCAAACATTCATCAGGACCTCGGATATGCCAGGCACCATGCCAGTCGCCAAGGATCTAGCAGTAAGTTAAATACCATCTTGCTGTATTCTCAGGCCACTAGGGCTGGATATCCTAGCCATGTCTTTTTAAGGGCTAAACCTCTGCCTATCTCCTCCACCCAGCAAGAGCAGGAGGGAAACTCATTTACAGGGTGCTTGCCCTTTTCAGTGGACCTGGGGACAATGGGAAGAGAAAGGAAGGGGATCCAGCCCAGCTCAGCCCAGCCCAGCCCAGGGAGTGTCTCGTGGCAGTAACAGTGTGCAGCGTTTCTATGGCATGACGTAGGGCTGTGTTGCAAGCAGCAGCCAGGGTTGCCGCCGGCGTGGACTCCGTCTGGGCAGGCACAGCTATAAAACCTGTTTATGGGAAAGGGAAGGCATTCTGCAGTTTTGGCAAGACGGAGACTTTTACCCAGGGGCTCTGGGGAAGGAGAAGGCTGGAGAGGAAGGCAGTGTAGAGTGGAAGAAGAGGTTGTAGGGACCCCTGCTCAGGAAGAGGACACAGACTGTTGGGGTCTGGGGTGGTTTAGGAAGAGGTTGTATCAGTAGCACACTGGGACATTAGCTTTCACTCCCATACTCACCTTTCATGTGGGGAAATGCCCTTCTCTGAAAAGCAGCCACAATAGAGACAAAAGGAGAGGCATGAAGCTAAGGCCAATCCCATCCAGCCAAGCCTCTGTTCTGCTGGGCTGTCCTGTAGGACACTCAAAGCCCCTTCTAGCATGGACAATAGGTGGATGATCTCCACCTGACAGAACAAAGCATCCAAGAGAGCCTTGGATTGCTCCAGATCTCCCCACTACCACTGGGTTTTGAATGCAGAGTCCCACCCCTTTCTCTGGCCATCACCTTGCGGAGCCCAAAAGAATAGTCAAGGTGAGGATGCCACAAACCTCTAGGAATGGGAGTCCCATCAGCCAGGAGTCATGAGCACCTGGGCACATGCAACACCATGCGGCACACCTTCTGAACGCCCCACCGGGCCAAGGAAGTGCTAACAGGGGACCTCCTGCAGGCACCCGGGGAAGTGGATCCGATGGCAGATAGAGCTTCCCTGGCTTTCCTGGAAAAGGTGCCCGGAGGGTGGGGAAGGCATGGGGCAAGAGCCACAGAGCTTCCCAGAGAGTCCTTGAATCCCTGGCCTCCCCGCCCCCACCACCACATTCCTGGACTCTCCAGGCAGGGAGATTCAGAGTTGTTCTCAGTAGCATTTGCCCCACCAGCAAACGGCCGGAAATGCCATAGCATGGAAAATACCATCACCAGAGATGGAAAAGAGGACCTAAGGAGATGAGGATGGAGATTTGGCCCCATCTCTGGAAAAAAGTCTGGAGAGAAGCCAGCAGCCACTAAATAAGGTGGTGAGAGAGTGGAAAACAGAGAAAGCAGGCCCACTGTAATGGCAGAAACTCGACCCTCACACTCTCTGACGATGCAGAGCCCAAGAGCCCAGGAAACACAGGCTGGCAGATCCCACAGCCCCAAAGGCCTCTTAGGAGGCTGGATTTGGCAAGCAGATCTGAGCTGTGAGGAAGAGTCCAAGAGAGTGGACTGGGGGTCTGTCCGAAGCACCTTTCTCATCCCTGGAGAACTCCTGAGTGAAGTCCAAGGTCAGGGAACAGCTGGAGACCCCCAACCTCCTGACCCAGCTCAGTGATGGAGGAGTTGGCACCTGGGTTCCTCACCCCACCTTACCACCCCGAGGACAAGGTCTGATGGAAAGGAAAGCAGAGAACAAAACACAATCCCTCCCACCATAGGCCAGGGCCCAGCGCTGGTAAAAGTCCTGTCTCAAATAGGAGATGGGCAGCCCTTCCATGAAATGAGCAATGGTGGGCTCAGAGGGGGCTCCCCAGGAGCACAGGACAGCAGGTGCCTCTGAAAGTTGCCTGGCTTCTCTGTGCCTCAGTAGCCCTGTCTGGTCCATGGGAGCAGGAAGAGGACCTGCCTTCCAGGGAAGCTGTGGGATGCCCTGGGATTGGGAGTGAAGCCCCCAGAAAGCATTTGGCACAGCGTGAGCACTGTCTGAGCAATGGTTCCCATCATCACTATTGTGTGGGCAACTTCCATGGACCAGGGGCCAGGCTGGGTGCTTTCACTCACACCATGCTCGGAGCAGTGTGTGCAGCATGGTGGGCAGGTGGGCCCGGCATTGGCAAGTGAGGAGCACAGCAGATGTGGTCAGGTGAGGGGTTGGTGGTGTTCAGTGGTGAGGATAGTGTACGCTGTCAGATTGGGATCCAGATGAAGTGTGTACACTGTCCGGACACAGAGTGAACAGTAGGGAGTGCATAGAGAGGCTGGTGAGGTCAAGACACTGGGCTGAATGCAAGAGGGAAGCGTAGCTCATGGATAATTGAAGATTGGAGGACACTGGTGGAAATGAAGGAGGACAAAAGGGGATGAGGGTGGACTAACCACCTGCAAGTGGCAGAAGGTCTGACCAGAGAAGGTGAAGGCCAGGAGTTGAGTGCCTGGAGTGAGCAGAAGTGCACAGGGAGACCAGGTGAGGGCTGCATGGTTGGGGCTGCAGAGGAGGAAAGGTCTCCCCAGGTGAGCGTGGATTCATTGGCCAAGACAGACGAAGGAGATAGTGAGTTCAGGGATGCAGAATTCAATGGGGATTAGAACAAAGAAGTGTCTAGGCCAAGGGCAGGGAGAGGCCAGTCCCTCAGGAGTCCATCCTGTGTAAGAGAACAAGGGAAGAGGGCAATAGGGCTAGTTGAGCACCGAGGGGTGGAGAGTAGAGCCAGAGGTGTTGGCGGATGATGTGGAAACCTGTGAGGGCAGGGCCAGAAGGGGAGACTGTCTGCAGCTGTGGGCAGAAGAGTCGGTCAGGGTGGAGGAGAGACTTGGCCTCCTATTTCTTTGGGGCACTGAAGAAGTAGGACACAGGCTGGGAAGGGGCCTTGTTCCCACAGCATGTCTTGCAAGACCAGACCGGCAGGACACAGCAGGCTCTTGGAGTTCCCATGGACTGGGAACTCTGTGCTGCTAGAATGGTCCTTTCTCACCTCTGGGATGAGTCCTACCCTGTCGGGGGAGGAGCATTTGGGGTGACAGCTAGGGATGCACCTTGTGTCTGTTCAGCTCTTGGCAATTTTTCCTGTATAGGAAGTAATATAACATGGGAAGGTTTAAAAGTCGCTGGGCTCTCCTTCAACACTAGGAGAGGGAAGGAAGGCAGTGTTGATTACTGAGCATCTAGTATGTGCCAGGACTTTTCTCCTTTAACCAGCAAAAGCCTCCTGTGGAGGTAAGTGGCATTATCCCTCCGACTTCACAGGTGTGAAAACCGAGGCCTATAAAGATTACACAGCTTGCCTGAGTTCTCACAGTTGGAAAGCGGTAAGGCCAAGCTTCAACAACAGGACTCAGATCCTATTCTGTGCTTCAAGAGGCGCACCTAGAGGTGGTGGCACTAGGCTGTCCTGTGTGTCTTCTGTGGCATCGTCCTTCCCCTTCACTCCTGCTGGCCTAAGCCCTCCCATGCTCCCTTCACCTTGCAGATGGCACTTTGGCAGTTCCATCTCTTTCCTTTTGCCCCCGCTTCCCTCCCAGCACCCTCCCCATTGTCCTCTGAGGCCCCAGCTTTCTCTCTCCCTCTCTCCCTCTTCCCTCAGAAAGTGGTTGAAGGCCCTGATGGCTGACAGGGCCTCTGATCCCCACAGTCCCGCCCTGCCCACACCTCCCTCCTGACTTCCTACTCTCCGCTTCATTCCTCCCTGCCCAGGCCTGTCCCTAAATGACTCCTTTGTTCCCTTCTCCCACACCTGTCTGTTTGCCTCTTGCTCTCTGATGCCAGGAACGGGCCCTGCATGGGCCACCTAACCTTGAAATCCTTCAGCCTTGGGTGAGCAGAGGTTTTCCCGAGAGCAGATGGGTGGTGCAGCAGCTAGCAGTGCCTCAACCTGGACGTGGTCTTCAGGTGGAGACACACCTGAGCACCCACCCGGATAGGTGTACCTGCACTGGCTCCAGGGAGGAGAGGACTGGCCATGATCTTCCCCTGGCCTGAATTCACTACATGGGCCATCGGCTGTGACATTTGCCAAATGAGCCAGTTAATTGCCAAATTTGTACTCTCAGACAAATGGTAATTATCTGGATAAGAATCTGAAATGCTGGATAGATTTCCCCATTTCCACTCGGACGTAAAACAGCCCAGGATCAGTTAGTCTGTTTGACTGAGATTTACTGTTCCTTTTGCCTCCTCACAGCCTCAGGTCAGGGGAGGGGTGAGATGGGGCAAGGAAGGTATCACCCTGGCCATCTCCAGCCAAGAGTGGGGAAGAAGACAGAATGCCAGGCCCACAGAGAGTTAGCACCCCCCTCAGTCTCCTCCTTCACCTTGCAGATGGGGACGCAGGCACAGTGGGAACCTCCCCTTCCTGGGCCTTGGTTTCCTTGTGGTGAAATTGGACTAGATCTCTGATTCCCAACCCAGCTACACATTAGAATTCTCTAGGGAGACCTTTAAAATACCTCCTGGGCTAAGGCCTGGGAATCTGTGTTTCAACAATTCACCAGCTGATTCTGGTCTGGGGATTGCTGTTTGGGAGCCACTGGACTCGGTGATCTCAAGAAGACCCTTCCAATCCTACAGGAACAAAAAGGCTTAAAATAGCGGAGAGGAATCCCAGCTCTGCCACTCTTGAGTGCTGTAACTTGTGTAAGTCTCTTGACGACTTTGACCTTGTTTCTTCATCTACAAGTAGGACATGCTGGGCCCGGCACTGGCACTCAGGTGTGTGCCACAGACACTGGGTTGCCTCCTGCCTGCCTGTCACTTTGCTCCCCTGCTTCCTGTCTCCAAGCTTCTTTTATTTTGTTATTTCCCCCTTAGCACCCAGAGAGGCCCCCCTACCTCCTTTCTCACCCACCCTGTCCCAGGGCAAGCATTCTCCCCCAAAGTCACCAAGGTCTCCAGGGAAAGTGGGCCCAGCCCCTCCAGGGCACCCTGGCCTTTAGCCTGGCTCCCCTTCCCGAATCCCAAAGAGCTTTCCTGGGCAGACCAGCGCTGCTCAGAAAAGCAAGGACCAGCGGCTGCCCATGCCCAGCAGCCAGTGGCTCAGCTTTTGTGTTAGAATTGGGAATGAGACGAGAAACAAAGCCACAGATGTGGTGAGAGAACTGAACTGAACCAAATGGTGGGGTTGAGAGAGTGGAGGAGGTGTGAGGCTAAGCCTCTCCAAAGCAATGCTCCTAGCTGAGTGACCTCCACACACGCCTCGTCATGCTGCCACCCCAGAGCAGGCCAGATCCATGACAGTGCAGGGCCCCCCAAGAGCAGCCAGCCGTCCACCCAGGAGGTCTTAACATCCTGGCCTGCTGAAGCTTGAGATAGGCAGAAGGAAGGGCCATAAGACACAGAAAGGGATGTATGTGTACATTTCAATCTCACCCACCTAACCTAGCCTGGGAAGTGTTCAGTGGCAGAGGGGAAGACAGGAGGACATGTATGAGGCCTATTGTGACATTTGGGGTGGCACTGGAAACATGCTGACCCAGGGACCACCAGAGGAAGGTGCTGTCATGTTGCCGCACCAAGCGATCTTTTTCTAACAGAGACTCTGCTCAGAGTCTGTAGGTAGAGCTGAGGCCCAGAAGACAGGCACCCACAGCCCTGGGTGTCATCGTAGCCTCACACCACCAACCGAGGCAGGTCTGAGGCTGTATCACCTGGGCCTTCACCACTGGCCTGCGGAACGGGTTCTGAACAAAGCCACTTGCAAACAGCTATGCGTGGGCTGATGTTTGGGTCTGCAGGAGATGCCTCAAAAGGATGCCAGGACTGGCATGCTCATTCACTTTGGCCCATCTACCCACTAACCCTGCTCTGTGCCAATGTCCCCCACCTGTGACATTCCAGCAGAGCCAGGCCGAGACAGCCCGTGTGCCCAGCTCAGTCTCCTGGCTTCCTGGCTCCACTTCTCCCCGCCTAGCCCTATGCTGCAGGTGCACATGTGTGTGCACACACACGGAGGCTACCTGAAGCTCCCACCATCACAGTCACTTTAGAGGACCAGGCATTTTCTCCTAAAACACACATATCCCAATCCCATCCCCTTGGGGCCCTTTCCCTGAGGCACTCTCAAACACTGGAAGAGGGCTTAGGGGGCTTCCTCCTCAAACAAGGACCTTGGACAGGCCCCTTCCTTCCTCTGTGCCTGTGTCCCTATCTGCAAGGTGAGGGAGGACACTGAGGGGGTGGCTAATACTCTGTTGGCCCGGCATTCTGTCTACTACGGTTTGACGTTAACTTCTAGCCGCTCTGTGTAACTAGACGGGCGCTCCCCAGTCCTGTTTGTGTGTATGAGCCCTGCCTCCTGACCCACATCATGAGCCCTCCCTCAAGGAAGAACTGTGAGTCCCTCAGCGGCCCCCATGCCAGAACCCGAACTCTGAACTCTGAGCTCCTGGCACATCCACATAGGGCTGCCCAAGACCCTCCTGCCCACCAGAACCACATCTTCCAGGGGTGCCCAGGCTTAAGCAGAGATATCCTTGGTTGAGACCAAATTTGAGGCCAAACCCACATAGAAGATAATCAATAAGAATGTCCTTTGCTTGTAGTCGAGGTGGGAACCTGAATGCTCCGCCTTCTTGACACTTCTTTACCCCCTCCTCATCCTGAGGCCTCGAAGACATGTCTAAGAATTCCAGGGCTCTGTGGGGTAATTTGAAAACCAACAATCTAGCCTCACCCCTTGGGAGAATGAGACTGAGCGTGGAAAGGACTTATTCACAGCCTTACAGTTAGTTAGAGGCAAAAACTGGGACTGGAACTCGGTCACATTTCCTAAAACCTTGTCTGAGGCTCTGCAATTTCTCAGCTGCTGTGATGAGGATGATTGCCTCTTGTTCTGTCTAACCTCCCAAGTAAACTCCCTAGAATGAGTTTCATGGCCCCGTCCCATCTATATCTCTCAGTATGAAACCTGAGGCCACGCTGGGGTCAGAAGATGGGGGAAGCTGGAAACATCTTCTTCCTGGGCCAAACGAGGCTTCTGGAAGGAATCTGTGAGTCTGTTCCCCTCTCTACCTCAGCCCTTTCTGTCCAGGGGTGTGGGTGAGAGATGAAGGGAAAGAGTAATCAACCAGCTCCTCCTGGTCAGGAAGGCTGGGCAGGAAGGAATCCTCTGCTGTCCAGATCTGAGGTGTGCAGAAGCTCTTCAGGAAAGTGGAGTTCACTGCTTTGGAGGCCAGGAAGGTTTGCCCCAGGAAGGCCACCCACAGCAGGAAGCTGTGTACCTTAGGGAAGAGTGAGCCCCACATCTGTGGGGCAAAGGGCAGTGGCCACAGCTGGGCCCTTTGCCCAAATCACCTTCCCCAGGTATGCTACATCCACAAGCCTGCACTTGCCTCTGCTCCTCCCCATAGAAGTACAGGCACAGTCACATAGAACTCATGCAAACACACTTACGTATCACATATATGAATACATGCAAACATCCACAAAGGCACAAAAACACCCACGTGCACATAAAATAAACACATATACAGATGCTCCTCAACTTGTGATGGGGTTATTTACCAATAAACCCATTGTAAGTTGAAAATGTGATAGGTCAAAAATGCTTTTAATACACCTAGCCTACCAAGCATCATAGCTTAACCTAGCTTACCTTAAACTTGTTCAGAGCACTTACATTAGCCGACAGTTTGGCAAAATCTTCTACTACAAAGCCTATTTTGTAATAAAGTGTTGGATTTTATGGAATACTGTACTGAAAGCATAGCACTTTCACATCATTGTAAATCAAACCATCCTAAGTCAGGGACTAGCTGTACACGTACACGCCATCCACACACAAACTCCAAACTTCCCCAACGGTGTCCGCCTGCAGGAATATGTGTGTCCACACACAACCACACACGCAAAACACAGGGCCCAGCTGGGAGAAGGATAAAGGAGGCTGTGGAGGAAGTCAAGAGACCAGCTGGGGATCAGCTAGAACAAGAAGCCACTGTACGACAATAAAAACTACAAAGACAGCAAGAAGGACCTTTCAGTGGGCCCCAAAATTCTCTCCTTCTAGTATCTTTCCTCACCCACAACCCATTCCCCAGGGGCCAGTCCGACTCAGGTTGGAGGAATTATCTCTTCTTCAAAGCAAAAAAAAAAAAAAATAAAAGAAGAAGAAGAGGAGGAAGAAGAGGAAGAGGGAGAAGGAGAAGAAGAAGAAAGAAACACCTCAGCCAGGCACAGAGCCCAGAAGTGAGGTCTATGCAGTTGGGTCATACTCTCTAACCTGACTCGAATTTATCCTATGACTTTGGTCAGGCCCTCAACCTTTTCTGAGTCTCCATCCGCTCATCTAGAAAATGTCCCTGTCTCCTGAGACCTTAGGGGATTGGGGAGCAACCTCTGATCCCCAGCTGGGATTAGGGGGGACAGGGGGCATGAGGGGAAATAAATGTTTTCTAAAAGAGCCAAGGACAGTAGAAACTTAAGCCCCAAACCCGAGGAAGCCCGAGTGGAGAAGATGAAGTTCGGAGGGGTGGGGTGAGAGAGGAGAGGCCTGGAGGGGCAGGAGGGGCCCCAGCACTTACCTCCTTCTCGGCCTTGGCCTCCTCCACTGTCACGGTGCTATGATTCTTGTGCTCCTGGAACATGCAAAGGTAGCAGATGCAGGTCTGGTCGGTCTGGCAGAAGAGCTCCATCGTCTTGCCATGCACGGGACACTTGCGGGCCTCAAAGTCCCGGATGGGCTCGAGCAGCTGGTGGTCTCGGAAGGCGGCGCCCTCCAGGTGGGGCTTGAGATGCAGCTCGCAGAAGGAGGCCTGGCACACCAGGCAGGACTTGACCGCCTTCTGCTTGTTGCCGATGCAGGAGTCGCACAGCACCTCCTCGGAGCCGGACTTGGACCGTGAAAAAAGGCCCGTGTCGGCCCGGGGGTAGCTGTTCCGCCGGGTCTCCCCGGGCTCCATGATGGACACCGTGGGCTTCCGGGACTCCGAGAAAATGGACTTGCGCAGCTCGCCCTTTTCGGCAAAGGTAACGGGTGGCTTCTTGGCAGCCCCCAGCTGGAGCCCTGCGTACGGCGACCTCTTGCCTTCCATAGAGTCCATGCTGAAGTAGTTGGAGTTCTTGTCGTCCCCGGACTCGACAAACTGGATGATGGGTCGCCGCCACTCATTGCCCGCGAACAGGGCGCTCCTACCTTCCCCTGGCTTCAGGGCGCTGCCCAGGCTCTTGCCCTCAGCTGCCTCCCCGCCGTGCCCGTTGGTGGTCTTGGCATCCTTGCCGTCAGCCTTGGTGCCATTCTCCAGGCTGCCACTGGGGCCCGACGGGCTCCGGGCATCCCTGGCTTCTGGGCTCGACCCGTTGCTCCTGGAGGCATCTGCAGCTTCCATCGCAGGGTGCTTGGCTGAGCTGTTTCAGGCTTGCTGGGGTTCAGGATAGGTGACCTTTCTGGCAGGCGTCTCGGCAGGGAGTGGGGCAGGCAACCACGAGGACTAGAGACACACCTGTGAGGAGGAGGAGGGGGAGGAGGCGGAGGAGGAGGAGGGGGAGGAGTGGAGGGGAGGAGCAACAGGCACAAGCCTGACACAGCGGCCCGGGAGAAGCAGGGAGCCCCGCAGCCAGCAGAGCAGATAATTGCACAGGAACCACGCCCTGCACATTCATCCCTAACCTGATTTTTAAAAGAAGTGTTTTTTCTCCCCCAGCTTATTTTCCACAACTCAGCAACCAGTTGGGCTGCTTCCCTCTGACGCACTTGCTTCTCATCCGGGGAGCGGGGAGTCTCCGTCTTCACAAGTGGGCAGGCTTCACTGAGCCCAGAGGCCCCTGGGGCAGAAGGTGAGGTGTCTGCAGAGGCCTACCAGACACAGGGCTGTTAACTGGGTCACACAAGCCAAATAGCCTTGTAATTTGCAGGCCTGAGTTTCAGAGGAAAGATTGTCCACCCTGGGACTGTATCGCTGCTTTTCACCTTAAGGGGGAAGGATGGGTTCCATTTGATTTGGCTACTGAGTATTGAACCCTACTTGCCAACCTCCAGGCACTTTCCTAGGTATTGCATATATTACGAGCTCATTCAGGCTTCCCTAAAACCTGTTCAATTACCCCTTTTTAACAGATGAGAAAACAGGCTTTAAGAAGATAACTCACTGGCCTAAGTCAAGTGGCCGAGCTGGGATTTGAACCCTAAGCCTTTGAGAAGCCAAAGTCCCTTCTTCAGCTGGGTGGTCATGGAGTCACCTGAATATCTCATCAGAAGATGGCTTCTGAGAGTCTGTCCTATCCCAATGGCCCCAACAAGATACATATAGACCTTAGATTATTGCTACCTGCGTGGATTCAAATGACCAAGGCACAACAATGAGGGGAATCCAAGCAATGCCAGCCCAGGTGGTTGGGTCCTCAGGGCCCAAACACTTGACTCTCACCTGTCTCCACACTTGGTCTGCTGTGTGACTCAGAAAACACCTGCCCATCCTCTCTGGGCCAGGCCACAGGCAATGCCCTCCAAAAAGAGGTCAGCAAAGTGTGAGATTCAGATAATCTCAGAAGTCACCTGTTCAAATATGACTATCATATAAATACAGACCTCAGGAAGAAAAGTGAGAAAAACAAACTTCATCCCCTTCCTCTCCGTGGCCCCTGCGGAACACCAGGACCCTTAGCTCTTGTAGGACATGCCCCCCAGCCACTTCTGGGCTCTGACCCATTGACCTGGTCCTAGGAAGCCTCCAAACCCCTAAGGAAAGGGCCGTGCCTCTCCAAGGCCAGGCTGGGCAGGGCAGAGCAGACAGTAGGTGAGGCTGGCGTGGCAGGTTCTGGGCTGTGTGGAGGGGAATGGGTTTCCCTTCCTTCCCCTCCAATCCATGTCAAGCTAGGAAGCCCCCGCCCCTTTGCCTCACCAGGCTGAGCAGCTAATCCTTTGCAAAAACAGCCCCTGGGAACAAGGGCAGAGACAAGCCCACCTCACAAAGCAGTTCACTTATGAGAGGATGTATGTGAGGTGGTGTTGGCGTGGGGAGTGCTGGCTTCATGACGGGGATTCTCCTCTTGCCTGAGGTCTCTGTCTGTGGGCCCCAAAGGAGCCCCCTCTTGTTTGAACTCACTGGTGAATTGGCTAAGAGCTTGTTGGGCCTTCTGGGGAGGGGGACACTTACTCAAAATGCCAGGCCCAATTTCTCTGGGCTCTTGCCTGAGGTACGGAGGGAGAAGGAGAGAAGGAAGTCCTGTCCTGGCCTGCTGGATTGGGACATGCCCCTCCCCTTTCCCTAATAATATTTCCCTAACCTGGAGAGAACAGGCGGTGAGGAGAAAAGAACAGAGAGGACACAAAGAAACAGAAGAGGAAAGTCATTGGGTTCTGGCTACAGTCCAACATCAATGCTGGATGAGCCTGGGGCACCCTGGAGGGCCTCCGCTAGTTCTTACAGTTCATGCACCCATCTTCCAGAAATCTGGGGAAAGATTCTGAACCTTAGGAATAGGCTGACACAGAGTAAATGTTCAGAGAATATTTGTGGGTGGGTGGATGGACAGACGGATGGATGGATGGATGGATGGATGGATGGATGGATGGATGAATGCATGGAAGAAGTTAAAGCTAGATGAATGTGAATTGGGAAATAAATGAACAGATGGATAAGATGTGTAGATAATGGATAAGTGGGTGGTTGGATGATGAACAAATGGATGAATGGATGGATGGGTAGATGGATGGGTAAATGAAATAAGTAAAAACTAGATGAATATGAATAAGGAAATGGGTGGATGGATGGATGGACAGATAGTTGAAGAAATGGGTAAAAGAATTTTTAAAAGAATGGAAGAAGAGAGAAAGAAAGGGTGATACATGGGAAGGAGAGAGGAAAGAGAAGGGAAGAGTAAGGAAGGAAGGAGACAGATAGGCAGTAAGTAGGTGAGTGAGTGGATTGCAAGGTATGCTGATAAAAGTTTAGCAACGGACTCTTCCAGGCACAAAAGCACTGGTTTGTAGCATTTGAAAATTTCACCCTAGTCAGTCTCAAGCTACCAATGTGAAGAGCACTGGAAAGAGATGCACACAGTCAGCTCTCCCAAGCCAGTGAGCCTGCTCCAACGCATCGCTGGAGGACTAGTGCATGATCAAAGTGGAAGACATAAGAGGGAGGATAGAAAGATGGATGCTGGAGGATGTCAGGGGAACAGGTTCAAGTGATTCAAGGCAAAGGGAAGATGAGGCAAATTTCTCTCTTCCAAGAGGCTTTCCCTAACCCAAGCCCAGTGACCACTGCCCCCATTCAACCCCTGTAACATCTATCCCTGCCTGTCCTACTCGGGAAGCATTTAGCTCAGCCCACCTGGTGTTGTTAATTATTCATTCATTCACACATACTTGTTGAGCATCCTACCATGGGCCAGGGTTAGGCAAGGGACTGATCATACGGACAGGAAGGAGTCCCAGATCATGCCCTTGGGGAGTTCATAGTTTAGTGGGAGGAGAGATCAGTAAGCAAATCACTTGGATTTGGCATGAACAGTGAATGAGATAAATGTGTGTGAGGGGCTTGGGCTGCTCAGAGGAGGGAGGAACCAGCATGTGCTGAGAGAGGCTGGTCTCTCCAACCAGGATGAGCATGGCTCGCTTTCCATGCACATAAGTGGCCTCCCTGGCTACACAGAGACAGTGTTTGACTTGACTCAGCAGATATTTATTCAGCTGAATTCTCAGTGGGTGCTGGTTGACTGGTCTTTTGGTTCTCCTAGGCCAGGGTGCAGGGCCCCTCTTCCCTTGAGGGACTGCTCTACCCAAATGCCTAGCAGAAGGTAGAGTCTCCTGGAGATCCCAGAAGCCAAGAGCTGAAAAGAAGCAAACAATTGTCCCTTCAGGGCTGGTCCCCAAGCCCTCGTCCCACCACCCCAACATCCCTCCTGGAGCTGAACCAAAGAAGAGGATTCCCACCCCTGGAGGTCTGAGGTCTGGATGGGCACTGCACACCTCATAGGAAGGTGATCGCTCCCCAAGCTCCCCAGGCCCTCACTCAGGACCTGACTACAGGCAACCGCGTCTGCTGAGGTCCTGCCCCTCTCCAGCCTCAAACTCAGTTGCACAGGTTCCATAAAGGGCATTTCCTAATGGCCCTCAGAGCCTATGTGTCCTGTGCAACTTGGCAAAAAGCCCCCGAAGACCATCATCTGCACTGCTGTGGCAGAGAGGCCTCTTCACTTTTAAAGGCCTTGAAAGAAAGGGAGCCCGTGAAGTCCCCCACCCCAGTCACTCCTCCCACATCTCACCCTGTTCTCCCTCTGGTCTAGCTTAAAGTCTTCCTGCTGCAATGTTTCTCCCTATACCAGGTGGTGGTGAGATGTGACTGGCTGCCAGCCCCTGCCTCATCCCTTGCAAGCTTTAGAAGGTAAGAAGAGCTGGCAGGTGTGGCTTCCAGAGAAGGATTCCTATGGAGCAGAGGCAACTTCTACCTCTTCCTGCTTGGCCCTGTCAGACCAGGCATGCCTGAAAGCCCCCACAGAGTCCCTCCTCCCACACGCACCCGTGGGCCAACCCCAAGCCTCCTCCCAGGCTTCTCCCATGAGGCACCTCAAAGCTGTTCCCTTCCTGGCAGCCTCCCTTGATTCAGCAGGTGGAGCCACCTTCACTTACCTACTGTGTGGCCTGGGAACACCTGATTCTGTCACCAATCATCTTTAGATGAAAGAGGAAACCCCTTAAAAGGAGAAAACTTCTCAGGCTTCCTTGGAGTCCCAGGGTTGGGAGGGAGTGGTCAACCGGTCCATCCCCTTGCCCCTGGGCAAGGCTATATCAAGAAAGTCTTTGATGTATCTTTTAAAGAACTATATATTATTTAAAAGGCCGGCAAGAAAAAAGATTTCATAGCTTCCCTCAGCCATTCATTTCAAGCTTTAGGACTGCTTGCTGCAGGAAGTTCTTCTTTCGGTCTAACATAAATACTCTATAAATGAAAGTGTACTGTTCAATTGGAGTTAAGGAACTGAGCCTCTGGCCCTGCAAAAGGGAAGCTGTGAGGTAATTGTTTCTGTGAGGGGAAGAGTCTGATCCAGTCTTAATGCTTACATGGTTCTTTTGACTTCTTTTTTTTTTTTTTTTTTTGAGACAGGGTCTCACTCTATTGCCCTGGCTGGAATGCCTTGGTGTGATCTCTCACTGCAACCTCCGCCTCCCAGGTTCAAGCTATTCTCCCACCTCAGCCTCCCAGTGCCTGGGACTACAGGCCTGTGCCACCACGCCCAGCTAATTTTTGTATTTTTTGGTAGAGACGGGTTTCACTATGTTGGCCAGGCTGGTCTTGAACCCCTGACCTCAAGTGATCCACTGGCCTTGGCCTCCCAAAGTGCTGGGATCAAGGCATGAGCCACCGTGCCCCGTCTCTTTTGACTTCTTGGTGCCCTTGTCCTCTTTTCGTACCTCTAGCTGTAGACAGCAGCAAAAAGCCTATGGCGGTTCAAAACTTTATAGCAATAATAAAATTTCTAAAGTCTAATTTTCTCATGCCTGTTATCCTAATACAACAGAATTTGTCCTGAAATTGGAAGGATTTAGATTATATATTAGGAAGAACTCTATAGATGGAGCAGTACTGTTTCTGTGATCATAAATTCCTTTCTTGGAAGCCCTTCAAAAATAGGACTGATTTCTACCTGCCCGGAGGGTTTCAGGTACCCTACCTGGGAGGGGAGGGGAAGTAAAAGGAAAAGACATTTGTGGCACCTCTCCAGGGGGCTGGGCATGGTCCCAGCCCTAGTGTACAGAGAATAAGAAGATACTGTCCTCACCCTCAAGGGCTGTTAGTTCACTGGGTCCCTTAGGATTCAAGCAACAGTCCTCTTGCTCCTACCCTTGGCTCCTTCTAAGGTAGGAGACCACCCCTCATATTGTCTTATGCCCAATTTCTGCCTCCAAAGAAAGAAAAAGTAAAAACTAAAAGGCAGAAATGAAATCCACAAGCAGACAGCCCGGCGCCACACCGTGGGCCTGGTAGTTAAAGACATAACCTAATCGGTTAGATAACATAACCTAATTGGTTATGTTATCTATAGATTACAGACATTGTATAGAAAAGCACTGTGAAAATCCCTGTCCTGTTCTGTTCCATTCTAATTACCGGTGCATGCATCCCCCAGTCACGTACACCCTGCTTGCTCAATCGATCACGACCCTTTCACGCAGACCCCCTTAGAGTTGTAAGCCCTTAAAAGGGACCGGAATTGCTCACTCGGGGAGCGTGGTTGTTGGAGATGTGAGTCTTGCTGAAGCTCCCAGCCAAATAAAGCCCTTCCTTCTTTAACTCGGTGCCTGAGGGGTTTTGTCTGCGGCTTGTCCTGCTATACTTCCAAGGCTTTTATCCCCTGAGAAGACACTGGGTCCTAACTGTAGCTCTCAATTGAGCAGCATCAAGACAGGGCATCCCCAGGGGAAGGTGATCAGGTCTGAGTCTGGTAGTACAAATTGACCTAGGACTCTTGCATAATGGGGAGGTCCTCAAGTCCCCTGGCAGCTTCCCAACACTGGCTTAGGACTCTGTGGAAAATGCCCATTGGATCAGATGCCTTGGGGGCCCTGTGCCCCCCCACCCATCAACACCCATAAACAATGCTGTGATGGGTACTTGCCTGTGTCAAGTTGGCTAAGCTACAGCACCCAGTCATTTAATCAAACACTAATCTGGGTGTTGCTGTGAGAATAAAGTCACCTACAGTCCGTTGACTTTAAATAAAGGAGATTATCCTCAATAATGTGGGTGTACTGCATTTGATCAGTGGGAAGGCCCTAAGGGTTAAAAACCGAGGTTTCTCAGAGAAAAAGAAGTTCTGCCCCAAGATTGCAGTATCAACTCCTGCCTGCCCTCTGGATTTCCGACTTGTCATCCCCAACAATCTCATGAGCCAATTCCTGGAAACAAATCTCTTCATATAACTATAGGTCCTATTGGCTCTGTCTCTCTGCGGGATCCTGAGTCCTGCTACAGCCCAGCTCTGGATGCCCAGAACTTTGTCAGGGTTTCTCCGTGGGAGAAGAACTTCACCCGGGGCCTGAGGGACTGGCTGGCTGTGGGTGCAGCCAGACCTGGGGCGGAAGAGCCCCAGAACTTTCTTGATATGTGAATTTGGGCAAGTTACTTAATCTCCCTGAGCCAGTCTCCTTGCCTACGAAATGAGGCTGATCCTAGCACCCTGGCAGGACCGTTGGGGGATTAGGGAAGGTGAGAAATTGTGAAAATGCCGAGACTGTGCCTGGCTCCCAAGAACTATTCAGTACATTTTTGTTGAATATTTCACTTTGAGGGAAAATGAGCAGGATTTTCTCTGCTGGAGAAGGACTGGAGACAGCCTGGTGAAGAGGAATTGCCAGGGCTTTCTTCCTGCTCCAGAAGCTGGGGCGGGCAAGGCTTCTAACCGTCTGCTCCTGGCTCTCCTCCATGTCATCTCCCAGGTACCTTCCAGCCCTGAAATTCTATGATTATAGGGTTGCATCCTAAAATGCAGAGAAGGGCAGTAAAAATAATTAAAGACTTGGAAAACAGGACCTGAGAGGAAAGGGTTAAAGGCACTGGGATTACTTAGCCTGGAGAAGGGGTGTTTTAATAACACCCTTCTTTACCTAGAGAGGGTTATTTGGATGGAGGCACTGGTTGGTTTCTCTCCATCCCTTTAGAGGGCAAAGTCAGAGAGGATGGGGAACCGACTAACAGGCAGCTAGAGGGATTGAAGTTAGACAGTGGGGTGCCTGCCTTGCCCAAATAACATCAACTATTTCACAGGACTTGTGGGGAGGTTATTTGTGTTAGGAAATGAATTAGACGACCTCTGGGTTTTCTCTTTGCTATTTGAATTCTAGACACCAATTTCCCCAGAATTGTGAAAAATAAGAGCAAAGAAAAAAAAATCGAAGAGCAAATTGAACAGGCGTGGTGGGGATAGCCCAGCAGCACTCCCTGGCCCTGCCCCTGGGCACAGTGGAGTGTCAGCCCAGGAGGCCCAGAGCTTACATGGGGTCAATCAGAGAGAAGCTTGTGCCCTGGGCTTGTTCCTTGTTGCAGTGTTAACTGCAACTTGTCTTCCTCAGACCTCAGAAGACGTCTTTCTTCCTCACTCCTTCCACGCACATTGAGTATGAACCTGCCCCAATTCAGGAAGGCATTAGGGAAAAGAAGACGCGCCCCTTATCCTGAGGCTGCAGTAGCACTGACTCCCAAGAAACATCCAGACTCGACCAGTTCCCTCCCAGACCCTGAGCTTCTTCCCTTCTTCATCGTCATTGCCACCATCAGAATAACAAGGCTGGCTACTATTCTTTGTTGAGGGCATACTCTGTGCCAAGCACTTCATATAGAGTACCCCTAATTCCATGGTACATGGTATAGGTAAGGAAATAAAGGCCCAGAGAGGTAAAGCAACTTGCCCAAGGCCACACAGCAGAGCCGGGCTCAGCCCTGTACCATCTATTCGTGCTGTCTGGACTTCACTACTAACCCCTGAGAGAACATCAGCCTCATCTTACTGACGAATAAATTAAGACTGAGAAGTTAAGCAATTTGCCCTCAGTCACTCAACTATTAATCAATAAAGCCAGGTATCTCAGCTCCAAAACCTAAGCATTTCCCCTCCTAAATGAGGTTGGTGAGGCATACCCTGCTACTTGCAAGTTCTCATCCAATGGATGGAGGGGAAAAACCCCTGGGAGACCCCCCTGAGTGGGTGATGGGCAAAGGTCACTCCTCTGTCCATCAGAGAAACTGGACAAAATAATGACAAGAAATAACATTATTATCATTTTCATTAAGCACTAACCCTGTACCAGGCACTGTGCTAGACCCTTAACATGCTTAACAATCAGTCCTCCCATAAGGAGTACGAAGTGGGTACTTCCATTCTCCCGTTTTAAATATGAAGCAACCGAGACACACAGAGTTTCAGTAACCTGCCCAAGGTCACAAGGTGAATAACTAGCAGAACTGGGTTTGGAACTCCATGTACTCTGACTCCAGAACTCTCCCTCTAATCCCTTGAACTGTGCTGTGAATTTTTTCCTCCTGAGCCAAGTGTGCTAACGAAATTGAGTCTAACAGCTACTTCTGCGCTGTCTCTAAAAGTTTTTTCCATGCCCTTCATGTTCTTCCAGCCTCTACTCCTGAGGTGCCCCAGAGCCGTCTCATTCCACGTGGCAGCACCCGTGCCCACCCTGGCCTCCTGAGCTCAGAATGGGGGAGACTCCCGTCCCAGGAAGAGGCTCTGTGGTCAGAAGCTGCTTTGCTATCCCAGGCAAGGCCCGGCTCCCTGTGTATGGACTCACCTGGGGACACAGCTGAGCCCAGGACCCGAACCAGAGCTGCAGCCATAACCCAAACGTGACCCAGATGCAGACCCAGAGCAGAGCACTCGGGGGAGGCCCAGGGAGCAGGAGGAGGCAGCCTGACCCCGCAGAGATGGGAGGTGTGGATGGCCCGGAAGGAGATGACCCAGCTCTGCCTAGGTCACTGCCCTGCCTGAGACTCTAGGGAGAGAGGAATGGGAGGGAGGAAGGGGACAGAGTGAGGGGGCACTCAGGCACCATCTCAGTGCCATCCTGCTGGAGCCATGTGCTGCTCTAGGAAGGGCTGGGCGGGGGCCCACCTTGGAGTCCTCGTCATCCAGGCAGGGAGGCTGGGTGTGGCAGCTTCCAGCAGGGGAGCTGCTGGGCTCTCCACGCCTCACCTCTTGACTGGACCCTCCCCTCATACACAAAGCTGAACCAGACTGAACCATCTGCAGCTCCCAGAAAGCGAGTGCGCCCCTCGGGCTGCCCCACATGCTGTTCCGGTGCTTCTCCACCCTCTGTGCGTCTCAGCTTAGTCGGCATTTCTTCCAAGAATGGCTGCCTGACCTCCCCGCCCCAGTCCAGGCTGAGTGACCCCTCCGTGTGCCGCTACAGCTTCACACAGTTCCCCAGGGCCCACCTTGCCCACACTGCATTGAAAGCATCTGTTTACACCACTTCCACCAGCAGGCGGTAAGTCCAGGCCATCTCTGTGGCCACAGAGTCTAACACAGTGCCCAGCAAACAGTGGTGCCCAATAAGTATCTGTCAAGTTCACGGGTGGTTAAAACAGAACAAAGCCAGCGCAGACTGCAGGCAACCTGTGGGTACTGCCCCAAAGCCCAAGGTTTCCAGAGGACTGCCAGGCACTCAGCTGGTTCTTGGCAAGAACAGATCAGGATGCAAGGTTGTGGGATGCTGACTGCTGCGGCAGTGAGGCCAAGTCTGGTGGAAGGTGAAGGCTTGAGGAGGAAGGCTGCCCAGAGCAGGGCAGCTCCAGCAGGGAGGCCGGCCAGGGTGCAGGGCTGTGAACCTGGCTCAAATTTCCACTAATCTGACAGTTTTCAGGGAAGCCAGGTGGAGGAGACGTGTCGGGACAATAGCAGCCTGTCCATCCTGTTACGGATGTGCTGGCACTCAGATGACAGTGAGGCAAGAGCCCTGCCTGCCTCCACCCTGGGGAGACGTAGGGTGGCAGAGCTGGGGGGTGGGCAAGCACCAAGAAGAAAGAGCAGGAAGCAATGCCTTGGGGTGTCTGTCCTGAGCCCCTCCCTCATGAACTCCCCTGAAGCTGGGGACTGCTGTCCCTGAGCCCCAGGGCTAATCTAACCATCAATGGACCAAAGGCAATGGAGCGGGGAATAAGGAAGAAAACTAGGTGGGAGGGAAAGAGAAATGAAACAGGAGTGGCAGGAAGGTAAGAATGCAGCAGACAGCAAGAGCCAGAGTGAGTCAATGAGAGGGGGAAGCAGAGCACATGGAGAAGCTGTGTCAAAATACACTTCACGGCCGGCAGAACCCCGTCTCCAGCATTGTCTGTATGAACGCAAAACAGCCCTGTGAAGTATAATTATCGTTTTCTTCCCTTTTGTTTTATTTCACTTTTTATTATGGAAAACTTCAAAAATACACAGTGTAAACACAATAGTATAATTTCAATCCCTATGTATCCATCACCCCACTTCAACAATGAGCATATCGCGCCATTCTCCTTTCACTATATTTTCACCCACACAATTTTTATTGTTTTTTGACATTACTATTTTTTGGGAAAACTTGCACACATTAAAATGTGCAAATAGTAGCTCTACAATGTTGATAAAATGTTTATATCCAAGCAAACCACATCCCTATTATAATATGGTACACTGCCATCTCACTGGAAATTCTCTTATATTTCCTCCATCCCCAACTAATCCAATTTCTAGCTACAGATTACTTTTGGCTAATCTAGAACTTCACTTAAGTGGACTCGCACAATATTCACTCCTTAGTGCCTTGCTTCTTTCTCTTAGCATAATGTCTCTGGGACCCATCCATCTGGATGCATGAATGGTGGTTTATTTCTTTGAAGTTGCTGACTAGGATTCCACTGTATGGACACATCAGAATTTACCTAGTGATTTCCTGTTGATGAGCATTTGGGTTGTTTCCTGTGCATGACTATTGTGAATAAAGCCGCTATGAACATTTGTTTTTATGGACATGTTTTCATTTCCCCTGGATAAATACCTAAGAGTGGAATTGCCATATCAAGCAGTAGATGTAAGTTTAACCTTTTGAGAAACAGTCAAACCGTTTCCAAAGTGGTTGCACTATTTTGCATTCCCATCAGCAAGGTATATGCATTTCAGGTGCTCTGTGATCTCATTAACATGCAGTTGTTGTAAGAGTTTTAAATTGTAGCCATTCTAGTAGGTATGTAGTAGTATCACATTGTAGTTGTACTCTGTACTTTTTAATGACTAATGATGTTTAAGCAATGTTTCATGTGCTCATTGGCATTCATATATCTTCTTTTGTGAAGCATCTGTGTAAGTCTTTTTTTGCCTGTTTTTTTTTGTTAGCTGGGCGTAGCGACACATGCCTGTAGTCCCAGCTACTTGGGAGGCGGGAGGATGGCTTGAGCCAGGGAGGCAAAAGTTGCAGTGAGCCAGGATTGTGCCACTGCACTCCAGCCTGGGCAACAGAGCAAGACCCTCTCTCTCAAAAAGAAAAAAAAGTATTTTGCCCATTTTTAACATGATTGCTTATCTTTTTGTTATTGAATCATAGGAGTCCTTTGTGTATTCTAGTAACAAGTCCATCAGATATATCTTTTCTGAATATCTTCTTCAAATCTGTGGTTTGTCTGTTAATTTTCTTAATGGTGTCCTTTTAGATTTATTAAGACATAATTTAAGGCCGGGCATAGTGGCTCACGTCTGTAATCCCAGAAGTTTTTATTGGTCTATTCATGAATTGGACTTCTTCCTGGTTTAGTCTTGGGAGGGTGTATGTGTCCAGGAATGTATCCATTTCTTCTAGATTTTCTAGTTTATTTGCATAGAGGTGTTTATAATATTCTCTGATGGTAAGTTTGTATTTCTGTGGGATCAGTGGTTATATCCCCTTTATCATTTTTTATTGTGTCTATTTGATTCTTCTCTCTTATCTTCTTTATTAGTCTGGCTAGTGGTCTATCTGTTTTGTTAATCTTTTCAAAAAACAAGCTCCTGGATTCATTGATTTTTTTGAAGGGTTTTTCATGTCTCTGTCTCCTTCAGTTCTGCTCTGATCTTAGTTATTTCTTGCCTTCTGCTAGCTTTTGAATTTGTTTGCTCTTGCTTCTTTAGTTCTTTCAATTGCGATGTTAAAGTGTTGATTTTAGATCTTTCTTGCTTTCTTCTGTGGGCATTTAGTGCTATAAATTTCCCTCTAAACACTGCTTTAGCTGTGTCCCAGAGATTCTGGTACATTGTGTCTCTGTTCTCATTTGTTTCAAAGAACTTATTTATTTCTGCCTTAATTTCATTATTTACCCAGTAGTCATTCAGGGGCAGGTTGTTCAATTTCCATGTAGTTGTGTGGTTTTGAGTGAATTTCTCAATCCTGAGTTCTAATTTAATTGCACTGTGGTCTGAGAGACTGTTTGTTATGATTTCTGTTCTTTTGCATTTGCTGAGGAGTGTTTTACTTCCAATTATGTGGTCAATTTTAGAATAAGTGTGATGTGGTGCTGAGAAGAATGTATATTCTGTTGATTTGGGGTGAAGAGTTCTGTAGATATCTATTAGGTCCACTTGGTCCAGAGCTGAGTTCAAGTCCTGAATATCCTTGTTAATTTTCTGTCTCATTAATCTGTCTAATATTGACAGTGGGGTGTTAAAGTCTCCCACTATTATTGTGTGGGAGTCTAAGTCTCTTTGTGGGTCTCCAAGAACTTGCTTTATGAAGCTGGATGCTCCTGTATTGGGTGCATATATATTTAGGATAGTCAGCTCTTCTTGTTGCATTGATCCCTTTACCATTATGTAATGCCCTTCTTTGTCTCTTTTGACCTTTTTTGGCTGAAAGTCTGTTTTATCAAAGACTAGGATTGCAAACCCTGCTTTTTGTGCTTTCCATTTGCTTGGTAAATATTCCTCCATCCCCTTATTTTGAGCCTCTGTACGTCTTTGCATATGAGATGGGTCTCCTGAATACAGCACACCGTTGGGTCTTGACTCTTTATCCAATTTGCCAGTCTGTGTCTTTTAATTGGGCCATTTAGCCTGTTTACATTTAAGGTTAATATTGTTTTGTATGAATTTGATCCTGTCATTATGATGCTAGCTGGTTATTTTGCCCGTTAGTTGATGCAGTTTCTTCATACTGTCGATGGTTTTTACAATTTGGTATGTTTTTGCAGTGACTGGTACCAGTTTTTCCTTTCCATATTTAGTGCTTCCTTCAGGAGCTCTTGTAAGGCAGGCCTGGTGGTGACAAAATCTCTCAGCATTTGCTTGTCTGTAAAGGATTTATTTCTCCTTCACTTATGAAGCTTAGTTTGGCTGGATATGAAATCCTGGGTTGAAAATTCTTTTCTTTAAGAATGTTGAATATTGGGCTCCACTCTCTTCTGGCTTGTAGGGTTTCTGCAGAGAGATCTGCTGTTAGTCTGATGGGCTTCCCTTTGTGGGTAACCTGACCTTTCTCTCTGGCTGCCCTCAAACTGTTTTCCATAGTGGCTATGCTATTTTCCGTTCCCACCAACAAATTGTAAGACTTCCAGTTACTTCTCATCCTGCCAAGACATCATATAATCAGTCTTTTTAAATTTTAACCATTCTAGTGGTTGTACAGTGGTATCTCAGTGTGGTTTTAATGTGAGCTTATCTAGTGACTAATAATGTTAAGCTTCTTTTCATATGCTTATGTGCCACTTGCTTCCCTTTACTAGTGAAATGTCTCTCCATATCTTTTGCCCAGTTTTTAATCAGGTTGTTTGTCTTCTGATTGAGTAGGAAGAGCTTTTTAAAAGATATCTTGAATCCAAGTCCTTTGTTAGATACATGTTTTACAAATAGTTTCTACCCCATTATAGCTTGCCTTTTTATCTTCTTAACCATGTCTTTTAATAAGCAAGTTTTGGCCAGGCACGGTGGCTCACGCTGGTAATCCCAGTACTTTGGGAGGCCAAGGCAGGTGGATCACCTGAGGTCAGGAGTTTGAGACCAGCCTGGCCAACATGTTGAATCCCTGTCTCTACTGAAAAAAAAAAAAAAGTACAAAAATTAGCCGGGCATGGTGGTGGGGGCCTGTAATCCCAGCTACTCAGGAGTCTGAGGCAGGAGAATCACTTGAACCCAGGAGGCAGAGGTTGTAGTGAGCCGAGATCATGCCACTGCACTCCAGCCTGGGTGACAGAGCAAGACCCTGTCTCAAAAATTATATAAATAAATAAATAAATAGAACAAGTTTTTTTTAAGGAAGTCTGATATACTGATTTTTTTTTTCTTTAAGGTTTGTGCTTTCTATGTCCTATCTAAGAAATTTCTATGTTTGCTTCAGTGTGCGGTTGGTATAGATAGAGCTGTTATGCATAACAGGTTATAAAGATTTTAGGTTATAAAGATTTTAAATCTTAGATCCACTATTTCAAGTTAATTGTTGTTTATGATGTGAGATAAGGGCCATTTTTTTTCTTGTATATGGATACCCAATTGTTCCAGCACCATTTGTTGAAAAAACTATCATTTCCCCCGTTGAATTACCTTGGCACCTTTGTGAAAAATCAGTTATCTACATATATATAAATCTATTTCTGGACTCTCTATTCTGTTCAGTGATCTAAATGTTTACTTTATTCCATAATACACTATCTAATTACTACTACTTTGTTGTAAGTCTTAAAAATCAGGTAGTAAGTCCTCCAAGCTTGGTCTTCGTTTTTCATAATTTTTTGTACCTATTATGATCCATGGCATTTCCATATGAACTTTAGGATCAGATTACAAAATTCTTCAAAAATCTGCTCTGATTTTGACTGAGAGTACATTAAATCTGAAGATCAATTTGGGGAGAATTGACAGCTTAACAATAGCAAGTCTTAATAATATCAATACATACCATGAACATGGTATGTTTCTCTATTTATTTAGATCTTCTTTAACTTCTCCCAGCAGTTTTGTAGTTTTTAGTGTACTATACAAATTTTTGCTAATTTACTCTTAACTAGTTCATGTTTTCATGCCATCATAAATGTTATTTTCCATTTAAATTCCAATTGTTAGTTTCTAGTATATAGAAATACAATTAGGCCAGGCACAGTGGCTCACACTTGTAATACTAGCATATTAGGAGGCCAAGGTGGCAACTCCAGCTAGAGGCCAGGAATTTGAGAACAGCCTGGGTAACGTAGCAAGACCCTGTCTCTACAAAAAATTTAAAAATAAAAAAGTCAGTCAGGTGTGGTGGCACAGGCCTGTAGTCACAGCTACGTGGCAGGCTAAGGTGGGAGGATTGCTTAAGCCCAGGAGCTTAAGGCTTCAGTGAGTCATGATTGTGCCACTGCACTCCAGCCTGGGTGACAGACTGAGGCTCCCTCTCAAAAATAATAATAATAATAATTAATTTTTGTGTATTGAACCCATATCCTGCAACATTGCTAAACTCATTTATTAACTGTAGTGTCTTAGCTTGCTTGTGGATTTCCTAAGATTTTCTAGAGAGAAAATTATATTGTTTATAAATAAAAACAATTTTGAATCTTCTCATCTGTGCCTTTTTTCTTTTTCTTGAATTCTTGCACTGGCTAGGACCTCCAGTACACTGTCGAATAGAAATAGTTATAACAGACTTACTTGCTTTGTTCCTAATCTGAGAGGAAAAACATCCCATTTTTCACTACTAAGTATAATGTCAATTGTAGGGTATTTTTAAATAGATGCCCTTTTCCAGATTGTGTAAGTTCCCTTGTATCCCTAATTTGCTAAGATTTTATCATGAATCTTGATAAATTTGTCTTGTTGAATTTTGTCAAAAGCTTTCCCTGAATCTACTGACATGATCATGTTTTTTTCCTTTTTAGATCTGTTTATATGATACATTCATTTTCTATTGCTGCCGTAACAAGCTTAGTGGCTTAAAACAACACAAATTTATTATCTTATAGTTTTGGAGGTCAGAAGCCCAAAATGGGCTAAAATCAAGATGTTGGCAGGGCTGCATCTTTTCTGAAGGCTCTAGAAGATAACCCGTTTCTTTGCCTTTTCCAGCTTGTAGAGGCTGCACATGTTCCCTGGCTCATGACTTTTTCCATCTTCAAAGCCAGCATTTATATCACTCCAATCTCTGCTTCTGTCATGACACATCTTTTTGTCTGACTCTCCTGCCTCCCTCTTTTAGGTACAAGGATCTTTGTGATTACATTGGGCCCATCCTGATAATCCAGAATAATCTCCCATCTCAAAATCCTTAACAATCATATCTGCAAAATATCTTTTGCTACATAAAGTAGTATATTCACAAGTTCTGTGGATTAGGACATAGATATTATGACTACCACATATGATAAATTATAGATTGACTTTTTAAAAATTGTGGTTAAAAACACATAACACTTACCATTTATCATTTTTGAGTATACAGTTCAGTAGTGTTAACTACATTCACATTGTTGTATAACAGATCTCTAGAAGTTTTTCATCTTGCAAAACTAAAACTCTATACCCATCAAACAACAACTCCCCATTCCCCCTTCCCAACTCGACGAAACCACCATTCTACTTTCTGTTTTCATGACTTTGACTACTTTAAATATCTCATATAAGTGGAATCATACACTATTTGTCCTATTACGACTGCTTATTTTACTCAACAGAGTGTCTCCAAGGTTCATTCAAGTTGTATATAAATTGACTTGTGAAACTAAAAGTAGATCTACCATTCAATCCAGCAACCCTACTACTGGGTAACTACCCAGAGAAAAAGAAGTCATTATACAAAAAAGACACACACATACATGCAGGCATACTCACGCTGATAGCAGCACAATTTACAATTGCAAAGATATGGAATCAATCTAAGTGCCCATAGACCAATGAGTGGATAAAGAAAATGTGATGTGCATACACTGTGGAATGCTACTCAGCCATAAAAAGGAAAGAAATAATGTCTTTTGCAGCAATTTGGATGGAACTGGAAGCCATTATTCTAAGAGAAATGACTCAGGAATGGAAAACCAAATACTGTATATCCTTACTTGTAAGTGGGAGCTAAGCAATGAGGATGCAAAGACATACAGAGTGATATAATGAACTTTGGGGATTTGTGGGTGGGGAGGTTGGGAGCGAGGTGAGGGATAAAAGACTTCATACTGGGTACAGTTACACTGCTCAGGTGATGGGTGCACTAAAATCTCAGAATTCACCACTATAGAATTCATCCATGTAGGTAAAAACCACTTGTACCCCCAAAGCTATTTAAATAAAATAAATAAATAAAGATTTTAAAACTTAAAAAAACTGACTTTTGAATGTTAAGCCAACCTTGAATTCCTAGGATAAATCCCATTTGATCACACTTTGTTATTCTTTGTATATATTGCTGATTTTTTTTCTGCTAAAATTCTGTTTAGAAATGTTTCCTCCCCGTCTCTTTTCTGCAACAGTTTTTGTAGAATTGGTATTTTTTTAAAAATGTTTAGCATCCCAGAAATGGCTTGTACTGGCCCATGACAATGTACTTTCAAATTCTCAGAAATTTTGTAAGCCAGCTGTTAAATACAGCCAGTATTAAAAATTAAATAAATTATGTTAAAAGCAAAAGTAATCCATATGGAATGAATACTTATCATATCTTAAATATTTTGCTACATTTTATTAATATCAATGCTATTAGGATATTTATGACTTTCATTTATATGGTATTATCTTTATATATATTTGTGCATATATATGCACATCTCTTTTTATCTCCATGATGATTGACATCACATTGGTAGCATGAAATTGACCATAGCGGGAATATTTACACTATGGAAAGTGGCAAATGCTACAAAACAGGTTGTTGTTTTTTCTAGAGTGCCAGGTGTAAAACATTTACCAATACACCTGGGGGTAGAATGCACTCGTGAAACCACTTGATCCTGGAGTTTTCTTTATGAAAAAGGTTTCACTTTTTAAAAACTATGAATGTAATTCCTTTAACAGACATAAGATATTCAAATTATTTCTTATTGAATGACCTTCATAGTTTGTGTTTCAAAGATTATGTCCATTTTATCATCTAAGTCACTGAATTTATTGGCATGTAGTTGTTTATAATATCTCCTTAGGTTTTTTTCAATGTTTGTAGGATCTGTAGTGATATCCTTGCTTTCATTCCTGATATTGGTAATTTGTGTCTTTTCTCTTTTTTTCTTGATCAGTCAGGTTAGAGTTTTATCAATTGTATTGATCTTTTCTGTGGTGTAAGAACTAAAATTAAGGTTCAATATTATGTGCTACCTTGACACCTGATGAAAACAGGAGGGCCTCATCTAGCCTAGCCCCAAGTTCCTCATTCCACTCTGCTCCTAACCCCTAGCCAAATCCTCTTAATAAAGAGAACCAGGTGCAGTTAAACAAGGCAATCACAGCCTCCTGCAGGAACCATGGGCCACCCCATTCTCTTAGTGCTACAGCCTGGCCCCCACAGCCTCTGGTTGTTCTCTGCTCACAAGTACAACCCCCATGTGATTGTTCATTTCTGTTCCCAAGTGCAACACCCCTGCATGAGATGTGGTGTCCTCCTCCTGCTGGCTATGAGTATATGTAACTAACAAACTGTTGTCAGTTTCATCTGGTGTCAGGCATTGTGTCATCCCCATAACCCTAGGGTGGGAATTTCTCTGTCACCTACTTGGTTAATAGGAAGCAATTAAAATACTTTCCAAACGATATATTTGAGATTTCTTAGATTTTTATTTTTCTCTCATTTTTTAATATTTCATTGATTTCTGTTTTCATCTTTTTATTTCCTTCATGGGGTTTAATTGGATTTAATTTTCTCTTGTCTAGTTTCTTTTGGCAGTAGCTCAGGTGATTGATTTTAGAACATGTTTTTCTAATAAAAGCATATAATACTATATGTCTCTATCTAAGCATTGATTTAGCTACATCCAAGAAACTTTGTTTACATGCTTTTTTTCGTCTATAGTAGAATCTTTTTTCTACCAGGATAGGGATCACCTTTGGACTCACGCCTTAGAAGTCCCCAGAAGATGCCTTATGCATCTCCAGAGGCAAATTGGTGATTCTTTGCAATAACAACTTTTTGGGACTCTTAGATGCCAAGTAGTGACTGACAACACTTAAGTTCTTAACAGAGGTTCAGTCCTCAAGTGGGAAGTATGTGTGATTTACAACTGCAGGTATTGCAAAAAAAGATAATCTACTGACCAGCAATCGTATTGGCCTTTCTTCTCACATAGAAGGAACTCCTAGTCTGAAATCCTATGATTAAGGTGGTACTGGGTGTGGAGAATTATTTCCACTTTCTCTTAGTCCTACCTCAGATGGTGCTGCAGTGGCAATTTTGGCCAGTGAAGCATTTGCACAGGAGTATGGCCTGCAACCCAAAGAGTTCCACATGGCTGATAAGGCCTCAGGAAACTTACAATCATGGCAAAAGGTGAAGAGGAAGCGAGGCTTGTCTTACATGGTGGCAGCAGAGAGAGAGCCCTGTATGCTTTTTTATTCAGTTCAAAACATTTTCTAATTATCCTTTTGATTTGGTTTATTTCAAAATCTGCTGTCCAATTTCCAAATATTTGGGGGATTTTCTAGATATATTTTGCTTATTGATTTCTGCTTTTATTTCACTGGTGTCAGAGAACATATTTTCTATGATTTCACACTGTTTAAATCTTGAGACCTGTTCCAGAAATCTATCTTGGTAGATCGATCTTACTTGTACAATTGAAAAGAATGTATGTTCTGATTTGTTGGATACAGTACTCTATAAAATGTCAATTAGGTCAAGTTAATTGATGTTGTTGTTCAAATATTTTATGCCCTAACTGATATTCTTTCTACTTGTTTTGTCAGTTACTGAGAGAAGAGTGTTAAAACCTTCAACTATAATTGTGAACATATCTATTTCTCTTTTCAGATCAGTTTTTGCTTCATATAGTTTCAAGCTCTGTTATTAAATGCATAAACATTTCAGATTTTTGTCCTATTGATTATTTTACCTCTTTTTCATTAGGAAATATTTCTTTGTTCTTTGTAGTATTCAAAGTCTACTTTGAACATTATTTATATAGTCTCCTCAATATCTTTTCATTAGTGTTTGCATGGCATTTTTTTCTATCATTTTAATTTTAATCTATTTATACGTTTATTACAGTGAATTTCCTATAAATAACATTGTAGTTGAATCTTTTTTTAATCCAATATGACAATCTCTGCCATTTAATTGAAGTGTTTAGACCATTTACAATTAAAGTAATTATCACTATTGCTGGGTAAAAACCTATCTTCTTGCTATTTGTTATTAGCTCAGTTTGTTCTGTGCTCCTTTTGTCCCTCTTTTCTGCCCTCTCTGGATGTAAGTAAGGACTTTTTATGATTCCTTTTTATCTCCATTTGTGGTATATCAGCTGTTTCTCTTTATTTTATTTTTAGTGGTTGCTCTACACTTTACAATATACACCTTTAGCTTACCACATCTACCTTCAAATAATCTTTACCATTTCACATATTTTAAAACAGGTGTCAGTAAACTTTTTTCATAAAGTGTCAGACATTAAATATCTTAAACTTTGTGGGTCATACAGTCTCTGTTGCAACTACTTAACTCCACCATTGAAGCAAAAGCAGCCACAGCTTATCCATAAATGAATGATCTGTATTCCAATAAAATGTTATTTACAAACACTAAAATTTGAATTTCATATAATTTTCATGTCACAAAATATTATTTATCTTTTGGTTTTTTCTCAACCATTTAAAAATGTAAAAACCATTCTTAGGTCATGAGCTATAGAAAAACAGGTGGATGGCTGGATTTAACTTATGGGCCATAATTGACCAATCCCTGGTATAAAAGCTTTGTAACAATATACAGGCCAATTTATATTTCCCTCTCATCCTTTGTGATATTGTTGTCATAGAATTTTACTTCTACACCTGTTACAAAGCCAAAATACTATGCTGTTATTGTTGCTTCAAATATTCAATTAAATTTTTTAAACTTTTGAGTAAGGAAAAAATTTTTATATTTACCCTTGTATCTTTCAATTATTTTCAGTGTCCTTCACTCCTTTGGGTAGAGTCAGATTCTCATATGGTATTATTTTTCTTCTCTCTGAGACCTTCCTCTAAGTTTTTTTTTTGTAGTGCAGTTCTACTGGCAGTGAATTTTCTCAGTTTCTGTTTGTCTGAAAGCCCTTTATTTTATCTTCATTTATGAAAGGTATTTGACTTGCTATAGAATTCTAGGACACAGGGGTTGTTTTTCGTTTGTTATCCTTCATGCAGTACTTTAAAGATGTCACACCTTTATCTTCTGGCTGTCTTTTTTTCTGCTGGATTTTTGAACAAATTTATTTATTTACTTATTTTTTTTATATTCTTGCTCTGTCGCCCAAGCCGGGGTGCAGTGGCATCTTTTTTTTTAATGAGAACTCTATTGCCATTCTTATCTTTGTGCTCTGTACATGATGTCTTTTTTTCCTCTGCCTGCTTTTGATATTTTTTTATCATTGATTTTCAGATATTTGATTATAATATACCTTGATGTCATTTTCTTCATTTTTATTCTACTTGGGTTCATTGAACTTTTTAGATCTGTGGGTTTATACTTTTTATTGGATTTGGGAACATTTGACTAATAAATTTTTGAAATAATTTTTTTCTATTTCTCCCGTCTCCCATCGTCCCCTTATAACTCCAATTACATTGCTCCACAGGTCATTGAAGTTCATTTTTTAACTCAGTATTTTTCCCTATGTGCTTTATTTTGTATAATTTATATTGCTCAATCTTCAAGTTCATTAATCCTTTTTTTCTTGCAGTGTCTGATTTTCCACTAATCCCATCCACTGTATTTTTTGTTTCAGATAGTTGCATTTCTAGAAGTTCCATTTCTAGAAGTTCCATTTGAGTCTTTTTAGTACTCATTTCTCTCTCATTAAGTTCATGCATTCCTCTACCTTCTCTAACCTATGGATCATATTTATAATAACTTTTTTAACATTCTTGTTTGCTAATTTTATTATATCTGTTTTTGATTGGTTGGTTTATCTCCTGAATATGGGTCATATTCCCTCATTATTTCTGTGTTAGAAATTTTAATTAAATGTTGGGCATTCTCAATTTTATATCACTGGGTGCTGGACTTTTTTGTGTTTTTTGAAGTAGTATTGGACTTTATTCTGGTGCATAAGTTAAGTTGGATCCTTGCAAACCTTATGATTAAGCTTTGTAATTAAAGTGGGCCCACTGCAGCCTTTAGACTAGAATTAATTTAACCCAGTACTAAGCCAATACCCTTCTGAACATTCTATCTAATGTCCCATGTATTATACGATCTCTCAACTTTGGCTGGTAGGAACACAAATTCTAAGTTCCATATAAGCTCCAGAAACTGTTCTGCCCACTCTTTTATTATTATTATTATGTCAATAGCTTTAGGGTTATGAGTAGTTTTTGGTTAAATGGACATTAGTGACTCAGAAGGCAGGAAGGTGGAAGGGGGGTGAGGGATGAAAAACTACCTGTTTGGGTACAATATATGCTATTTGGGTGACAGGTATACTAAAAGCCCAGACTTCACCACTATACAATTCTGCCCATCCTTTGGTGATTCTTCAGCTTTGGGTCATTTACTCTCACAGAGTATAAATCCAAGTAGCCTGTCAAAGACTCAAGGGACACCTATGAAGATCTCAGACCTCTGTCTGTTTCTGTGAACTTTCTCCTCTTTGTTACTCTGCCCTGCAAGTTCAAGCACCTTGGCCTCCCCGAACTGCAACTTTCTTCTCAATTCAGTGAGACTACCAGGTGTATTTTGCTTCTCTCCCCCTGCTCTGTGACCTGGAAACTGCCTCCAGGCAATAAGCCATTGTAGGGCTCTCTTCATTTGTTCCCCTTCTCTTAAGGATCACAGCCCTGCACTGCCTATTATTTAATGTCTGTAAAACATTTTTTTCACATATTTTGTCCAGTTTTCTAGTTGTTGAAAGTGGCAAGGTAAATCTAGTCGCTGTTACTCTATCATGCTGAAAGCAGAAATGCTTCTTGATGAGCAAAAATTTTTTTTATTTTAATGAAGTCTAATATGTTATTTTTTCTTTAATGATTATTGATTTCTGGGTTCCATTCAAGACATCTTTGCCAACCTTTGAGTCTTAAAAATATTATTTTATGCTTACTTTTAAAAAAGGTATATTTTAAGCTGCTATATTTAGATCTATGATCCAATTCTAATTAATTTTTTGATATATGGCATAAGGTTCAGGGGTCAAGTTTCATTTTCTTCAGAATAAAGATGTCCAATTGTTTAAGCACCATTTGTTGAAAGATTTTCTTTCCTCTATAGAATTGCTTTAGCACCTCTGTCCAAAATCAATTAACTATGTTAGTGCAAGCGTATTTCTAGAATTTCTATTGTGTTTCACTGATCCACTTGTCTATATATGCCAATACAACACTGTCTTGATTGCTGTAGTTTTCTAAGTCTTAAAGTAATCTAGCATAAATCCTTCAGCTTTGTTTTGCTTCTTTTTCAGGATAACTTGGGTCTTTTGTACTTCTATATATTTTCAAAATAAGCCTGTAAAATGCTATCAGTAAAGCCTTCTAGGATTATTATTGGAATTACATTAACTCTTTAGATTAATTTGGCAAAAATTACCTCTTCTCACTCATAAATACGGCTTATCCCTCCATTTATTTAGGTCTTCTCTAATTTCACTTAGCAATGTCTTGTAATTTACAGTACACAGTTCTTGCATACTTTTTGTTAAAGAATTTTTAACTATTTTGTTATTTATAATAGTATTGTAATTGGAATTTTTCCTTTTCCAATTATTTTTCCAATTGCTAATATGCAGAAATGCAATGCATTTGTATGTATTGACCTTGTATCCTCCAACCTTACTAAATTCACTTATTTGTCTTAATAAGGTTTTTAGCCACGTAAACTATCATGTCATTTGTGAATACATACTGTTTTACTTCATTTTCAGTATTTATGTCTTTATTTGTCTTGCCTTATTGCAGTGGCCATGATCTCCAGTACATTGTTTAATGGAAGTGGTGAAAGTAGACATCCTGGTCTTTTTCCTCATCTATGGGGAAAGTATTCAGTTTTTCACCAGCAAGTATGATTTTAGCTGTAGGTTTTTCATAGATGCCCTTTGTCAGATTAAGAAAGTCACTTTTCTAGTTTTCTGAGAGTTTTTATCATGAATGATTGGAGTTTTGTCAAATGATTTTTGGGCATTTATTGAGATATAATATGAATTTTCTCCTTTATTCTGTAAAAGAGATTAATTATAATAACTGATTTACAAATATAAAATGGATAAACCTCATTTAGTCAGATATATAACCCTTTCATATATTGTTGGATTCAGTTTGAAATTAAATAATACAGCTTCAGATAACTCAAGAATTTTAAAAAAGGGGAAATTTTAAAATATTTTGAACTAAATAATGAAAATACAACATACCAAAATTTTATTTAATTTCTAAATATCTTATTAATTTTAAATTTAATTCCATCTTTGTTAGAAAACACTTTATAATATTTCAATCTTTTGAAATTTATTGAGACTTGTTATTTTACCCAGCATATGATCCATCTTGGTGAATATTCCATGGACACTTGTAGGTAAAATGTGTATTCAGCAGTTATTATGTGTAGTATTCTATAAATGTCAATTTAGTCAAGGAAGTCAATAGTGTCATTCAAATATTCTGTATTCTAACTGAATTTTTGTCTAATTATGCTATCAGTGTCTGAGTTGCAGATAAAATCTGCAACTATAATTGTAAATTTTTCTATTGATTTTGTTCTATCAGTTTTTGCTTCATTTTGAAGCCCTGTTATTAGATTTAGTGCAGATTATAATAATTATAACTAATTATTATTAGATTTTAGTACATATTTCTAAGTATTATGCTTCCTTAATATATTTATCCTTTTATCATTATGAAATATCCCTTTAATTTCCGGTAATACACTTTGTCTTGAAGTTCAGTCTGTCTGATATTAATTTAGTAACTCTAGCTTTTTGATGAGTTCTATTTGAATCGTGTATCATCAGTCAGTGTTCTACCAGAGAAACAGAACCTACTGGATATCTATATTTCTATAGATATACAGGGGTGTGTGTGTGTGTGTGTGTGTGTGTGTGTGTGTGTGTGTGTGTTCAGAGAGACAGAATTTCAAGGAATTGGCTGATGTGACTGAAGGGGCTAGCAAATCTGAAATCTGTAGAGTAGGGTGGGCTGGCAGGCTGGAAACTCTCTAGCAGGAGCTGAGGCTATAGTCAGTCCACAGGCAGAATTTCTTTCCCTGGGAAACCTCAATTTTGCTCTTAAGGCCTTTCAACTTACTGGATGAAGTCTACTCAGATTATTAAGGATAATATCCTTCACTTTAAGTCAACTGATTATAGATGCTAATCACATCTACAATATACCTTCGCACCAACACCTAGATGAGTGTTTAATTGAATAACTGGGTGCTATAGCCAAGCCAAGCTGACACATAAAACTGACCATCACAAATGGTATATCTTTATTCATCCTTTTACTTTCAACCTGTTTGTGTTTTTTGTATTTAATGTTCATCTCGTACAGTCAGCATATACCTAGGTCCTGCTTCTTTGTCCATTTTGATAGTCTACTCCTTTTAATTAAAGTGTTTAATTCATCATTTTATCAATAATTTGTCAAATCACATTTGATGTAATATAAATAAATTTGAGTTTAGTTCTGTCATTTCCTATTTGTTTTCTATTTATTTCACATGTTCTCTCATTCATTTGTTCTTCCTTTCCTGACTTATTTGAAATTATTCAGCTGGGCACGGTGGCTCACACCTGTAATCCCAGCACTTTGGGAGGCCAAGGTGGGTGGATCACAAGGTCAGGATTTCAAGACCAGCCTGGCCAAAATGGTGAAACCCCGTCTCTACTAAAAATACAAAAAGATTAGCTGTGCGTGGTGGTGTGCGCTTGTAATCCCAGCTACTCGGGAGGCTGTGGCAGAGAATTGCTTGAACCCACGAGGCAGAGGTTGCAGTGAGCCGAGATCATGCCACTGCACTCCAGCCTGGGCAACAGAGTGAGACTCCTTCTCTAAGAAAAAAAAAAAAAGAAAGAAAAAATAAATTAATCAAATATTTCTAACTATTTTATTTGATTCCTCTATTACCTTTCTTATCTATTTTTCTTTGCATTTTAGGGGTTGTCCCAGGTATCATAACATGCATCTTAACTTACCACAATGTACTTACAGTTAATATTGTACTTTACATAAAATGTAGGAATCGCAGGAATAATTCCACTTAAATTTACCTCCATACTTTGCTCTGCTTTTGTCATATATATTAATTTACATAGGTTATAAACCCCTCACGACAGTGTTATAATTTTTTCTTTAAACAGCCATATGTCTTTTAAAGATTTAAGATAAGAAAATATGATATGTGTGTCGTCTTTTATATTTACCCACATATTTATCATGTCTGATGGACTTTATTTTTCTGGCAAATCTGAGCTACCATCTGGTGCCATTTCCCTTCAGCCTGAAAAACTTCCTTTAACATTTTTTGTAGTGTAGTTGTGCTTCTAATGAATTCTCTTCATTTTTATCTTAAAATGTATTTACTTTGTCTTCATGTTTAAAAACATTTTGCTGAATATAGAATTCTGGCTTGGCAGGGTTTTGTTTTGCTTTTTTCTTTCAGCATTTTAAAGATGCTGCTCCATTGTGTTGAGAAGCTGGTCATGATCGGTAACATCGTTCTCCTCTGGATACTTTCAATGTATTATCTTTATCTTTGGATGTCAGCAGCTTGAACATCAGGTGCCTAGGTATGGTATTCTATGTACTTACCTTGCCTGGGGTTCACTGAGCTTCTTGAATTGCTAATTAATGTCCTTCCACCTAATTTATGAAGTTTAGGTCATTATTTATTTAAACATTTGTCTTACTCATTCTCTTTCTCCTCCTTTCCTTTTTTAACTCCAGTGGCATTCATCTTAGACTGCTTGATGTCCCACAGACCTCTGAAGTGCTCTTCATTTTTCTTTAAAATTTTTTGTTTGTCCTTAGGATAGGATAATTTTTAATGGTCTAGCTACAAGTTCACTAACTCTTTTTCCTGCTACCTCCAATCTGATGTTAAACCCATCTAGTAAATTTTTTATTTTATTGCTTGATCATTTTTGGTTCTAGAATTTCCATTTGTTTCTTTTATTATAGGATGTATTTTTCTGCTGATATTCACCATCTGTTCATTCATAATCCATATATTTTTCTTTATATTCTCAAATATTTATAAGAGCTGCTCTAAAATCTTTGCTAATTGCAATAGCTGGATCACCTCAGGGTTGAGGTCAATCGAATGTTTTTTAGTTGAGTATGGGCCGTGTTTTGTTTCTTTGCCTGCCTGTGAATTCTGATTAGATACTGGACATTGTGAATGATATGTACTAGAGACTCTGGATTCTGTCATATACCTTTGAAGAGTAATTTTTTTCTTTTTTTAACTTTTATTTTAGGTGTGGGGGTACATGTGAAGGTTTGTTACATAGGTAAACACGTGTCATCAGTGTTTGCTGTACATATTATTTCATAACCCAGGTATTAAGCCCAGTACCCAATAGTTATCTTTTCTGATCCTCTTCCTCCTCCTACCTTCCCTCTCAAGAAGACCCCAGTGTCTGTTCTTTCCTTCTTTGTGTTAATAAATTCTCATCATTTAGTTCCCACTTAGAAGTGAGAACATGCAGTATTTGGTTTCCTGTTCCTGCATTAGTTTGCTAAGGATAATAGCCTTCAGCTCCATCCATGTTCCCATAAAAGACATGATCTTGTTCTTTTTTATGGCTGCATAGTATTCCATGGTGTATATGTACCACATTTTCTTTGTCCAATCTGTCATTGATGGGCATTTAGGTTGATTCCATGTCTGTGCTATTGTGAATAGTGCTGCAATTAACATTCGTGTGCATGTGTCTTTATGGTAGAATGATTTATATTCCCCCAGGTATATACTCAGTAATGGAATTGCTGGGTCAAATGATAGTTCTGCTTTTAGCTAGAAGAGTAATTTCAACTGCAGCAGTTAGTTAACTTGGCTAGACTCAAACTCCAAACTCTGCCTCTCCTGTGGTGAGTAACATTTGAAACCTTTGCTCAGTTCCTTCAGCTTCTAGCTGCTGCTTTTTTGCCAGGCTGCCTGGGGTCTCCCTCATGCTTGACAGTTTAGCTTAATAGCTTAGCAATCAACCAAGGATTTGAGCAGATTTTACATTAGATTTTAGGGTTCACGCCCTCTGCGGTTCCCTCGCTTTCAGCATTCCCAATTTTCTGATTGCTCTGCCTGATACCTCAAACTAGTAAGTCTGCAGCTTCTGCCACTGAACCCACCCATGTGGTATGCCCTCAGAAAAAGGCTGCAAACTCCTAAGTCTCATTCTTTGCAGTTCATTTTTTCATGGGCGGACATCCCTTCAGTTTCTGCCTGCATTTAATCATTCTCCAATGTCTTCGATTAATGGGTTTTTAAAAATATTTTGTCTAGATTTTATCATTGTTATCTGCTGCTGGTGGCTGCTTGGGGAGGAGAGAGGGAAGGAGGAAGGGTTAGTAAAACAAAGCTATTCTTCCATTACTGGAAGCTAGAACTTTATTGTCCCTTTTACACAGTAGGAAACTGAGGCCCAGAGAATCAATGTGACTGGCCCAAAGTCTTTTGGCTAATAATCAACTTTAATATCCAAGTCTTGCTATCGTTGATTGATGGGGGCAGGTGATCCTCTGATTTTTTTCTATCTTGAAATGCCTCCATCTACCTCTCTCTTCTCACCCCTCAGACAGATTTACCCTGGATCTTGTGTGAAGTGTGAACACCTTACTAACTGTCCATTCACAAACTGCACTTGCCTTTTTCTTCAGTTGTAAGTACAACTGATGGGGCATGATGGTGGCTATTGGCCATACAGATGCTGGGTAAGACCCGTGGTAGGGATAGTGATGCTACCAGTAGCACCCTGGCCATAGCAGGGAGTTGATTATCAATTGTACTGGGAAGGCAGAGAGGGGTACTGTAAAAGGATCTTGGGCCATGAGTGTTGAGTTTGGTCCTGAATCTGCTGCATAATCATTATGAGACCTAATACAATTCTAATTATCACTCTAAACGTCAGTTTCTTATGTGTGTAGTTGAATGATAATTCACAGTAGTATGGTGTTGTTCTGAAGATCAAACAGAGGAGCATATATGGTTTGTAAACTAAAGTTAAAAATATGAGTCCTCCTAGTTGTTATCAGTGCCTGGTGAGGATGGCGGATGGTGAACCTGGCCACACAGGCACAGCGGTTATTGCCAGCAACCGGGGCAGAGGGAAGCCTCCGGGGTAATTCTCCGAGAGTTAAACTGGGTAGTGAAACCCACACAGGAAGGGTATAGAGGTGGCCCAAGAGACTATCCGTAAATTTGAAGCTGAAAAGATTTGGAAACGTCCAAGTTTAGTCACAGCGACGAGGGTGTATACAGACAGGCAGGACTGGTCTGTGGTCATAACTGGAAATAAGAAGCCCAAGCGTTTGAGCCCTGTTTGGTCATCAAAAAGTAATGGCTGGCAGGAAGCCAGAAAAAGAGACGGACTATTTCCATGCGATCCCGCAGTTCCTGGGGGAGCCCCACCGCATATCTGGTGAACAGGGACACTTCAGGCACCAGCGAGGCATGTTCTGTTGGAGGACAGGGAACTTCAGGGGGCCTCCCTGAGAACTTCCGGTGACACTTTACGAGGATGGATGAACCATCATTTGTTCTGAATCCAAGCCCACTGAGGAGCCAGGAGACCTAGTCAGCATCCCAGAGAAGCACCATATTTGGCAGACCCGCATATTGGACACTCTCTCCATTCATCACAGTCACAGCTAACATGCGCGGCACAGGCACCGTTCTAGCACGTGTGTGTGTGTCTGCCAAATATTTGTGAGTGTGTCTCACAACAGCTCTGTGAGAACCTTACATACTACATTGACGTTATACTTTCTTTTCAGTCTCCTGGAAGTTTGTTTATCATTAATCAGTTCCTCGAAGACAGACTGCCTCTGACTCTACAGACAGAAGCAAGCTTCGGGGTCTGAAAGCAATGAACGGACTACAGATTGTGGCGACCCCAGCCACCACATACACACTCTCGGGGGCTGCTCCCTTTTGAGGGCCTGACGTGGGGTCCAGGCAGGCACCCAACTGGACGTCTCTACATTGGCTGTGGACATAGTGGTGCTAGTGATGGTCACAGCTTACCCATGATGTGGCACATCTGGTGGGAGCCTCAGGCCGGGAACACCCTGGGGTGGGGAAGGGATCTCTGCGAAGGGAGGGGGTCTGCAGTCCAACAAGTGATGGCCTGGGGCGGCTTCAGGGAGTAGGGAGGGGCTGGACCGACGCCCGAATCCCACATATATGTGTAACGCATTGGAGTCTGCACTTGCGTGACCCTGTCACCGTCACCTCCTGGACTTCTCAGGAATCTCCTGGTTGCTCTCTGTAGGGCAACTCCAGCTCACTCCAAGTCACCCTCCACCCAGCAGCCAGAGGGATCTTTCCGAACATAAATTCCCTCTCGCCACCACCTCCCTCCTTCACACCCTGCCCAAGTCCCTTCAGTAGAGAGACCCAGGCCTGGAGACTGTACAAAGCCCTGCAAAGTCTGGTCCCGCCGCCGCACCCTCGGAGCCCAGCGCGGAGAGGGCGCTTAGTGCGTGAGCTACCGTCGTTCCCCGCGACTCAGCCGAGCGGCATCCGCACACCCTGCTAGCCTAGGAAGCGCATCGAGGGAGCCCGCTCAAGCTGAAGCGCTGCACGAGCTGTGTCTTCCTTCTCTCCGCCGCGAATGCGGGCAGGATGCGAGCAAAAGACCCGGCAAAGAGGGCGCCGAGGGGGCGCAGCCGGGGCGCTGGGCGGACCCAGAGGGGACATGGAGAGGAACGCGGAAGGTACGCGGTAGAGACGGGGAGGTGGCGCGAGGCGGGACATGGTGAGCGACCCGAGGGGCGCGCGGACTGGGCTCGCGGACGGGGCTCGCGGACGTAGAGCAGTCGAGGCGCGGAGGGGGAGCGCGCCCCCGTGTGGCCAGGCGGGGAGGCGCCACGGCCGGGGCCGTGGGGGCGGTGGGAAGCGCTCCGCGTCCGGGCTCTCAGCGTTCCCTGGCCTGCCCCGGCTCGCTAGGCTTTGATGGCTGCTTCCGCTCCCCATAAAGGCCTGTTTCATGGCCGACGCCGGCATGGGCTTTACGTCTGCCCTCGGGCTCCCTGCGGGCTGCAGAGGGCAGCGGTGAAATCCCCTGTCCGGCCAGGCTGTTCTTGCTCTAAAGGGAGGCCCAGGAGTGTGTGCGGGCGGCGTGCTCCGTGCTGGGCTCTGTGCCGAGCCCTATTCATTGCATATCCCAGTTTCTGTCTCTGGGTGCGTTTCCCTGGCCCTGGCCACTTCCCCTCTTTGAGCGTGGGCACTGTGTTTATTAGTTCATTTCCCATCCCCACACCAAGCACTGCCTGGCACAGAGCAGGCGCTCGGCAAAGGCTTGCGGGATGCGCAGACCAGCTCATTTAATGCTTGCAGGTGCCCTCTGCGGTGGGCATTACTATTTCCACCATCCTCATGATGGATCTGGAATCCACGGGGGTCCCCTGCCCAGGATCGTGCAGCCTGTGGAAGGCAGCAGGCGCCGGGATGCCGAATGGATTGAATGAGCTTCTCGGGGATTCCCTGAGCTTGGTGAACGCAGAGCCCACCCTGACGGTCAGGCCTAACCCCACCGCCAATAACAGAGCAGCCCTAGGTGGAAGTGGGCTGCCTGTGCCTGGCACTGGGAGCGGCAGAGGCGGCTGCCGCTGTGGAAGTAGCGCCCGCAGTGCCAAGCTCCTGTGCCTGGGAGGACGCGGGCACTGGGCGACCTGCAGTCGGGGCTGCCCCCAGGCAGGGCTCCCTGGCTTTCTCACAGCGCGGCTCGCGGGAAACGACGCTGCCCTATGGCACAGTGAAGTAAGGCGATGGCTGCTCTCAGCCAGAGGCGGGGCTGGGGGAGGGGGCCAGAGATGCCCCGGGAGCCCCTGGACCCTCTGGAGGGTCGGGTGGGGGAGGGGAGATCTCTGTCTTGACCACGCACTTGTAACCCATTCTTGGCACACCGGGATACCTTGCCTGCAGGTAGTGCTCTGCTCTCGGGGAGAGGGCACAACCTCTAATCCTCTGACCGAGGCTCTCTGCCTCTCACAAGAAGCCCCCAACACACTGGTTTTCCTCACAGCCTGCCCCAACTGCTCATCGGAACCTGCAGCCCCCTTCCCTGCCCCAACTGTCCCTCTGCGGACCCCATTACCCTACTTTCTGTCGAGCCCAACTGCCCTATCCTTTATACAGGCTGTCGGGGGCAATGGTGGTGAGCATGGGCTATGGAGTCAGATTGCCTGGGTTCAAATCCTGGCTCTGCCATCTTCTGACTGTGTGACCTTGGGCCAGTTTCTTTATTTCTGTGCCTCAGTTTTCTCGTCTGTAAAATTGACGGGATGGTGGCATCTGTCTCACAGAGTGGCTGTGAGGGTAGCGGGCACACTGCCACAGGCACGATGAACGTCAGCTCTTGTTGCCAACCTCCCCCCACAACACACACAGCTTAGTAACTCTACCCTCACCCAACACATAACACCTAGCTTGTCCCTCATAATGAGCTCTCAGCCTAAATCAGTGCCCTCAGCAAACCTGTGGTGCAGGGCACGTGTTAGGGTAGACAAGATCCTGGGGAAGACTCACTGACTCCACCGAGGCAGCACTGGCTGCAGCTGGGATTGGCCCAGACATTTAAGAGCCGAGGACTAAGCAATGCCTGCATTGCCTGCTATGTGCATATGTCCAGCAGGACGGCAGTGTCAGGCCACTGGCCAGTGGGGACCAGCCTCTGAGCTGGTCATCCGAACACCCTAGGAAAGAGTCCACCCCGTCCTTCATGTTCTATCACTGCTTGGCCTAGCTAAGCCAAGCACCTGGGCCCAAGCCCCACCGTGGAGATGGCGGCTGGAGCAGTGTCCGAGGTCACAGATGGAGGAATGTGACCTCCAGCCCAATCTCGACTCTGCTCTTTGCCAGTTCAGTCTTGCCCAAGTCACTTGGGTTCTCCAAGCCTATGATCTCCTCTTTAAAATGGAAGGGAGAGCTGGGCATGGCGGTTCATGCCTGTAATCCCAGTACTTTGGGAGGCTGAGACGGGAGGATCACATGAGGCCAGGAATTCAAGACCAGCCTGAGTAACATGATGAGACCCCCATCTCTACAAAAAAACAAAAAACACTTTGGTTTTTGTTTGTTTGTTTGTTTTTGTTTTTGTTTTTAATTAGCAGGGCATGATGGTGTGTTTCTGTAGTCCCAGCTACTCGGGAGGCTGAGGCGGGAGGATCAGTTGAGCCCAGGAGTTCAAGACCAGCCTGGACAACACAGCAGACCCCGTCTTTATAAAATAAATTCAGTAAAATGGAAGGGAGAGAGTCCATCTCTATTCCAGGTGCTTGGTCCTGGGGGAAGGTAGGGGAAGGGACAGAGAAGGAAGCAGGAGAGGCAGCACCAACACCTCTTCCCACCTGTGGGAGATTCTGCTCTCTCATTGACTGGAGCTGGGCTTGCCAGAAAGTCAGATGTGGCCAGTCATCTCTCTCTTGCCCCACCTGAGGTGAGCTCTAACTGTACCTTCTCCATCTCAGAAATAAACGTGGCCTTTGAGTGGGGACACTCAACAGTCAACTTCCCTGCTTCCCATGAGGCAGAGTTGCAGAAACCTAGATTCAATCCCTGCTGCACCAGTCCCTTACTAACTATGTGACACTGGACAAGATGTAGCCTCTCCAGCAGTGGCCAACTTTGTTTCGCTCTTATTACATACCAGGCCCTTGGGCAAGCACTTGCCCCCATCCGTGCAACAACCCCACGAAGTAGCCCATCTCACAGGCAAGAAAACTGAGGTTCCAAGAGGTTATGTAAGTTGCCACCATCACACAGCTGGCAAGTGGGAGAGCTAGAAGGTGGATGGTGGCAGAGTCTGGGCATTGGCACGTCACCCTCCCAGAGCACCGGGATGGGGAAAGGAGGTCTCTGGAAAGTATCTATCCAGCACAGGTGGAAACTCAACGCTGATTCTGGGTTTTTTGTCGCATCCCCTTTCGGAGGGAACCAAACTGTGATTCCTTGATCTCACCACAGGGTGTCTCCACGCCACTACTCAACCAGCCACCCGATGCCTGGGCTACCTTTGGCGCAGCCCTTCCTCCTGTGGGACTGGCTGCAGCCCTCCTGCTCCTGTGTGGCCTGTTTGCGCCTGTCTTGTCTTCAGCGGGGACAGGCTCTGATTCCTCTGGGAAGCATGAGGGCTGTCACTGACCTGCACCCCCTGCCTTGTGGGGTTCAGCGGAGTGGCGTGGAACAGAAGTGCTGCTTTCCACGTGGCCTCTTCTCTGCCTCCCCCAAGTTCCCCCACACTGTCCTGTGTCAAGAGTCACAGCCAGAGCCTCAGTCTCCAGAAGTCACGGCAACAGAGCTGTGGGGAGATCCCACGCCCTCCCATGGGGGACCTTGACCTGCCTGGAGAGAGGGGCTCGTGCCACCTGCGTGGGGCCCCTCCCCAGTCTGGCTTGGTAACTGCGGACCTCTGTATTACTTCCTCTTCTCCGCAGCCCATGCTGCCGTGAATGTCCCCGTGTGACAGTTGTTAGAAGGGGAGTAATTACCTCCTTTTGGAAGTTTCAATGAGACCATGTAGGTAAAAAACATCTTGCAAGCTCTTCATTGAAATGTTGCTTGCCAAAAATAGGGAAACGGGGGCTAGGTCAAATGACTGTCCCAAAGCCACTCAGTAAGTCAGCGGTGGCCATAGGATCCTGATCCCAATCTAGCGATTCTCCCAAGAAATCACACTTGACTTTGGGGTGGCCTCCTCTGTGTGAACCTAGTCCAGGGCGTTGAAAGGGCACAGAACAGAGATCCTCGGGAGGAGGAGGAATCTGGGGATGAAGGAGTTAAGGGGGCCTGGAGCCGGGATGGCTGAAGGCTATAAAGAGACCAGTATGAGAGGAAGAGGCCAGCGAGGGGCCTGGCTTTGATTAGGCCCCCAAGGCCATCTGGAGAACCAGACGCTGGAGATGGGTTGGTTTTATGGGGGCAGATGGCATAAATTATAGGGGCGTTAATGGGGTAGAGGGGTTCCCCCCACAGTGCTTCTGAAAGGGGTTGCATGGGGGGTCCTCGTCCCTAGCAGCCTGGGCCAATCCCATCTGCTCCAGCCTCTGCTGTGTCTCCCTGCCTGCAGTACAATACCCTCCACAGAAACTGCCCCCAGAGGCATCTGAGAGCATGCTCCAGCACTCAAAGGAAACAGAGACCCTCTGCTGCCTAGACAGGAGCCACATCAGGACGGTGGTACTGCCTGGAGCCATCATATGATGGGCAACCCAACATCTGGCTCAACGAATCCTCAACAGCCAGCCAATTGAGAATGGTCATGTCCCATTTGTCTCCAAGCCAACTGCAGGACTTGAACAGTCATCAGATCACACCCTCAATGGTGAGGGGCTTGGTGACCATCCTATCCAAACACTTCAACAGAAGCCTAGGGCTACACAGCTAACTGACCTCAGGGCTGGACTTGAAACTTAGACTCCTCACACTTGAGCCAGTACATTTTCATGACCACTCGCCATCATCACACAGCCTCTCTGGATCTCAGTCTTTTCATCTAACAATCGCTGTTTGGCCTCCCTCCCAGCTGAAGTGGAATGAAACGTCGGCTGCAAAAGGCTTTGAAAAGTTAAAACCACAACACAAGTGATTGCAGCATTTTGTGAGCAGAAGTTGGGGAGCCCGTGGAGTTTCCCAGGAATGGGCTAGTGGTTCTGCTCTGTGGAGGAGTCCAACTGACACCTCTGGCCCTCACAGGCCCTCTTCATTTTGGCTCTGCTCAGGGACTCAGGTAGTGCTCAGCCTGAGCCCACATCATTAGGAGGGTGGGTCATTCTGAAAACAAAAACCTCTCTTTGTGCTTCCCAAAGCCCATCAAAAATGATTTTCAGTCACCCCACTGGGGGAGTTATCCCCATCATTGTATCCCATTCTTGCAAAGGATAGGAAGTAGAATGTGGGGAGCAGGGATGGAGAGTTGACAACCAATTCTTCCACCACTTCATATGCAATCTTAGCTAGTCAGAAAACAACCTAAACAACGTCTAGCAAACTCGAGGTACATATCTCAAATGCAGCAATTTCTCTTCTAGAAATCTACCCCTCAGTTATATTAGCACAGATGTCTTTGTACAAGACTGTTCATTGCAGCTTTGTTTGTAATAACAAAGACTGAAAGCAACCTAAATATCTATCATTAGGGGATGGAGCAAATAAATTGTGGTACCCATACTATATAACACCAGGCAAAGAATGAAGTAGATTTATAAGCATATACAAATGCAGTCGATTTATGTAAGGATCTGCAGGATATATTGTTAAAAACAAGTCATATATGGAACAGTGGAGATACTATGTTCCTGTTTATGCCCAAGAAAAGAAGGTACATGTAAAGCATAAGAAATTTCTGAATGATACACAAATTCTGTTCATAGTAGTTGCCTCCAGGTTGAGAGACAGGTGGCTTCCGGTAAAGAGGGACTTACTTTTCATTATATTCCTATTTTAGCATATGTATTTGTTCCACTTTTTCAGTTAAATGGAGAGAGGTAGTTAAAAAAAAAAAAGAAGTTGGTCTAGAAAAATAACTGCTTGGACGTAACCACATTTCTGCACTCAATCCACCTTCTGCCTTCCAAGTCTTGCCCCTGCTCCCTTGCACAGCTCTGACCCACTCCAGCCAATAAGCCTCAGCTTTCATCATAGCCACAAGCCTTGGGGGAAACTGCCCTTCATTCTGCAAGGACTGAGGCCTCCCTGTCATGCCCAGCTGCAAGAAGACTCAAGGGCTCCTATACGAGGATCTCAAGTGCTTGGAAAAGGGGTGTTACCCCAGGTGATGCCCTTTGTACAAGCCAAGGGGCTTGGTTTCCTATTAAGCCCGCGGAAGGAGTGGCAGTTAAACACCAAGCTTCAAAGAGTTGAGGATTTTCAAAAATCGCTTTTGGGGAATCTGCAGCTTTTATTGGAGGTGTCAGACATTAATGAGGGTTCTGGATCATTCCCAGCCTGCAGAGCCCTCTCTTCCTCTCTTCTCCGCCCCCACTCATTCCAGCAACCAACTTCCCCACTTTGATGAATCAGGAGAGGCTGAGAGTTCAAGGGGGTATTTCTGTCCCACTCTCAGCCCACCTTCTCCCCTTTTGCTTCAAGAAGATGTGGAAGCTGAAAGGACCCAAGATGGGGGAAGAGGGTACAGAACTCAAGGGAAGGGCTGGGGAGCAGGTTCAGACAGAGGCAAAAGAACCCAGCCTTGCTTACCTGCTCCTCTGGAAACAGTTTCGTGGCAAAGAATTAGGAATTCTGGAGCCGCCCGAATGCCAGCTGGGATGAAACCCTCAACACACGATCACTCCCTCTGGGCAATGATCATGCTCTTAGATATTTTGAGATCCTTAAATGGAAGGAGTTGTAGGAGCTACATTTTGTCCAAATACGTAGTTACATATGAGCTTTTCTTGACCGCATTTTCAATGCTGATTGAGTTCCCAGTCTTAGGATGTACCTAGTGAACATGAAAGGTAAGTGGCATATCCAAAACAAAGGTGTGCCTTCCAATTCACTTGGAACAGACAACATGCTCAGAAGTATTTGTGGAATGAATGCATGCATTTGCATATGCGTGAATGAATGAATGAGCCTGTTTTATCCTTCTCTTTATTTACGAAATGAAGACATTAGATTAGATGTTAGAAATTAGACACTGGATTAGATTAGACATTTAGTTTAGACATTAGAAATTACTCTTGCTGGTTAGGGATTGGAAACTCTGAAAAGACTATACCATGAGTTGTTAAAGGAGAGGTCCACTGTCCTACTCATGTTTCAATAAATGACGGATGGATGGATGGATGGATGAGTGGAGGAATATACAGTATTTTGACCCCTGGAGTTCTAGGGGAAGAATAAGACAAACATATATCATTAGTCCTGCCTGAGGCAGGAGGATGGACAAGATGACCTATTGGGTCTATTTCCAACCCAAGTATTAGTATCTATAGCCAGAATGTGCAATCAGAAACATTTGTGGCTAGACCCTGAGAAGATGTCATTACTCAGGTTTCTTAAAAGTTATTTTTCGCTAACTTGTGAACAGCCCTCAGGAAACTCAGTCTCTCACACTGGGGCAGGGTGGTCATCTCCACCGCTGGCCCCTGGAGCCCTCTTCTGATGCCAGTAACCATGATGACTCAACACGGTCACCCATCAGAGTCCAGGGCTCCTCCATTCTACTCAGAGAAATCCCCTGAAAGAAACTGGGGAAAGAGTTCTGTGCTTTTCTGAACACCTTCGTCCTGGAGAATGTGTCCCAGGTCAAATATAGAGAAGTGAAATGGAGATATACAAGGCTTATTGGTTCATTCCACTTGAGGAGCAGGTGGATCTTAAGAGCAATACACTGGTGGAAAGTTCACTTTTTAACTTCCAAGAACCAACAAAGAAAGGAGCCCACCTGACATTGACCTTGAGATAGACTTCTGTCCCATTCTTCTCCAGACCTCTTGGTCTCTCTCTTTGACTTCCTACCCTTTTCCTAAAGTCCCTTCTTTCTGGTTGCCTGGACCAGTGTCCCTGCCCCATCCCTTCCCACAGAAAGCCCCCTTATTGATGGCCTAGCTGGCATCAGTGTGATGGAAGCCTTTTAGTCTCCCATGGGAGAGCTGTGGTCGATGTCCTCAGTAGCCTAGAAGCAAGCCTGTCTCCATCCATGATGAGCACTAGCTTTTTTCTCAGCACCAATTATCTGGTCTCTTATGAAGAAGGGCTATCTTTCTGAGCTTGTCTTTGACCCTGCCCCTTATAAAACAATAGCCCCAGCATTAATTCATCTAAGGAGCATCACCCGTTCCTGAGCTTGGCTTATAGTAGAAGTGTCACCATGTCGGTTGTTCACTGTTCTCAGCATCTGGAATGACTAATGGTAGTCAGACTAATTCCTAACATCACCAGGATGAAAGGTAGGGAGGCCGCCTGTGAGTTCATTCTGCCATAAGAATTATCACAGAGAATGATCCATCCAACTAGGTCCTGTCTCTGACAGGGGTGAGGAGCATATGCTATTCTCATGATGTCCCATTGAAACGCTAGTGGGGGATGCGTCCAATAGTTTTATTCCCCCAGTTGACATTTATGCATGACTTGATCCTTTGTAGTTTACCCAATGTGTTCATGCACATTGTGTCTTCTAATCCAACTTTAGGAGGCTGATAGCATCGTTGTCTCCATCACACAGTAAGGAAGCTAAAATTTGGAGACTTGTCCAAGGTCATATAATTGATAAAAGGCTGAGTAAAGCCTAGAACACAGGTGCCCTGACCCTTCTGGCTTCTCCACTTTACCCCTTTAAGACATGTATATATTTCACCTAGAAGTCATATTGGTACTGAGACTGCTACTACACCAGCTGAGAGTTATAAAACCACTTTCCTCTTCGCCAGACAGGGCTAGAAGCTGGAGTTCTGAAGCTGCAGAGAGACAAAGGCCAGCACTTCTGATCCTCTAAAGCTTGGAAAGAAACCACATCATGAACAAAGACAGCTCATTGTATAATCTAGGGAGAGAGAGAAGAGGAGGAAGGGGAAGAGGAAGGAAGGAAGAAAGGAAGGAAGGAAGGAGCGGGAGGGAGGGAAGGAAGCAAGGAAGGAAGGAAGGAGAGGGAAGAAGGAAGGAAGGATGGAAGGAAGGAGAGGGAGGGAAGGAAGGAAGGAAGGAGAGGGAGGGAGGTAGGGAAGGAAGGAAGGAAGGAAGAGGGAGGGAGGGAGGGAAGGAAGGAAGGAAGAGAGACCATCAAACAATTCTCTAAAGATTTCTGGGAAATCACATACTCGATACAGAAACTGCATGCACACACATGTGCACACATGCATGCACACACACACACCCCCCACACACACGTCTGTATGAGGGTGTAATGGAACCAGCATAGGCTCTGGAGCCAGGTGGACCTGGTTAGTTTCCTGGCTCTAACATTACTGCTGTGAGTCTCTAAGTAAATCACCAGATCTCTCTAGGTCTCCTTTTTTCTTCATCTGAGAAGCGAGGGAATTAATACCCATCCAAAGACCTCAAAAAGCTCAAGTGAAATGTTGAGCTAGAGACTGGAGGAGACAGGACTGGGGGACGTGCCCAGTGGGAGGCACAAAAGCCCTAAGGGGAAAGAGTTTGAGACCCTCAGATAACCATCTTAGAAGTCACATTGAGGAAACCATTCTCCAGCATTCACAAACCCCAGAAGAAAGGTCACATTCTTTTCTCCTTACGATTTTGATACCAGGCCCAGTTTCCCTCCCTCTTAAGAATCCTTTCCACCCATCACCACCCTAATGCATCCTCCAGATTTGCCCAGAGGACTCTCAGTTGCCTCTATTCAGCCATGCTGATCTCTTCACCCTTAGCTTGTTTCTGTGCCAGAACCAAAGCCCCGTGGATGGGTAAACCTGAGACAGGCCTGGGCCTTCTGGCCTGAGCTGGGCCTCTCAACGGCGCACTGCAGAAACAGCAGCTGAGAGAGAGGGGCCTCACACTTACGGAGGCTAATGGAGGGCCTGGATATGTCAACCCAGAACTGAGATTTGAAAAGGTCCAGGGAGGGGAAAGGGCCAGGCCCACTGCACTCACTTTACTGACCAATGCCAAGGCCAAGGGCAAAACTGAGAGTCTGAGGTTGTTGAGCAAATAAGCTGAGCTAGCCTAGAGCTCTGCAAGAGAACAAAAGGAGGTGGAGATGGTGGTAGCCACCAAGGGCCAGAGAGGGAAGCTGGGCATTGATGAGATGGACAGTCTGCAGCCACAGGTGCCCCTGGACATCAATTCAGTGGACTGAGTCAGCAACCCAAGCTGGAGGCGTGGAGAAGGCGATTGGGCTGGAACAGGCCCCTTCAGAAATAAGCGTGGGTGATGAGCTGGGAAGGAAACAGAGGCAGCTACATCAAGCAGGCCCCTGGGAAGCTCCAGCGTTAGTGGCCCAGCACTGTTGCCGTGTTCCCAGGGCAGCTTTGATCCCCAGCACATGGAGTATCACCACAGGGGCCGGCAGTCTCTGTTGGGGGAGCCAGCCCCTCTCCTCCTTGCTGCCTCATTAAATCAGACCCTCCCCTACTCCCACTCTTCTTTGCGCAATATCTTGGATTTTCTTCTGCCCCCGACTTCCCCACAACACCCCACCCTCACACTCCTTCTTATTCCAGCCTTTCTCCTCCCTGACTCAGCAAGCGGGGAGCTGCCTCATCCAAGCCTAGAAGGGCAGGAACAGACACCCTTTGAAAGCTCCTCCGTGGCAACCTGCATCCTACTCCTGGCTGTGTGACCTGAAGCATTCCATGACCTCCCTGTGCATTGTTCCTTAAGAGAAGCGAAGAAGATTCCCGCCAGCCCCTGTACTCTGTAATTCTCATCTTCTATGCAATATTAGTGGGGATGGAATCTCCTATATTCTAGACGCTGAGCCAAGGAGCTTCAAGGCACTTGAAGTTCCGAGAAGTTAAAGCAATTACCCAAGATTGCACAGCCAGGCAGCAACCGAGCCAGGATTTAGAACTGTGATCTGTTTGCTTCAGGCCAGGTACACAAGAGCCTCAGCAGTTATTAAATGATTGGCTACAGATGATTTACAGATTTTTTTTTTTTTGAGATGGAGTTTCGCTCTTGTTGCCTAGGCTGGAGTGCAATGGCACAATCTCGACTCACTGCAACCTCTGCCTCCCGGGTTCAAGCAATTCTCCTGCCTCAGCCTCCAGAGTAGCTGGGATTACAGGCATGTGCCACCATGCCCAGCTAATTTTGAATTTTTAGTAGAGACAGGGTTTCCCCATGTTGGTCAGGCTGGTCTCGAACACCCGCCTCAGCCTTCCAAAGTGCTCGGATTACAGGCGTGCGGAACACCACACCCAGCCCAGATGAATATTTTAACAGTGACAGGGAGAGAAAGTCAGTGGGGTGTGCTGGCTGTAACAGCTCAGGGTCCCCAAGGCTGGCTGGGTCTATTACTAGAATCTGTTCACTCACCTTGTTCCCCTCTCTCCACTTGGGAATGCACAGCCTCTTCAGGATCCCCACAAGTAACAACAATGTCAGGGGGACCCACTGAATGGCCCCCTGGGAAATTCCAGCCCAGCTAATACACCCTCGGGGTCCTGTGCAGGACCCTGATCTCCTCTACAGGGAGTGACAGGGAAGGACACAGCTCTCACTTCCTCTGCAACGGGCCCCTGCAGCCCAGAGCTTGGGGCAGGAGCCTGGGGGAATTGGCTTGCGAGGAAGTCCTGGGTTTCCTGGGCATCTGACTCACGGCCTAATTCAGGGGAAAGTTGCCTCCACCCAGCCTGGGCCCCAGCTTTCTCCTGTTAATTGAGACAATGACCCAGCTCCCAGGACTGCTTCCAGCTTGAAAGGGGCTTTAAGCTGCCGGGATGAAAGGCTGGGGTTGAGTACAAAGCAGCGCAAGCTGTCCTGGGAGTGGGAGGCTGGCCCTGGGCCTTCTCCAGTGCCCCCACCCCAACAAGGGCTGAGTCACTTCCTCCCTTCTGGCTGGATTTCACCTCAGTCATCCAGACACATCGAACTTTGGAGGGGCAGGTGATGGGGGGTGGAAATGAGGGGACGGAGGGGCAGCGGATGGTCCCAGAGAGTCAGGCAGGAACCTCAGTCACCACCAGAGGTCCCTATCCCTGGAGGGGAGGGAGGTGCTGAGGTCCTTGATGCTGGAGGAGCTGCGATCATGCATCATAGCTGCATGACTCTGCTCTTGATGTGTCTGGGGGAGCAGGATGGCTCATCCAAGAGCATCCTTGGTTACGCGTGAAGTAACCCAGGAACAAAGAGGCAAGGAGATTTCCCAAGGTCTCACAGTACATCTGAGGAAAGAGCAGATCTGAAACCTGTAGGCTCCCAGAGCCCCTCCCATGGGCACCCAGACCCCAGATCACTCACTCATGTACCTGTGAAGCTCCCCCATGAGCTCCATAGCACTGCACTTTGCATTGCGGGGGCACCATAGAACTACAGACACGGTCTTCGCCTTCAAGGAATTTCTTTTGCTGCTAGACTAATGTCTTATTAGTACCTGGAAGGATCACTAGATATTTCAGGATTTAAAACAACAACCAAGAAAGGGATGCTGAGAGGGAATGAGGCAGAGGTGAGAGCTCCTAAGGAAGAGGGTCCCCGGGCTGGCCCCTGCCACCACATCAGCACGACAAGGCCCTCCAGGACATTCTCCTCCTGCTGCCCTCAGGTGCATCCATTATACTAAGCTCACCAAGCCGGGCTCCTCGGGTTCTCTTGACCTGGGGGACCTCAAATCTTCCAGCTCCCAAGGGACTAGTGTTTCCATTCAGCATTCAGCATTCGGACATGTAATTAACAGCCAGAGCCCACTCTGAGCCAGGTCCTGGGCTATGGACAAAGAAGTCCTGGTCCTTGCCCACACAATAGAGAGGAACCATCTGCAGCCACTGGGCTGAAAGTCGCCTGTGCTGAACTGGGAGTCGGTACAGGCAGGATGCTGTGAGGGCCAGGGAAGCAAGTGCGATCGGGTTAACTCAAAGCACAGAAGACAACTCACTTGAACTTTGGAACCAAGACCCTTCCTCTTTCCTGTTTTGAGCCATCTCCCCCCAATTCAAGGCCTACCCTGTCATTCCTGACCTAGTGGAGGTCAAACTAAACCAGCCTGACCTAGTGGAGCTCAAATCAAGCTCTAAGCAGTTTCTTCCACTGGGCGCTTTCTCATCCTTGGAAACTCGCCAAGTGGAGATAATAATGGCATTAGTGGGTTGCGTGAACATGTATGAAGTCTTAGGACAGCACCTAGGTAGGGGGCAGGTGCCTCAGCCATTCTTGTTCCTTTCCTCTTGGTACTTTCAAATCCACGTGTATTCGAAAGCAATGGGAAGTGTTTGTGTAAACCGTGAAGAAGTCTCCAAAAGCATGGGTGGTTAAAAACCAGCACCCTAGCGTAAGGGAGACTGTGCAGTGATGGTAGTGGAGGGCTTTACCACAGAGGAGGTGCAGGCCTTTCTGTTGTTTGAAGTGGCTTGGGTGGAGTCTGGCCCGGAGGCAGGGGGCTCCCTGCAAGGACCTCTCAGGTTCCCTTTTAGTTGGGCCCATCTGAAGGTTGCAGAGAAGACACAGAGGGGTGGAGTATAAGCGACCCGTGGGCTTGTTTTTGCTAGTTTTCTGGGTGCAGGGCTTGCTCCTCCTGGCACTGGTCCTTCCTGGGGCCCTCGGCTCCAGCTTGTTAGTTTTAACTGGAACAATTTCCTTTGAACTCAGTTTGAATGAGCATCACCATGGCGATGGATCAGGGTTTTCACAAGTCGACCTGGTCTTCACCCCTTAAGCAATTAGTTCGAAGGAGAAAAGGAGAAAGAGGAGGAGGGAAGAGGGGAGGTGGGGGAGAAAATGGAAAGGAAGGGAAGGGGAGAGGAGGAAGAGGAGGAAAACTGGAGAAAGAGAAGTAATGAGGAAGGAGAAGAGGACGACACAGGAAAGATGAGGAGGAGGAGGAGGAGGAAGGTAAGGAGGCTGGGGAGGATGTGGCAGGAGGAGGGAGAAGGTAGGAAGTAGAGGAGAACCATTCTGCCAGGCTAAGCCCAGGGGCCTAGAGTACTCCAGAGGCCCTTGACCTTCCCAGCCTTTCCCACAGCCCCACCTACTGGGAGAAGCCAGAGAAGCAAAGGAACCAGATCTTTGACCTGCAGCCTGAGAGGAAGGACACTGTTCCAACTTTCTGCAGGGTCACCCAGGAGCCTGCTCATGAGCAGTCAGCACCCAGGCGACAAGCCCACCTTCATTCAGCCTCTTTCTCCTGCAAGACCAGGCTAGGAGGACACAAGAGCAGGGGCTTCGAGTCTGAGAACTGAGGAGAGGTGGCGGGTCCCCTAGGTACTTGCCCTAGAACCTTGGGCAAGCCAGCAGCCTCTGTCAAATGGCAAGGATGGCTCCTCTTCCTTGGGTTCAGGGAAGGAGTGTCAAGTGAGAAGGCTGGTTGCTCACAGGGGTTCTGTGCACTCCGAGAGCCCTGGCACAGACTCCACATGGTCTCCAGGGGCTCACTGCTTGCCTGCTTGTCAGCTCTCTCACTTGGCTGGGAGCTTCAGGGAGGCAGTGACTAGGTCTTCATCATCGTTGAATTTCTAGACACTAGCACAATGCCTGGCATGTTACATAGGCAATAAGTATTTTTCTGATGAATTAATGATTGATGAATTATTGTTATTTTTCCCAAAAATGGGTGGCAAGACTGGGGAAAGGAGACTAGCAAGCCTGAACCCACTAGAATTTGATAGAGATGAGATCTCCCTTTCTTCAGGACTCAGTATGTCCCCATGTCCTCCAAGAGGCCCTCCTGGATTTGCCACCCCGCGCCCCACCTCCCCAGACCCTTCACTCTAGAGCCCCACTGTGTTCCATGGCCCCTGCCATCATCCCCATCATCATGCAGTATAATCATTGATTCGCTCATCCATTTCCCCAGCTAGGTCAGCTCCATGAGAGAGGGACTATATCTGGTTCCCCAGGTCCTTGCACACTCCAGGCACGGAGCTGATGCTCTAACCATGTTTGTAAATACACGGACCTGAGTATTCCAGCCAGGGCCAGGTGTCAGGCTTTCTGAGGCCAGTAAAGGCAGTGCCTGGGGGAAACAAGCCTGTGAATGGAGGGCTCACCACACAGCATGCCAAGTGGAAAACAGGCCGGGAGAGGATGGGGGCTCCGGAGAGCTATCACTGATATCTACTCTACAAATGACTGAGGAGGAGAGGTGTTTCCTAGGCCGCCAGCCAGAACTCTGGCTATGAGATATGCCGAAAAGATTTAGGTTAGAAATCAGAATGACAGCCGGGCATGGTGGCTCATGCCTATAATCTCAGCACTTTGGGAGGCTGAGGCAGAAGGATCACCTGAGGTCAGGATTTTGAGACCAGCCTGGCCAACATGGTGAAACCCTGTCTCTATTAAAAATACAAAAATTAGCTGGGCATGGTGGCAGGCACCTGTGTCGTCACTATCTCCATCTGTCTTCAGAACCGTCCTGCTTCTCCCTCTCTGTCCCCACTTCTTACCCTTTGGCTCCTGTCTGTTTCTCCTTTCGCTCTTGTAACCTCCCTTCCCAGCCCTCACCACTGCTCCAGCCTCTTTTCCCAAGTCCTGCCTTGGCCTCTCTGCCTCTCCCTCCCTCCCCTTTCCTCCTCTGCTGCTCATTATAAAAAATAAATATTTCTAAATACGCCAAAAATGCACTCATCCCCCAAGGACCCCTGTCTAGCACAAAGGGCTGGTTCTTTCTGGCTGCTCCCTGTGGCCTCCTTCTTGCCCACTGCCTTTGAATCGTGGCCTCATTCACATGACTGGAAGGGCTAACAGGGCATTTTCCCACGTGTCCGGGTGGGGAGGAGGACAGGGTCGGGGTGGTAAGTTGGATGAAGGAGGGTGGAGACAGGCAGCTGAGAATCTTCCCAAAATTTGGCTCATCCTCAGGGGAAACAAACTGCTTACTTGATATCATGACTAACTCCTTGGAACCTACAGGATCCATTAGCGATGCGGGAAAGATTCGGGTTAGAAATCAGAATGACCATGCAAACCATGAGGACAGCCACCATGTGGAATGTTTGGTCCCCATGGCACAAAGATTTGGGCTTCTTCCTGGGATGAGTTGGGATCCCTTTGGCATGGAGGCAGAGGGGGGGCTCCGTGATTCCTGGGAGACCCTCTGGATGTGAGCACCTCTGAGATTCTGGAGGGAGCCCAGGGCTCCCTGTGCTCTGTCCTCCCACCCCACACCCCACCCTATGCTCTCTGCTCTCTGGTCAAGTCCCTGGTCCGCGGGAGCACTGACCTAGAGTGTGGAAGCTCCTCCCCTTGAAAGCTGGGCTGACCTTGCTTCAGCTGAGTCCAGGAGAAAACACACATCTGACACACCCCAGGGCTGGGGGAAGGGAGGCAGGAGCAGAGGAGGGGAGCATCCAAGGTCCTGAAGTTCCAGAAGGAGTCCAGCCTTCTCACAGAGCCTGAAGCATAGGCATGGGCAGAGCGGGTGCCGGACCTCCAAATGGCTCTCCCTCTGCACTGTGGAATCACTCCCGCAGGAGGCAGGTGGTGGGAGAAGGCCTTGGCCTCAGCATTCCCCTGCCCTTGTGTCCTCCTGTTCTGAATTTCCTAATCTCTTTCCTGCATGTCCCCTCAACAACCTCCCCTCCCCTCCCTTCCCCACCCCACACCACAGCAGCTGGGCTGCTGGAAGTCGGGAGTGTTTATGAGTTAATCAAAAACTCCTGTACTTTGCTCTTGAATTGAGGCCATCATTCCTTTGTCCCAGGGCAATGGGGTCAGTTTGATCTCTCCTGGCTTAAATAGTGTGTAGCAAAGTAAAAGGGAAAAGTGGGGGAAGGAGAAGGGAATTTAAATTTATCAAGGGCCCCCTGCTAAACATCACGCCCTGGGCTGGGTGCTCTGCAGAGACCAAGCTCACAGCCGTGCTAGTAGCTGGGTGTTTCCATGTTACATTGAGGAAACCAAGTTGCAAAGACTTAAAGAAACCTGCCTCAGATCTCATAAATATGAAGGAAAGTGCTTTGAGGCTTCCAGTAGAGTTTGGAGGGTGTTCCTAACCCAAGATTGGGTTAAAAAATTCCATGATTGTCCACAGAATATGGACAGAAAGCTGAGAATAGCTGTGATGTTCCAGCTTGGAAAGAAGTGGGGGGTGGGAAGGGCTGAGAGGAGGCAGGGGCTGCATGCAGACTGGGCTCCTATCCAGAGGAAGAGCCCCAAGGGGGATTGGGAAGGCTTGTGAGGTTGGAAATTATGGATGGAGGGGGCTAAAGAGGAGGCCTAGAACTCCCCACTCCAAGAGCCCTGGAGAATCCCGGTCTGGCCTGAGAAGATCAGGAGTTTGGGATAAATTGCTAGAGAGGCCTTGTCCTCATGTGGGCCAAGTAAGCCCTTAAAATGGGTGCCCAGCAAAGCAAGGGGGTCTGAGGTGGCCCAGCTCTGTCCCTGCTCCCCACAGACACCTGCTACCCTGGGCATCCTACAGCTGCACTCAATCTGCCCCTCCTTCCTTCCTAGGCCTTAGGAAATATCTGTTCATTTTGTTTCTTTCCACTTTCTCTCTCCCCTTCTTCCTGTCTCCCTTCATCTGCCTGCTCCTCCCCAATCTGTCCTGAAGAGTACATTTCTTTCCCCATCAGGGAGCCTTGTGGGAATCTGGGGGGCCTGGGGCTGAGGAAGAAGAGACTTCAGATCCAAGAGCAGCCCTGAAGGATTGAGGGAGGCAGAAGGGGTGTCAGCCACTGGGCAGAGGAGTTCCTGGCAGCAGGGAGGGCCATGAGATAATTAGCCCTAGAGCTTTCTAGGCCTCTGGAAAGATGTGGGGTACAGGAACAGAAGGGAAGGAAGAGGCAGGTCAGGACTGGGGGAACTCAGGTTCCCTGGCCTGCCTGACAGAGACAGCACATGGTAGAGTTGAGAGGGGAGCCAGGGTCAGGGACAGGGCAGGCAATGGGAAAGAACAGGGACATTCCCAGGCTCAGGAGTCCCCAGGTCTCCCAGGGGAGGGTAGTCCTCGCCTGAGGTTAGGTGGCGGGCCCCGACTGGCTGGGAGTGGGTTTCTGTACGTGGCTGGAGGTGAATCACACCTTCTGTGTGGGTTGCATGTTTATATGTGGGTGTGCCGAGTCAGCATGCGTTGTCCTGCGTGTCTGCTGGTGTATGTAGGTGTTACTGGTGGGTGACAGGTCAAGGGTGTGCCCTGGTGAAGCGGGAGGGTGCCTGTGTGTGTCTGTGGGCCTCTAGACCTGAGGAACCATGCTTGAGTTTGTTCTCAGAATGTGCTGGCATATCTGTGTGCCACGTGTCCCTTTCTCTGTCTCTGTGTGTCCTACTGAAATCGGCTGTGTGCAGGAGTGTGTCTGCGTATGTGGGTGTGTTTGTGCAGGGGCCAGGGAAGGGTTATTCATAGAAGCAAGAACTGACTCTGGTGGGACACTCGTGCAGAGATGGGGAGGCACGTTGGGTGGGTAGGTGGGGGGCAGGCACTGTGTACACCAACGTGCTCCGAATTCCAGCAAACTCCAGTGCCTGAGTTTCCAGCTGTCCCAGCTCAACTGTGCACAGATGTGTGCCGCTTTGCTACAGCCATAAACAGACCTCCCAGGATTTTTCCAGAGGAAACGCAGAAATATTTTGGTGTCTGCTCTTGGTAGTAGGAAAGAGAGTGGGGATGAGGCTTGAGGCTAGGGCTTCGAAACAGAGGGACCACAGTCAGAGGGGAGCTGAAGAGGCAACAGCATCCCCCACAGGCCAGCAGGGTGGGGGAAGAGCTGTGATGGCTTCCAGTTGTGGGGTCCTCTCTAAGGCCCCAGCTAGCAGCTGGAAAGTGAAGTCCCAGTTGCCAGTGTAGGGGCAAAGAAGGAAAGCTTCCCCCTTCACCCTCTGAAGGTTTGCAGAAAGTGAGCTGACAAAAAGCAGATCAATAGAAAAAAGAGGTAAACGGATGTTATTTAACATGCATAGCACAGGGGTATGGCGGGAGAATGATTACCCGATAACCCAGAGAGGTCCAGGTGCTTGTAAACCCTTCTTTATAGTGGAAAGAGACAAGGTGTTACAGGCATAAATACTTTTATGGTGGGGGATGAATGGAGCCAGGAGGCAGGCATTATCTTGTGAATGATTCTTTTTGGAAACTGAATGGGACCAGAGAACAAACAATAGTTTGAGACACAGTTTGGGCTCTAGATGTGGTGTTTCGTGATCAGTCTCTTCCTCTGTGGTAGGAGTTTTCATCTCCTCTGATTAATGAAATTTCAGGAGAGGGATCGAAGGCAATTCTGCTCCTGCTTGGGAGTCCAGTTTCCAGTTCGATATGGGAGCTTCAGAAGACAGCCTCATCCTGTGCTTTGGGAGAGACAGGGGCTTTTGTGGGAGGTAGGTCAGAGAGACCTGGAGGCTGCTTCTTCAATTCAGCATGTCAAAGTGCCATCTTTGTGGGTATCATTTTCTGAGCCCTAATACCACAGATGCTGGCCCCCCAGAGCCCAGGCCACTGCTGCTCCACCCTTCCCTGTCCCCCAACCCCACGGGCTGTACCACAGATACACACACACCCCCACCACCACCAGCCCACCACTCAACATCCAAACACACAAAGACACTACACAAACCAGCCACCCTGCACGCACCTCACCACCACATTCACATACGCACTCACTTGTTCTCTCACACATCCTATGCCCACAGTTCTAGGACCACAGTCACAGACACCTCACAAACACCTCACTGCACACATGCTCTGAGCCATACACCCTGGCACAATGCACACCGACCCCACCTCACCCCACGCCCCTACACACAGGTCCAGACTTCCCCAAGCCAAGGAAGGGGCATGACACTCTTCTTAGGCCTCTCATCAGAGCAAAGTCTGTAAAGGTTTAGAAGAGTGTGAGGTGTTCCTGTCCAACAGGATTACCTTGGTGAGTTGAACCCACCCACCACCTCCTGCCCTGGGCATAAATTCTCCCATTCAACTATACCCCTTCCTCTGTCCCTCTCCAGGGAGAAAAGTGGCCTCTTCTCAGCAGGTGACCCTGGGGATGGGCCCCGGCTGCTCTTTGCCCTCTGAGGTAGGAGATATCCTTGCACATTTTCTCAGCAAACTCTTATTAACCAGCTACTCTGTGCCAGGGAAGTGCCGGGGAAGTGGGAGGCAGGGGCTGAAAGAGGTGCTTTCTCCACCCTTAAGGAACTTACAGCCCAGCAGCAAGGATGACCATGGACTGTGCTGCAAGCCACTCCACACCCTGCAAGGGAGCGGAATAAAGTGCTCTGGAGTCCAGTGGTGGGAGAGAACACTGCCAAGCTGAGAAGGCAGGCAGGCTTCCTGGAAGAGGTGACATGTGGGCAGGCTTTGACCAATGGGCAGCATTTACCTGTGAAGGCCATGGGGGTAGGGAGAATTCAGCCTCACTCCTACCCACAAAGCTCTCTAGCACCAGGAACCAGTTTCATGAAAGACAATGTCTCCACGGATGGGAGGGCAGGAAGTGGATGGTTTGAAGATGAAACTGTACCACCTCAGATCATCAGGAATTAGATTCTCATAAGGAGTGTGCAATTCGCAATAGGGTTCACATCCTTTGAGAATCTAACGTTGAGGAGCATGGGCGGTGGGGGAACCCCTGCTGTAGCACATCATCTTGTTTTATTGTATTCATAGCACTTATCTGAATTTATCTTGTTTATTTGAATATCTGTTTTCTTTTGTCTCCACCTCTACAACGTAAGCTAAAGCCTCCTGTGTCTTGTCCACCACACTTAGTGACTGTGTCCCCAGCACTTAAAACAGTGTCTGGTGCTCTTTAAAGGGAGGAAGAAAGGGAGACAGGGAGGGAAGGAGGAAGAGAGAGAGAGAGAGAGAGAGAAGGGAGGCAGGGGAAAAGCTCACCTGCCAAGGCACAGGACCTGAAGGCCAGTCTGGCAGGAAGAAGATGATGGCAGGCCTTGAATACAGGTTGAGGAAGGTGGACTCAACATTTGCCAGTGGGGAGCCATGAGGTTTATGAGCAGGGCAGTGATGCATACAGGCCAGTGGTCCCTGGGCCAGCCATTTATGCTGCAGAATCTCCTTGACTATGAAACATATGGGTCTCTGATTTAGCCAATTGACAGGTAAACTCTACCTAGTCACAGGATTCAACCATGACCTTTGGCAGTATAGGTACATACATAAACCTATTATACAGCATTTTAGCTTACATTGTAGGGGTGGGGCCGGCCAAACACAGATGTTCAGATAAACAAAATAAATTCACATATGCCTTCTCTCCTTAGCTTCACCCTCAGACCATCCCACAGAAATAGGTCCTAGATGGAAACAGCTTATGGTACAAAAGTCATGTCTTTGAGAAAACACATTTGCATGGAACAGCCATACCATTACCTTTCTCTAAAGCACACACGGAGGACAGTACGGCATGCAGAATGGAGAGGGAAGTGGCTAGATCGCTCATACCTTCCTAGGAGCCCCCTTCTACCCTTTCGAAGTGGACCAAGCCAGTGCCTAGTGTCTCACCCTTGCTAAAGAATAGCTCACTTGATTTTAGGGCCAAAGAAGAGGGTGGTAAGGCCAGGCAGGGGCTGAACGAGAACCCTCTCGTGAGCTACCTGCCCACTTTCCAAAACTGAGCAGGACAAATGCAACGGGGAGGTTTCATTTTAAATGTTCTCCAGTTGGAGAAGGGCTTTAATCTCAACAACGAAGACTCGCCAGCCCTTCAGCCCCTGGGCCTAGGGCTGAAAGCTCTGGGCCTTCACGGAGAGGTCCACTGTCTGCAGAGTCCTGGCCATAGCTGGGAAGGAGGGATCCTGGGCTCTGGTCTTGACTACAGGACATCTGGTATCTCTGTTGGAGCCAAGTCGAATCAGATGCTCAGGCTCCTAGTGGGAAGGGGCAGAGCAGCAGAGAGATCTGACCTGGAAAGAGCATGTGGTGGGTGCAGGCACAGGGCTCTGGATGCAGGACTGCAGCCCTAACTCTACCGCAGGACAGCTCTGCTACCTTAGGCAGCTCCGTTACGCTTTCTGCACCACAATTTCCTCATCTGCAAAATGGAGAAATCATCACTCTGCCTACTTCAGAAGAGCACTGTGGGGATCAAATGAGCTGAAAGGGAGATGAAAGGAGTTTGCGCTGCACACAGGGAGATGATGAGGCCATGCCCTCCTCACTGTGGCACAGAACACGGTAGCAGGAGGGACTAGAAAGGCCCTGTACTCAGAATTAATTAGGAGGCTCTTGTTTCTTGATAACTGCCCAGGGCCTGAATCCCAGCCCCACTTCTCACCTGTAGGTGACCATGAACCAGACATCTCAGCCCTCTGGGAGGCTTGTCTTTGAAGCGGGAGGAGGGGAGGAGCTGGCTCCAGTGATTGCTAAGGTCCTGTCGAGCTCTGCATTTGTTCCCTGGAGCCTCCCTAATTTCCAGACTCTAAAGTTCTGAATTCTCCCTGCTGTCCCATCTTACTCTCAACCAAGGGGAGACCAGGGAGGAGGAAACTGGGCTCCCCCTGAACACACTGGCTGTCTGGCAGCTGAGAATGGCCTCAAGCAGGGAGAGAGGATGGGGCTTCCCAAGTGCTAGGGAGAGCAAAGGACCCAACTTGTGCTTACAACTGCTCCCTCTATGAACAGGCAAGAGATGGAGGCTGGGGGGCGGGGCCCAACCAGGGGGGCTGATTTGAACCCTGACTCCTCCTACTGCGTGTTTATTATTCTATCTTCATTTTCATTCATTTATGTGCTTGTGCAGCAAACATTTGTAGGGCCACTATTCTGTGCCAGGCACTGTCCTGGGTGTCGGGAATACAGACATGAGGACGTTCACAGCCTCGTGGGAGACGACAAGAGATGTAAACAGATGGTTCGCACATAGAGTGAGAAGCAGGGGGACAGGAGCTCTCCTGAGTACTGCATCCTGACTACTGGGTGCCACAGAGCACAAAGGAGGGTCCGCACCCAGCCAAGGGGGCCTCTCTCTCCTTAAACATCACAGTCAGCTTGCTGAGATGATGGGAAATACAGGAATCGCTTGGTGCCCAACAGCTTAAGGGGTGGTAAAGAAAAAACATCCAAGAGAAAGGTTCCTGGGTGGGATAATTAATGTTTTGACGAGGAGGAAAATATTAGTGTGTGTTGCTCAGCATGCAAACACCTCAACTAACAAAACGGCTCGGAGAAAACAAGTGGAACGGTGGGGTTTTTCTCACAAAGATTTTTTTTTTTTTTTTGAAAAAAAAGAAGAGAAGAGAAAAAGATGGCAGTCACAAATAACCTCCCGCAGCTGAAAGACATTCCCCACCGGGTGAGGAAAGCAGGGCCCAGCTCAGTAGAGAATCTTGCTGCTGCTCCTTCCTGCAGATGGCCGACCTGGCACTTAGACCCAGAGCCCCAGCTCCTGACCCACGCTGCCATTTCAAGGCACTCCTCCCAGTTGCTGAGGCAAGGGGGAGTTCTGCACACACCAGTTGAGCATTTTAAGGAAAAAGAGATGGCCGGGCACGGTGGCTCATGCCTGTAATCCCAGCACTTTGGGAGGCCGAGACGAGAGGATCACGAGGTCAGGAGATCGAGACCATCCTGGCTAACACGGTGTAAACCTCGTCTCTACTAAAAATGCAAAAAAATTAGCCGGACGTGGTGGCGGGCGCCTATAGTCCCAGCTACTCCGGAGGCTGAGGCAGGAGAATGGTGTGAACCCGGGAGGTGGAGCTTGCAGTTAGCCGAGATCGCGCCACTGCATTCCAGCCTGGGCGACAGAGCAAGACTCTGTCTCAGAAAAAAAGAAAAAAAAGGAAAAAGAGATTTTCCTGATTTGCTAGGGTGCATTCGGTGGTGCCACGTCTAGACAGCTGCCTCCTACCCCAAAGAGTATCTTCTCAGGGAAGGTTACATTGTCTCCGGCTCCTGTACTCAGTGGAAGGGCCAGCTTCCTCTGAGGAGATAAAAGGGTTACTTTTGTTTCTACTTCTGTAAACTGTAAATATGTGCTCAGAATCTCCAGGTGACAGGACAAGCCCCAATGCTCCACTTTTGGAATTGATGCCAAAGCTTGACGGAGCTGCCAATTCATGCAAGAAAGTCCACCGGCACCAGACGGGGTGCTCTTGGCTTGTTTCCAGACCTGCTGCCCTTCCCCAGCTGTAGTTCCGGGGGCATTGCCCCTCAGGGGAGGACTGGTACCAGGCGCCCCTCTGCAAATGGACACACCAACGGTAGAACTGGCTTGGGCCCTCCAGAGACAAAGTTCAGGAAAGATCCTCCTCCCATGATCGGCTCCAGAGTGCTCCAGGGCTGGGGCCTGAGGGAGGAGCTACGAGGCCGGCTTGCGGCTGTGGCAGCATGCTGCTGACCTTGAACTCACCTTGACTACCACCAGAGCGGCCCCAGAGGCAGGCAGGGGCCAGTCCTCCGCTGTGTTGGGACCAGAGGGAGCACACAGAGCCAGAGAAGTCCAGAGTCCTCACCCTTCACTGGGACAGGATGGGACCTGGGTCTTGCCAACCAGCTTGGGCAAAGGTAAACCTTCTTTGTGTGCCCCAGGGAGGCTCAGAGCCAGCAGTCCCCACTGTATGGGGCCTGTGCGGGGAGAGGGTTCAGATGTGCCTCACGGCTGCTGCTGGCCGATCCCAAGGTCTTCTTCCACCAGAGGCACCTCTGCCTCCTTGGCCAGCAAAGGTTGCCACATGTGGCCACCCTTCCCTGCTTCCTGCCTCCCCCCATTTGCACCCCAGGTGTGAACACTCTTCTCATGGGTGTTTACATGCCTACTCGAACACCACAGGCAAGTCCTTGGCCAGCCAGCTCCTTTCCACCCTAGACCCCACAGGTCAGGGTCAGGGACTCCCCACCTTTTATACAGTGGGGAGAGAGTAGAACCTGTGCTCTCAAAGTCAGAGTGGGCCTGCACTAGAATCCCAGCTTTGCCAGATACCATTTGGTCTTGACAACTTCTTTAACATTTTCTGAACAGTAACATAGCAAAAATGCTTAGTTCACAGATGTGTTGTATTAGATGAGACCATCTTTCTTTAAAAAAAAAAAAAAAAAGAAGCATCCCATTGAAGTTAGCTCCCTTCTCCTCCCATATTAAGTCAGGTTCCTAGCAAAGAGACTCTGAGAGCTTTGCATCATTTATTGGAATGCTGTGGGGATGAACCCCTGTAGGGGAAGTGGAGAGAACAGGCTTGGGTTGGGGGAAACATTGGACGTTGGATGTTGGCTGTGAAGTTGCAACCAAGGCCTTTGCCAACCCCATGGGGACTCTGGGGCTCTGCAGAGATATCCCACATTAAGGCAAGAGGGCCAGGCCTTTGTAATCCTCACCAACATGTCATTGGGTGCAAGGCGTCACTGGGTACAACATGTCACTGGGTGCAACATGGCTAACCATGTGCTAGGGCTGAAGCAGTGGCCCTCCTGGCCTGCTCCCCTCCTCCACCGCCACCCCTGCTCCTGCCCCTGGGAGGTCTCAGCTGCTGCATTCATCCGTCATCTGCACCCTCAAGAAGGGCCATAACTGTGAGCATCTCCCTTCAGCTGAGGGCAATTTCAGAGAGACAGAGCTGTGCACCTTCCCGGCCAACACTCTGGGCAGCTGAGGCAGTAAGCACCTCCATCCCAAAGGATGCTTTGGCCTCAGCTTCCAGGCACCCACCACAAACTCTCAACTCTCCCCACCACCCCAAACCTAATATCAGTTTCAAGAAGTGAGCTAAATTGACTCCAGTAGAGAGGCCAACAGGGAATGAGAAACTGAGGTTCCTGTTTGGGTCTAAACTCTTACCTAGATGCATGGATTGGGACAAGTCTTTTCATTTCTCTTACTCTCAGCTTTTTCATTTTTATTTTTGAGGCAGGGTCTCACTCTGCCAACCAGGCTGGGGTGCAGTGGTGCGATCTCAGCTCACTGCAGCCTCAACCTCCTGGGCTCAAGCACTCCTCCCATCTCAGCCTCTCGAGTAGCTGGGACCACAGATGCATGCCACCACACCCAGCTAATTTTGTTTTTTGGTTCGTTTGTTTTTTTGGTAGACAGGGTTTCGCCGTGTTGCCCAGGCTGTTATCAAACTCCTAGGCTCAAGCAGTCTGCCCACCTCGGCCTCCCAAAGTGCTGGAATTACAGGTGTGAGCCACCATGCCCAGCCTTCGTTCTCATTTTTAAATGAGATCTAATAACTTCTCTGCCTTTCTTACAGAGTTGTGGAGGGGAGGTAATGCCATCATGCAAACTGTGAAAGGCTCTGCAACCTGTGGCATTATTCTGCGATGGTAACCATGCAGACCGTAGAGTCTAAGGCAGCCCTAATTCCAGCTTTCTTTCCTGTGTCCTGTAAGTTTAGTCCCTCTTCTCAGGCCGTGTGTCCTTCTGTGAGGTGAGGAAACAGGCACCATAGCCATGGCCCACCAAAGGGGCATTGGAACACTCTGCTCCCAGGGCTAGTGAGAAAGCTGCTGCTTACAGGATGGAGTGGGTGGGGCAGACGCTTCCTCAGAGGAGGATTTGGATTCAGGCATGGCTTTCTCCAGAGGTTGAAGCAAGGTGTTAGGGGCCAGAAAGGAGATGGCAGATCCAGGGCACTGGTGAGTTTTCTCTGAGTGCCTCTGTTGTTGGCTAAACATGTGCTGGGGGTGAAGCAGTGACCCTCCTGGCCCGCCCCCACTCCACAGCTTCCAGCCCCCTCCCTGCCCCTGCTCCTGCCCCTTGGGAGGTCTCAGCTGTGGCATTCATCCATCATCAGCCTCTGCTTGCAGGGAGGAAGGCATGCCCCAGAAGCATCCTTTAAATCAGCAGGGCTGCCTCTACCCGCACGTGCGTCCCTCTGGCCCTCCCCAGAGGTAAATTGTGTTTTCTTCCCCAAGCCCAGCCTTGAGCCTCATTTCTGGGTGTTTACAGAGCCTGGTTTTATTGCCTTTCCTTTCAATTGACTGTGCCTCTCTCTTCGCCTAGACGATTTTACTCAATTTAATTCCTGCTTTCCCACTCCTCACTCCCTTTTTCTCTAATCCTTTTTGGTGGGGAGATGGGAGGGAGGAGCCCACACAGGAAACTGAATTTCCAATACCAGTACCCTCTATGGCAGTGGTTCTCAAACAGGGCTGTGCGCGAGAGTCACCCTGGGAGCTTGTTAGACATAGATGACTGCGTCGCATTCCCAAGAACTGCTGTTTCACGGAGGCCCCCCGACCAGCTCTTTGCACAGCAGTGAATGATGGCCCTGGAGATCCTAGCTGACTTAAGAGCTTGCACGCAGGCATCTTGGAGTCTGTCTGCAGCACCAATTTGCTTCAGCTGCAGGTCCACAAGAATGCAGGCTAGGAAGCTGAGTCCAGCAGATCACTCTAGGGTAATTTTTCTCACAATGCAGCCCAAACTCAGAAGCATCACGGCAATCCAAAAACTTGTTAGAAATGCAGATTCTGAGGCCCTACTGAAACCCAACCCGGGTGTGGAGCCTAGCAATCTGTGATTTAACAGGCCTTCCGGGAGATTCCGATGCACACTGCAACTTGAGGGCAGGGAGAAACACAGCAGGACTTCTCCAGCCCACTCTGTCTCCTTCATTCCTACCCCAGGAGAGCATGGTTGGCCTTGACCCTTCCTCAGAACAGGGTAGACGCTAGCAACACTGCCACCAGGGCCAGAGAGCAAAGGAGAGGGGGCCTCCCAATGTAGTGTCCCAGGTTCCTGGTATAGGTGGTGAGGAGGGAGAACGACCAGAACGACCCTAGGGGAAGATCCTAGAATGCAGCCCACCTGGAGTTCACAGGGACCTAGAGATCAGGCCACTCCATAGACCCCAAAACAAAGGAGTAGTGCTCCTACTGTGTGCAGCCCCATCTACCCCATCCAGAGTCACACTCAACAACAGCTTCGTTTTCAAGAAACAAAACCAAGAAAACCCACAAAACACCAAAGCCCTAACAAGTTAGGTCCCCTGCCCAAGGCGTCTCAGCAAATTAGCGGCCGAACCCAGACCTGAGCAGAAGGGAACTGCTCTGAAAGAAAATCCCAGCTTCTGGGGTTGCAGGGCTTTGCTGATTCATTCAGTCAATTGACAAGCAGCACCCACAGACAGCCAGATGTTACCCCGTGTTTATCTACCCGGATGTTCACACCAGGTCTATATGGCACGGGGGATCCTTCCATTTCTCTGATAGGGGAAAACTGAGACTTCCAAAAGTGAAGATAGTCTCCCAAGGCCCACAGCTTTGAAGAGGTAGCAGAGCCTGGATTTGAATTCAGGTGACCAGCTCTAAGCCTGGAGTTTGACCTAAGGCTGATTTCTCCTCTGAGAGCTGACAGAATCTTAATGGCCAAAGCAACAGCTCCTCTTGACCCTGGGAAGGCCCATAAACAGTGACACCTCCCCAGCCATTTCCCCAGGGACACAAGCCAACTCTGCTCCCAAGTGCCAGTCTTAGCCGAGGAGCCTGGGCAGAAAGGGCAGAGGAGACTCAGCTACAGGTAGAGGCCTCGGCTGTGCCTCTGCACTGCGCCGGCATCTAGGGCCCGGCTCCGGACCTCCACCCCCTCCTCCAGCCTTTAGCTCCCTCCCCACCCCACCCCCAGTTCAGCCCGGCCTTGGGTTGGGCCCCGCCATTAGTTCCAGACACCACGTCTCCTCTATTTATGGGTTTTTTTCTTTGCTTCTGCGGTTCTCCCTGGATGAATGCCCCCTTTCCCTGGATTTACAGCATCCTCCCGTGGTGGGGTTGATGTCACTTTAATGAGAGTTACAGCTGCCTTGACTGTGACTGCCACATTCCAATTTACTGCTTGGCCTCTAGAAGCCCAGCAGGGCTTCTCTCTGGCAGACAGGAGTGGCTGTGTTCTCTGGCCTGGGATTGGGGTGGAGGGTGGAGGACTGCAGTCTCCTTCCTGGCCCCGGCTCTGAACTAGGGCTCCAGGCTCCCTGGTGGATCCTGAGCAACAGACAACACCGAGAATCAGGGCAAGGCGGTGGGTGGGGGGTGGGGGAGGCGCGGCCAGGCGGCCGGGCGGCTGGGGGTGCAGAGTTAAGTCAACCCTACAGGTTTGGGGAAACAGAGCTCAAAGCTTTCCTGACCCGTTTTCCCCACCCGCCCCCATCTGCCCCAGTGAGAGCCAAAGTTCTGTAGCAGAGGACAGAGGGCAGAGGAAGGTGGGGGCATTCACAGAAAGCCCGTTGTTTGCTAGTTGAATCCAGATGTGGAGGGTGGGAGGGGGAATTGGGAGGGCACGCTGGAGGCAGGCCTGGGGAGGGGATGGGGGAGGGGAGGGAATTGGGCAAACAGAACTCCCCGCAGGAATGCCACAGATACCCTGAATCCTGCCTGGATTTCAGTGCCCTCTCACTGGGGTCTCAACGCGTCAGCCCAAATCAGCCTCCATTGTCTCTAGTTAAGAAATACGAGGCTTGGCTGGATGTGGTGGCTCATGCCTATAATTTCAACGTTTTGGGAGACCAGGGTGGGAAGATCACTGCACCCAGAATTTTGAGGTGAGGTTACAGTGAGCAATGATCATGCCCCTGCACTCCAGCCTGGGAAACAGAGCAAGACCCTGTCTCTAAAATAAATAAATAAGAGGCAGTATTGCCAATGGCCCCAGCACATATGAAAAATAGCTACCATTTATACAACAGTTATTAGATGCCTCTTCCTGTGCAGCCGAGGCCTCTGGCCACGTGGTCTTTTCTCTCTGCCCGGCTGCTCTGCTACAGGTCCAACCGAAGCAGAATGTCTGGCCTTGACCAGGAGACAGAGCAGTAGGGTGGGCAGCCCAGGGCGTTGAATATAGTACTTTTCTAAAGTCCCACAACAACCCAACAAGATGGGAATCATTACAGCCATTTTACTGACAAAAAACTGAAGCTTTACATCTTAGAGGTTTAAGTCCAAGGCCACACAGCTAGAATGTGACAGAGCCACAATTCAGACTTGGGACTGATTCCACAGTCCTCACTACGTGACCCATTTGCCCATCTGTAAGCAAGACAGAAGTTGGGAAAGGCTGACTGATAACCATGAAATGACCAGAGGCCCACCAGTTCCTAGAAATCTGAAGTTTGCTCAAAGCTGCCCCACAGTCATGCTGGAGACAGGTTCCAGGGGGCAAGATCCTGACCATGTGTTTATAATGTCCCTGCCAGCTGCACACACGCCCTGCCCACCTCCATCCCCTCCTCAGAGGTAAGAGGAGTCCACAGCAGAGAAGGAGGCCAGCACTGTCTAGGAGGACACAGGGTGTAGGTTCTCCCCAAGGCTGCTGACCCTGGAGAAGGGAAGGGTCTGTCCCTGCCCCGCCCTGCCCTGCCCCATCTCCCCATTGCCTCATCCTCTCTGGGAACGGGAAGTCCATGACCAGGTCCAAAGGCACAGTGGGAAGAAGGAGTCCGGGGCTGCAGGCTTGCGGTTGTCTCCCGCTGCCAGCAACTCTGCGGGCCCAATGGAGAAGAAAATGCCCAGGCCTGGGCATGAAGCCAAGACAAGGGGGACCCTGGGCTGTGTGGCCATAGAAGGCTCTAGAGAGCGGGAGCAGGAGCTCAGACTTTGGAGCCAGATGGCCTGGGTGTGCCCCTAGTTCTGCCACACTAGCTGTGTGACCTTGCTCCAAACCCCAGGCCTCACTTTCCTCCTCTGTGAAAGGAGGGAAATAGTAATCCTAGCTGCTGGAGCACAAGTGGGTATTAAGTGGGGTGCTGGATGTAAAGCACGCGGGTTGATCAAGAAACACCAGCTACTGCTGTTCCAGGTTCCAGTTCCCAAGCCACTATCATTCCAGGTCTCAGCCTCCCGATGCTTACTACAGGTAGAAAGATCCTTTTGGTTGAAACCAGTCACTTCCTGCAGGTCTCCGCAAACCTCTCATTCTAGGGACCCAAGGGACCATAGAAGTGTTAATTAGCCAAGCCTTAAGACAGGCCTAGGCAGAGGGAGCCTCGTTAACATTAATTGGTACTCTCAGATCTTCGCCCAGTCAGGATGGAGCAGCGCATGCTGGGACAGCCTCTCTGCTCTTGGGGTTCACAATCTGCCCAAGACTGTGCCCCCAGCACAGCTGCAGTAGAGGGGACAGCCAGCGACCCCTCCGCTCCCTCCCCCCTCACAGGGCCCAGCATTCAAGAGAGGCAGGGGGAGCCAGGGCAGAGGGAGGGAGGGAACTAACCTCTCCTGCAGAAGGGTCAGAACCGTGATCTTGGTCCAACCAACAGTCTTGGAGGCAACCATGATGCGGGCACTTTGCTGCATACCAATGCCAAAGGCTGTGCCTGGGAGGAGATGCCAGTCTCTATCAATGGCTGTCAACCTAATTTAATGAGCCGAAGGAGCCTGTTTAAAATGCAGAGTCCCAGGCAATGCCCTCCATGGTTGAGGTCCAGGAACCTGTATTTTTAACAAGCACGCTTTAAAGCAGGACCACACTTTAAAGAACTGATGTTTGTATAGCCAGTATGACTTAGTGTAAAGCAAGGCACACAGTAGGTATATAATAAATGCTGATTGATGAAATGAATGAGTGAGTGAGCAGAGCATGAAGAGACCATGAATGATTCTACAAAATATGAGCAGAAGATCTGCCTTTCCCCAGGAATTCTCCCCTAGGTAAGAGGTGGGCTCTTCATCTCTGTTTCACTTCTTTTTGTGGTTGGGACCAGACTTTTTCTACTGAACTTGTACACTGCTATCTCAATTCTAAGAGAATTTTAGTCCACACAGAAGAAACCCCACATAATCCCTCTCCCACCTCAAATCTACCCACAGAGGTTAGGAATCCCTGAGAATTCTATTTCCAGAAAAATGCAAATATATACACAAGGTTTTTTTATATTGTAATTTCCAAGAGTTCTGGACCCTGAAGCAAATTCATGGTTAAGGATCCCTGCTGGGGACATCCTTTGATCTGTGAATCATTGTTAACAGCAGGGAGCAGAACAAAGGTACAGGAAAGAGGACCTGGGCCAAGGAAGGGCTGCTAGGGCTTCATCCCTGGGTCAGGAAGCCAGGATTTGGCTCTTGGGTTTCTCGTCCATTCTGGGGAGCACTGAGAGGCAGGTAGGGCAGCAGGGTTGGAGCTAGAGGTCTGAGGGTCTTGTGGCAGGAAGAGCTGAGGTGACCCAAGAGTGTCATAGACACTCCAAACTCACTCCAGGGCTATCAGACAGGAAAGATAGCAAAGGAGGGTAAGAAGAAGTTTTGGCCGGGCGCAGTGACTCACACCTGTAATCCCAGCACTTAGGGAAGCCGAGTTGGGCGGATCACTTGAAGTCAGGAGTTCGAGACCAGCCTGCCCAATATGGCGAAACCCATCTCTACTAAAAATACAAAAATTAGCTGGGCATGGTGTCCCATGCCTGTAGTCCCAGCTACTTGGGAGGCTGAGGCAGGAGAATCGCTTGAACTTGGGAGGCAGAGGTTGCAGTGAGCCAAGATTGCACCACTGCACACCAGCCTGGGTGACAGAGCAAGACTCCATCTCAAAAATAAATAAATAAAACGTTTCACTAATCTCCACTTGGTATAGGCACCATCCTAATTGTATACTATATCACATTTAGTCCGCATCATAACCAACTGGAGTAGGTACTAATATCCCCTCTTTAACGTGGGAGGAAGCAGAGACTCATCGGTGTCAGGAGGAGGCTGTCATTGGCTCTATTTCACACAGCTAGCTAACAACAGAGCCAAGATGTCAAGATCAGGGGCCTGGGAAGGGTGGAAACTGCAAGCCCACTTCCTCCCAAGGTATGGGTCCTGCTCTGTGTCCTCCCCGGTTGCCATCAACAGCCCTTTCACACGTTCCACTCTGTTATTTGCAGGAAATAAGAGAGAAGTTTCAGGTGAGTGGTGACAACCAGATCCCCAACCCCTCTGCCTTCATCCCTGATGGCCTTGGCCAGTGCCCCCCACCCCCTCCCTGCCCCCAGTCACCACACAAAGTCTTGGGTTTAAAAGTCACTTTGGTCTCCTGCTTCCCAGAGTTATCATAAGAATTAAGTAAGAAAATGAGTCCAAAGTTCCAGGCTTACTGTAAGCAAATGATGAATCGTGACATGATTTCTCACCACTTTGTTTTTAATAAGTGGGTTATTTGGAGGAAGTAATTTAAAATTCCAAATAGAAGACATATAATATGATTTTTTTTAATTTTAAAGCTGAGCATTAATGAATCCTCTTCTTTCCTCGTCTATAAAATGGAAGTCAGAATAACACCCCTCACAAAGGTTTGTGCTATTTGACTTTGATGAGAATTCATGAAAAGTCTATGACATTCTCCTGCAGAATATCATCACATATAAATAACTCCTAATATGGATCATACTCTTTTGATTTGCACACACGATGTGCAGGTGAGAGAAACTGTTCACACTCAGGAAAGGGTGGAAAGTTTACATTCAAGTCAAGGACATTTGTGTTGTACATGAGAAAGAAATTTCTAGTTGAAAGTAGCTAAGATCCTGTGTTTGTACAGCAGTAATTGAGTCCCCTCGGGACATTATGGGGTCTTTTCCCTTCACAGACATGAAAAGAGATATACAGGACACTCTGTCTCAGGGGGCTGCTAGAGAGGAACCTGGCTGAAGGCATAAATCAGAGTTTAAGTGCATAGCATTCAAACTCTGCAAAAAGCATCAGAATCACAATTTGTAGTCTCCTTTTAAATCTTTTCTACAAGATTGTATAGTAGAAAAATAATAACCAACAAATGATTAGAGTACGCTGTCAACTCTTTACACCATGGTGTGCTCTATAACTTTATTAAGAACGATGTGTGGGCCGGGCATGGTGGCTCACACCTGTAATCCCAGCACTTTGG